>NC_000018.10:79961929-80263285 GCF_000001405.40 Homo sapiens | reverse complement strand
CTAACCCTAACCCTAACCCTCTAACCCTAACCCTAACCCTAACCCTAACCCTAACCCTAACCCTAACCCTAACCCTAACCCTAACCCTAACCCTAACCCTAACCCTAACCCTCTAACCCTAACCCTAACCCTAACCCTAACCCTAACCCTAACCCTAACCCTAACCCTAACCCTAACCCTAACCCTAACCCTAACCCTAACCCTAACCCTAACCCTAACCCTAACCCTAACCCTAACCCTAACCCTAACCCTAACCCTAACCCTAACCCTAACCCTAACCCTAACCCTAACCCTAACCCTAACCCTAACCCTAACCCTAACCCTAACCCTAACCCTAACCCTAACCCTAACCCTAACCCTAACCCCTAACCCTAACCCTAACCCTAACCCTAACAAGGAGAACGCAACTCCATCCTCGCAAAGGCGGCGCGCCCGCGCAGGCGCACAGAGGCGCGGCGCGCCCGCGCAGGCGCACAGAGGCGCGGCGCGCCCGCGCAGGCGCACAGAGGCGCGGCGCGCCCGCGCAGGCGCACAGAGGCGCGGCGCGCCCGCGCAGGCGCACAGAGGCGCGGCGCGCCCGCGCAGGCGCACAGAGGCGCGGCGCGGTTGGGGAGACGCGGTGTAGGTCATTGACGCACGCCGGCGCGTCCCCAGAGGGGAGGTGTGGCTGGGCGAGCGGGATTGAGGCGGGCGCAGGCGCACCGACGCACGTCGCTGGGCTGATGGTGGCGGGGCGTGTTGCACGCGAACAGTCTGACGCCGCCGGGCGGGGACCGCGGGGGTGGCGCGGTACAGCGCAGAGACACACGTCGCCGGCGGCGCGGCGCAGAGACAGGTGGAACCTGAGTAATCTGAAAAGCCCGTTTCGGGCGCTCCCTGCTTGCAGCCGGGCACTACAGGACCCACTTGCCCACGGTGCTGTGCCAGTGCGCCCCCTGCTGGCGACTACGGCAACTGCAGTGCCCTGTTGCTGACAGTGGTGTCCAGTGGTGTCAATATATGTAAAGAAAACTAGTAGAAATAATAGAATAACTAGAAACAACTCTACGCAAAGCATGCAAGAAAAGTAGGGCATGTTTTGCAAGTAAAGTAGGATGTATTTTTTATAAGGAAAACCATACATAAGATACAAATAAAAAGAGATACCTAACCATCCCTGTGTTATATTTGTATGGGTACAATGTTGTTTTCAGAAATTATATAAAATTCCTGGAAATTTGTCAATGTCCTCCTTATCCATGCTCTGTGCCAGTATAGAGTAATGAGTCATAATTCCAATTATTATTTTAAATGTTGTGCCAGGCGCAGTGGCTCACGCCTGTAATCCCAGCACTTTGGAAGGCTGAGGCAGGTGGATCACAAGGTCAGGACATCCAGACCATCCTGGCTAACCTGGTGAATCCCCGTCTGTACTAAAAATACAAAAAATTAGCCAGGCGTGGTGGCAGGCGCCTGTAGCCCCAGGTACTCGGGAAGCTGAGGCAGGAGAATGGCGTGAACCCGGGAGATGGAGCTTGCAGTGAGCCGAGATCGCGCCACTGCACCCAAGCCTGGGCGACAGAGTGAGACTCTGTCTCTAAATAAATAAATAAATGTTGTATGCCACAGAAAAAATCGAATATCCTTCTCAGCTGTGGTATAATGAACTCTCATCAGATCTTTCATCACAGCCATTTCATACTCTTTGTCATTTAGATATTATTTCCCCCGATGCTTTCCTGAAAGCTCCGGCAATCAGCTACAAGTCAGACTGTTCGTCTCCAACACAGAACTCCCTCTGAGACTCACGGAAAAGACTATGACACGTACTCGTTATAGGCTTCTGATGATATTGCTTAAATAACTTTAAG
The DNA here is from genome assembly GCF_000001405.40 of Homo sapiens. NCBI lineage: Eukaryota > Metazoa > Chordata > Mammalia > Primates > Hominidae > Homo > Homo sapiens. The sequence continues at coordinate 80,261,435 of NC_000018.10, read as the reverse complement.
ACCATACACTTGACTCAGTGAAGGTCTCCAGAACTCTGGTTGAGAAACTGATGGGTTCATGACACTGCTAACCCAAGATCCAAAAAGACTGGAATTGATTACATGGCACTGAATGAACTGATGAAAATTGATTGTAATTTTATAGCTTTTTGGAGCATTGCTGGTTCTTTAATGTTCTAGTTTCTGGATTTAAGAAATCTCTCTCTCTTAATCTTACTGTAACTTACAACAAGTTAGTAGATTATATTTTTGTAAACAGAAATGAAGCATTTATCTTTTTTCCCTGCCTGATTTTTCCAGAATTTTGAAATCCTTACTGAATACTCTTATTTTCACGATGATATAGTTGTTAGCAAAAGTCCAATAAGAATTTATTCACCTTATAACAGGACATAATTGGAAATTTTGGTTATATTATCAAGGTTTGTACTGGAATATCATATTTAGGAAGTGTACCTAAGATCAGTTATGACTAGCAATTTTAAGGAAGTAAGGTTGACTTTTATGGAGACAATGCTTACAAAGTGCTGTGAGAAATGGGAAAGTTCTTCCTCAAACATTATGAAGTCACAACTATCCACTATTTTTTTGTGTGTGTGTGTGTGTGTGTGTGTGTGTGTGTGTGTGTATTCCAAATCACTTGTCCTAGCTTGCTCCAGCATGCCTGGACAGAACTAGACAAGCCCCAGCCCATAGTACATGCCATTCCTTATTTGGAGATGCTTCCTTAACTATCCCTGGGCAACTTCCTTTTCTTTCTTTCTTCTATTCCCCTTACCTAATTAAGAAAGTTTTAAACTCTAAGCCAACTGGGTAAAGTGTAAAATGTGAGGTCCTATTCCAGCCAATGGAACCTGGACACAGCACTAGGGTAGACACATCAGGTTATGAGTAACTCTGTCTCCTTTGTTTGGTGTGCTCTTGTGGCTGGACAGCTATTGAGTAGCACCCTTTCTGCAGAAAGTAAAGCTCGCCTTGCTAAGAGATCATTCGTTCCCATATTAATTCTTTTTTTTTTGGAATACCAAAAACTTCATTCCCAACAGCACTCTGAGAAAAGCCAGCCTGATACCTAGATTACAGGGTTCACAGACTTACAGCTTAGTAAAGAAGGTCATTTCCTAGTAGGCCCAGGAATTTAGGGATATTTGGGGGGCCTCAAGAAGAGAGGAATTCACACAAAGCTATAAAGACTGCAGCTGAAATCTGATAGTATGTTCTTAGCTTGGCTTTTAGCCTGAATAAGGCCTTTAAAAGTCAAGTCTGAGATTCTGTATGAAAACTTCCAGCAAAGAAACTTGAAAGCACCCACGTGGTCATCTCCTGTTCTTGCTGCACTTACATAAATAATCAAGCAAAATCTAACAAAACTAGACTTATTTTTAAAACAAGAATAGTCTTACTTTGATTATGATCAAAAATAATGGTTACTACAGAGATAAATTTTACATTTCAATGGAAAACTATAACATGGCCGGGCATGGTGGCACACACCTATAATTCCAGCACTTTGGGAGGCCAGCAGTTCAAGACCAGCCGGGACAACATAGTGAAACCCCGTCTCTACCAAAAATACAAAAATTAGATGGGCATGATGGCATGTGCCTGTAGTCCTAGCTAATCAGGAGGCTGAGGAGGGAGGATCGCTTGCACCCAGGAGGTAGAGGTTGCAGGGAGTTGAGATTGCACCTTTGCACTCCAGCCTGGGGGACAGAGCCAGACCCTGTATCAAAAAAAATTTTTTTAAAGGAAAACTATAGCCATTGTGGGTTATCAGATTCCAGTCTTGTTTCTTGTTTCTGGGCTAATTTTACCTCTTTGTAAACTGGATCCTGCCATCTGCTGAATTTTGTCCCACAATCATACTTGTGGAAGAAGAAGCCATGTATTGTCTCTTCTACTAATTTATTTATAGTCGGTTAATTTGAAGGTCTCCAACCCTGGAACAAAGTTAGAAGAGGAAGGTTTTGCTCCCCAAAATGTATAACCAAATTGTGGTACATTCATGCTATTTAGTCATAGAAAGGAACAAGCTATCAACTCACACAAAGACATGAATGAATCTTGCATGCACATTGCTAAGTGGAAGAAAACAGTCTGAGGAGAATACACACAGTGTAATCTCATTTAATGAGACACTGGAGAAGGCAAACTACACGGATGGGAAGCCATTGGCTCCATGGGGTGGGGGTTTGAAGCATTCTATATGATACTTTAATAGTGGGATACCTGCTACAATGCATTTGTCAAAATATGCAGAATTTTACAGCCAAATGGTTAATCAAACTCTATTCAAACTAAATAAAATAACTCAGGATATGGACTATCCCAGGATAGAATACGTCATGTGAAAAAGAATTTACGCTATAAATTACTATGGTTTAGAACTGAATTATGACATAGATTCTTTTGCTCACGTTTTATTGCTGACCTTCTCCTTATTAACACCCTGCTCTCCTTCCCCATTCCTCCTGCTGAGATAATGAAACCATGACCCTAATCCTAACCCTAAGCCTAACCCTCACCCCTACCCCTAAACTTACCCCTACCCCCAACCGTAACCCTACCCCTAACCATAACCCTACCCCTAACCCTAACCCTACCCCAAACCCTACCCCACCACTACTCCTAACCCTAACCCTAACCATACCCCTAACCCTCCCTTACCCCTAACACTACCCCACCCCTACCCCTAAACCTACCCCTACCCCTCCGCTAAACCCACACCACACCCACACACACCCCCCCCACCCACCCACCCCACACCACACCCACACCCCACCCACACACCACACCCACACCACACCCACACCACACCCACACCCACACCCACACCCACACCACACCCACACACCACACCCACACCCACACACCCACACCCACACACCACACCCACACACACCACACCCACACACTACCCCTACCCCTACCCCTCACCCTCACCCTCACCCTCACCCTCACCCTAACCCCCTAACCCCCTAACCCCCTAACCCCCTAACCCTAACCCTAACCCTAACCCTAACCCTCTAACACCCTAACCCTCACCCTCACCCTCACCCTCACCCTCACCCTCACCCTCACCCTAACCCTAACCCTCACCCTCACCCTCACCCTCACCCTCACCCTCACCCTCACCTAACCCTAATCTAATCTTTGCCGAGGCAAGAGACCGAGGACATGAGCTGTTCCACTCCAATAAAATATAAAACAAGAATAGTTATACCAGATATAGATCTTAGACATGATTATATATGAATATCATTAATCATTAGTTGATAGCAATTACTCTTTATTCCAATATTATAATAATCCTCCCTCTATAATCATAACCTAGGAAAAGCCAGGCCATTCAGAGATAGGGGCTGAGGGGACATAGTGAGAAGTGAACAGAAGTCAAGAGTGCGAGCCTTCTGTCATGCCCGGACAGGGCCACCAGAGGGCTCCTTGGTCTAGCGGTGACATCAGCCTCTGGGAAGACGCCCATTGCCAAGCGGACCGTGGTCTAGTGGTAGGCTCAGTGTCAAGGAAAAATACCCGCTACTTAGTAGACTGGGAAAGGGAGTCTCCCTTTCCCCAGAGGAGTTTAGAGAAGACTCTACTCCTCCACCTCTTGTGGATGTCAGGCCCACCCGCAGTTATCCAGAGGCCTGTCTCCCTGTGATGCTGTACTTCAGTGGTCATGCTCCTAGTCCGCCTTCATGTTCTGTCTTGTACACCTGGCTCTGCCATTTAGTTAGCAGTAGCAAATTAGTGAAAGTACTAAAAGTCTCTGATAAGCAGAAATAATAATGTAAACTTTTTCTCTCCTTCTCTCTCTCTCTGCCTCGGCTGCCAGGCAGGGAAGGGACCCCTGTCCAGTGGACACGTGACCCACGTGGCCTTACCTATCATTGGAAATGGCTCACACTCCTTATCCCGCCCCTTTGTCTTGTATCCAATAAATATCAGCAAAGCCTAGCATTCAGTCTCTGCATCTCTGTGTCTTGGTGGTAGTGGTCCCCCGGGCCCAGCTGTCTTTTCTTTCATCTCTTTGTCTTGTATCTTTATTTCTACACTCTCTCATCTCTGCACACAGGGAGAAACCCACCGACCCTGTGGGGCTGGACCCTACAATTAATATTTTCCCAAACCCAGTTGGGAATCCAAACTCTACCATTTAACTCCTATTTTTAACACCTATCAGCTGAGACCTAAGCATCATCCCCACCCTGACTCTTACCCTAACTGTAACTTCTAAGAATTTTTACCTGAACCCAGTCTGAAACCGGAGCCCTCACTCCAACCATGGAATGAAAGGACGTACTCACCTGAAAAGCACCAACCACCATTTCACCCTGGGTGTGACACAGGCTGCAGCCATGCTGTCTGCAGAGGAGCAGGAAGACAGGACTAACAGGGCTCCAAGGGAGCATCCACAGCTGTGACATCCACTGTCATTGCAATGGGAAATCAGGGCAAGAAAAGAAAATCATGGCTGGGCACAGAGGCTCACACCTTTAACCCCAGCACCTTGGGAGGCTGAAGCAGGTGGATCAGTTGAGGTCAGGAGTTTGAGACCAGCCTGGTCAACAGGGTGTAACCTCATCTCTACTAAAAATACAACAATGAGCTGGGCATGGTGGCACATGCCTGTAATCTCAGCTACTGGAGAAGCTGAGGTAGAAGAATTGCTTGAACCAGGGAGGCAGAGGGTGCGGTGAGCCACGATTGCGCCATTGCACTCCAGTTTGGGTCAAGAAGTGAGGATCTGTCTCNAAAAAAAAGAAAAAAGAAAGAAAGAGAAAGAAAGAAGGAGAGAGAAAGAAAGAAAAGAAAGAAAATCATAATTGTGAAGATTATAAATTATATCCCTTTGTATGTTGGACTTAAGTACTCAAAACACAACCAAAGTATTAAAGTCTTTTGTGGGTTTCTCCAAAGCCTCTTGATTGATTGATTGATTGATTGATTGATGATTTGAGACAGGATCTCACTCTCTTGCCCAGGATGGAGCATCACGGTACCATCACAGCTCACTGCAGGTTGGACGTTCTGTGCTCAGGCGATCCTCCCACTTCTGTTTCTTGAGTAGCTGGGACTAAATGCACATGCCACCATGCTCTGCTATTTTTTTTNAAAAAAATTATATTATTATTATTTTTTCTGCAGAGACAGGGTCTCTCTATGTTGCCAAGGCTGGTCCGAAACTTCTGGGCTCAAGTGATCCTCCCACCCTGGCCTCTCAAAGAGCTGGGATCCAGGACCCCTCTTAAGGAGGCCTGACCCTAGCCACCATCCCTCCTTGGCAGAGCCTTCACAGCACATGAGATCACTCAGGCCAGCACACTTGCATGAGACCAGCTTCAGCTGGGAACTAGGTTTGGTCAGAAAGTCGAAGCGTTTGGTTCCTTTGTTGCTTTTAGCTCAGGTAGTCCCTGGGCTATTTGCTCACTGTCACTACCTCTGCCTGCCACACATTAAGGACCCCAGTGCCACGTTGATGAATAAGCTGAGAGTGTGTTTTGTGGTGGACGATGGGGTATTTGCTTTGTGAGAAACTGTTCCCAGTTTTCAGTGTGCCCATTATGGGCACACTGAAATAAATCCTGGGGATCCCTAAGGGCCCCAGCAATGGACAATGCTCTGCTGAACCATGGTACCTGGGCAGTTTATTAACATCTTCCACCCAAGAGCCCTCTAAATGAATGCACTACTGCCCCGTATACTTCATGGGGTTTCTGTGTATGTATCAGATGAAGTTTTGCGTATGAGAGCATGTCGTGACCTTAAAGCTCTTAGNAGNAAATGGAAGNNAAGTNTATGACCCTANNACTCCCCTCCTTTTCTATTNNNNCTNAGGGGANAAAGGGCTGTGTCACAATACCCTCACCCCNAGTCCCACTTTAATCTCCATCAGCCCTTCAGGCACACAAACCCAAATAAATACAATTAAGCAACTGCAATGTGCTTGCTGCATAAATGCAGTCTTAATACACATCCCACCTAATTACCACCGAATACCTGTGCTATCTAGAACTTGAGTCATTACAGTCTTTGCTGCCCTGCACATTGAAGTTCCACAGCCTCCAATCTGTCCTCCGTAAATCTTTTCATTCCAGAGGCATACCCATGGGGAACTTGAGAACACACGTGGCTTCAGTTACTAGTTTTGGATACAGCACAGCTAAAATGAAGCAGCTGAAAGCTCCAAACACACTCACTGTCCAGGCGGAAAGAATTCTCCTGGGCTGACAAGGCCACTCTGCTATCCCTAACCCACAGCTTCCGGCCCAGGGCCAAAGATCCACTGCTTGCCAATCCTAGGCCAACAGGCAGTGGCAAGGTGGGTGGCAGGTAATGGGTAGATCATCATTTCGACTTAGGTTCATTGGCCAGAGCTTGTTTGGGTGGTAACATCTAGCTGCAAGGGAGGCTGTGAGATGGACCTTGCTAAAATTGAGGAAGATGGAGATACTCCATTTCTAAAAAGGGGAGAAATGGATATCGGGGGAAATCACAGTATCCAACATACCACTCTAATCAGGAAAGTTCTATTTGCAGGTGTCTCTGAACACTGCCTCTCTCAAGGTCTTGAGACAGGCCCAGGAGAGCTGGACCCAGATCAATCCCTATCCTGCATCTCACAGTGAGTGGCATAGAGAAGCCTTCGATAGACTTGGTGAATGCCTCCTACAGGTAAAGGGCCTTTATCCACAGAGGTCCCCACTACCCACATCTGCTGACCCTATCTCACACCAGGGGCCAACCAGCCAGAGGAATTTCCTGCTTTCCTACTCATGTCTCACTAATTTCAAAGGGGACCAGGTCCAATGCCCACTCCCCACCCTCCACCCCCCTGCCCTGCACTCACATGACCTCCTTCAAAAGACCCCAACCCCCTTCAAAAGACCCTCAGACCTGGTTACCCCAGGCAGTGAGCCTATCCTTCCAACAACCTCACATATGTGAAGGCATGTGGGGCAAACATCACCCAGCCGTCAAATACACTCACAGAGCCCTCCTGTCCAGGGCACAGCTGGGGCTCATGCTGCCTGCCAACCCCCATGCCTCTCCCTTCAGCTCCCACTCACGTTCCTCCCTCAGAGCATCACTCTCCTGAGACGGCTCAGTGACCTCACTGTGAGAGGCAGTGCCACCACTTCACAGGATGATGGCCAAAGAAGGAGACAGGGCTTTAACAGCTGAGTGAGTAGTCGGCCAGCAAGTTTCTCCATACTTTGCCAAGCAGGACAGCAGGGCACAAGGAACACCTGGGGTGGAGGCAGACCATGCCCACAGGGAGGCCACACCCACAGAGGAGAGGCCACGCCCACAGTGGACAGGCCACACCCACAGGGAGGCCACACCCATAGAGGAGAGGCCACGCCCACAGTGGACAGGCCACACCCACAGAGAGGCCACACCCATCTCCANTCCCCATCCCCACCGCATCCCACGTGGGGCTATCAGAGTCACATCAAGAAGGGGTGCCTGGGATCCCCCATTCCTGCTAGTGGGAGTACAGCTTAGAACAATGTTTTTGAAGGCAATTCAGTGGTACATTTCAGAAATCAATGTGCCTTCCTTGTGATCCACCAATGCCACTTATAGGGGTTTATTCTACAGAAACAAAGAGGGACGGCTATAAAGATTATGAGAAATACAAAAGTAAGAAACCCGGATGAGTGTCCCTTGAAAAGAAAAATCAGACATAACAGAGATTAAATGCTAAACCTACGTCCTCAAGTTGCCATCCGATGGAGAAGACAAAAAGTAAGCAAGTCCCCCTCCCGAGAGTGAGAATGCAATGATAGAGCCATGCACAGAGGAGCAGTCCTTGGACGGAAGCCCCAGGCCTGCAGGAGGAGGAGGAGTTAGCTAGGCAGAAAAGGGGACCAGAGGTCCAGCCAAAGAGGCTGCCTGCTCAAAGACAGGCCCTTGAGACCACCACACACAGAAAGGCCCCCGGGTCACTGGGAGGATCGGGGCCAGGCTGCAGATAGGAAAAGGGAAGTGGTGGGCTTCACAGACCGCAGGGGACCAGCAGCCCTGACACATGCCTGGAGGAGAGGGTCCACTCGNAGGGACTNGAGTGACCCCTGAGCTGCCTGAGATGGGGCTGGGAGACAGGCAGTCCGGCAGGAAGAGAGTCCAGAATGACCTTTCCTGGAGTAGGTCACTGAGCGATGATGTTTATGAAGGTGGAGACAGACGCCTCCTGAGAAGTTTGGGGAGAGAGGAGCAAGGTCAGAAACGATGAGCTCTGTCTGCGTTGCACACGTTGAGTCTCGGTGACCAGTGACCCAAAAGAGTGCTTGAGACCATGTCCGAGAATCTGTGGATATGTGTAGGCAGGAAAGAGAGGAAGAGGACCTGGAATTCTAGGACTTTCTCACCCCTGGAGGTCACAGGGATGTTAGTGCTTAGCAGGGAGTGAAAGTCCAGGCACTCACTCTTGGCAGTAAAATTGGGAGATCGAGATCAACAAGAAGAAGATATCAGAAGGGCATGCAGAGGTACAGAGACTGGGACATGAACCAGGAGACTGAGAGACTGGATCAAGGTCATCTGAGGGAGCCCAGAGGGTTTCCCAGTATGTCCTTAGGCCTGTGGGCATTATCTGGGGTTTCTGTGGGATGCTCTAGAACAATTAAATCAGGCACATATTGAGGACAGAGGGGACTACATATCAAGCTGGGTACGGTCTGAATCCAAGCCCGTCTTCCTTTGGGGCTAAGGATGGCTCCAGGAAGTTGCTTGTTCACTGCCTTCTGTGTGATGCTGTTGGTTTTACAACTTGAGTGATCAAGCAGCATCTTCCGGGAAGATTTCCCCACATATCTAAGAATAAGGAGTTGATGCATATCCATTTAGAGTGAATGAACTCTTCACACCTAGCTTCAGGATTCTTGCTTTGGCTAAGACCTCAAGGCCAGAAGACATGAGTGCTTCCTTAATGTTTGTATTGCCAGGGCCCGGTACAGGCCGCCACCATGGCAGAATTTGATGAATCAGAGACATTATCTTGGAGATGGCCGTAAACTGGACCACCAAGAAACCATGCTGAAATAGACAAGAGGAAAAGCATGCAGTTTCATCTAATAGGAAATCAGTAGGGCCTGCAACTGCTTTGAACCTCTGAAATGCTTTGGGAGTGTGCACGAGGAGATGAATCATGCTGATGAATGGATGCTGTGTGGCTGAAAACTGACCACGCTTTTCTGCCATAAAATCACATTCTGATACATTCACCAAGTCAGTGAAAAGCTTTACGGACTGACTCTTTTTAAAACAGATCCTGAGACTCTAATCCATGCTTAGTGTAATACTTGGAACAAAGACTGTGCTTCATGTTCTAGGTGCTTTTATTTGTATTTTGTAAAAGTGTCCCAGAGTTTTAATGCAAAGTCAGAGACAGCTGCGTAAGGTTTACCACCTGCCTTTTGTCTTCCACCTGGGGGTGGACATGCAGGTCACACCGCAAGCTGGTTGAGGAGAGAGCCCTTTGCACCAATCTAGGGGATGCAACCAGGGCCACTTTGTAGGATGTGGGCAGATGGCTCTGGAATGCAGGGAATTCATTCTATTCTGGCCAACGGTGCCATCTGCTGAAAGAGCTACTGGTAAGTCAATTTAGGCATGAAGCTTCCATTGAGAGTCAAGATATTACTGCATCAAAAAGGCAGAAGAGGCTAGACACAGTGGCTCACACCTATAATCCCAGCACTTTGGGAGGCCGAGGCGAGTGGATCACCTGAGGTCAGGAATTCGAGATCAGCATGGACAACATGGTGAAACCCTGTCTCTACTAAAAATGCAAAATTAGCCGGGCGTCGTGGCACATGACTATAGTCCTAGCTATTTGGGAGGCTGAGGCAGGAGAATCGCTTGAACTCGGAAGGCGGAGGTTTCAGTGGGCCAAGATCGCGCCATTGCACCCCAGCCTGGGCAACAAGAATGAAACTCCATCTCAAAAATGAAAATTTTTAAAAAAGGCAGAAGAGGCCTCTTTGAGCAGGGGAAGAGTAAAGGGTAAAAAGAAGGGATGCCTTTATATGAGAATCAGGTGATAATGAGGCATAACTACTCTGCCATTTCCTTATTTCAATCGAATATCAGTTCTTTGCCTGCCTCATCCGAAAATATATTAGAATGCATTGCAAATGCAACAGCCTGCTGGTTCAAATATTACAGCGATGCTTTCCTATTACCCAACGAAATTATCTTAGAGAATGTTTTCTTAGAACATATACATCAGCAACAAATGTTCAATCATAAAAGAGCCTGCTCTCATCATAAAAGAGCCTGCTCTCATCATAAAAGAACCTGCTCTCATCTTTTTTTCAACAGGGTCTCACTCTGCTATGCCCTGGAGTGCAGTGGCATGATCACAGCTCACCACACACTCGACCTTCCAGTCTCAAGAAATCCTCCCACCTCAGCCTCCCCAGTCTCAAACAATCTGCCCCTCTTGGCCTTCCAAAGTGCTAGGATTACAGGCATGAGCCACTGCAGAGGGGCCTTCCAAAGTGCTAGGATTACAGGCATGAGCCACTGCAGAGGGGCCTTCCAAAGTGCTAGGATTACAGGCTTGAGCTACTGCACCCAGTCAAGGAATACATTTTACTGGGTCCACAACATACTTCCTTTTTGCTCCTGATGGTTCAGTTATTAGATGGGTTCTTAGAAGCCGTGATTTGAGGAAGATTTAACCCCTACCCATTCCTATTTTCTCTCTCATTTTCTGTCTGAAACAAGTCAGCCTCTCAGAGGCTCCCATGACCCCCAGTTGTGTGAAAAGGCAGGCTATCAGGCCAGGATCTGAGGAGTCTTTTCTCTCTCTCCTTTCTTTTCTCTTTCTTTCTTCTTTTCCTTTTCCTCCCCCACTCCCTTCTTTTTGCTTAGATGAGGTCTCTCTCTGTCACCCAGGCTGGAGTGCAGTGGCACAATCATAGCCCACTGCAGCCTCGACCTCCTGGGCTCAAGCAATTCTCCCACCTTGGCCGCCTGAGTAGCTGGGACTATAGGTGTGTCCCACCATGCCCAGCTAATTTTTTTTTTTTTTTGGAGAGACAGGGTTTCACCATGTTGCCTAGGCTAGTCTCAAACTCCTGGCCTCAAGCAATCCTCCAGCCTCAGCCTCCCAGTGTGTTGGGATTACAGGTGTGAGCCACTGTGTCTGGTAGGAGAGGGCTTTTGTTTTTTCCAATCTGGCTGCTGTACTGTGTAAAAGCCTTTCCAGCTGAAGGCTCAGTTAATTTTTTTTTGGTCTATACCCGCCTGAACCTAGAGCTCAAAGCCCTAGCAAATCCAGTTCAAGTCTCAGCTGGAAACTCAAGCTCCACACGCAACAGCAAGCTTTCCCAGCCTTTCCTCCTGCTTTTGCCTGCAGATCATGCCAATCAAGAACTGTGGAGCAACAGATGATTAAGATAAAGGAGCAGCACCTCTCAAACTTCAGTGTGGACATGAATCACCTGGGGATCTTGTTCAAGTGCGGATTCTGATTCAGTGGGTCTGGGTGGGGTATTGCTAACAAGTGCCAGGTGGAGCAGATTTTGGGCCTTACACCACACTCTGAGCCACAGGCATTGACAAAGTGATCTCACTCTCATCAACCTGGTCCAGAGCCAAGTCTAGGGCTACTTGAAATTCCGTAGCCTTCCAGCCTTTCCTTTAAAAGGCGTCTTCCCACTCCAAAGCCCCGAGCTTACTGGGTGGACCCCACTCCCACCTTCATTGCCTACAGTGCTGTTCATTCCTCCACATACTCCTTTGTCCCTGCATTTCTTAAAATGTGACAGTTGGAGCTCCTCCCTCAGGATATTACTGAGCCTCTTCTAACCACAAAACAATGTTGCCCACTGTAATGGGCAACTTGCAGTCAGCATTGAGCCTGTGACTTTTCTCAAATCCAAAGATTTGCATTCAGTTTAGGAAATTTCCCTTGAAAGAATGGCAGCACCTCTGTCCACAGTCTGCTTGCCAAGTGTGTGTCTCTTGGCATTTTTTGTTTGCTTGCTTACTTACTGCGCACGTGCCTTGTTTTGGAACTCTGTTTACATATCCGGTCCTCTGGCCAGCCTAGCATTTCTCTAAAGGGCAGTGATTATAACTCAGTGGCTTTGTAATGGTACTCCCTGGCACTAAGTCCCAGCATATAACAGGGTAAATACTTAGCAAAAATAAAGGAAAATCAGATTTCTATGAAAGTAATTTGTGTTAAAGGCTTTAGAGGTGTGTAGTTTGTGGCCTAGTAGTTCTAATTTTAGAAGTCCATTTAAAACATTGAATATAAGCAAATTTTTAAAACAGTGTGATATAAAAGCTTAACAGTGGAAACATCTTAAATATCCAACAATAATGAAATGATTATAAATTATGCCTATATTCATATAAGCACCTTTTAGAAAACATCTTCTCTAAGAACATTTAATAAAACCGTTCTGGCCGAGTATAGTGGCTCACATCTGGGAGGCAGAGGTGGAAGCATTGCTTGAGGCCAGGAGTTTGAGACAAGCCTGGACAACATAAAGAGACCCCCATCTTTACAAAAAACAAAAATAAAAATAAAATTAGTCTGTGTGGTGGCACAAATCTGTGGTCCTCAAGAGGCTGAGGTGGAAGGATTGCTTGAGCCAAGGAGTTTGAGGCTGCAGTGAGCTGTGATTATGGCATTGCACTACAACATGGGCGACATAGCAAGATCCTGTTTTTAGAAGAAGAAAAAGTTCATTATATAGCACAAGGTGAAAAGTGCAAGTTGTAAAACGAGATAAACAGCATGGTCACAACTTTGTAAAATATACAAATATATATGCAGAAAAATAAGTGAAAATAAAATACACCAAAGGTTAATACAGTTGATTGCTGAGTAGCATGACTACAGGTAATTTTTACAGGTTTTTTCACTTCTTTATATTCTGCAGGTTTCTTTTGCAATGAATGTATGGTGAGATTTATAATTATATGGCTTGTAGATTACAATTCATAGTATACTTCAAAATGATTTTTTAAAAACTGTCTTGTCTTCTGAACTTCATCACAAATTCCTCAAGGGCAAGGATTGTATCTTTGGTTTCAGCAAGCCCGTTTCAGAGGCCTCTTGATTGGTAAATATTCATTGATGCTGCTAGTAATTGATTCTTTGTCTTAACAGGTTCTCTTTTTCTAGCTGCCTTAGAAAAAGTCTCCTTTCGCATCAGGCAGGTGCTTCTGATCCTCTCCCTAGAGATAGGCTATCTAATAAAGCCCTCTAAGCCTTTATTTTTATTTTTTATTTTTTGAGACGGAGTCTCGCTCTGCCTCCCGGGCTGGAGTACAGTGATGCGATCTCGGCTCACTGCAGCCTCCGCCTCCCGGGTTCAAGCGATTCTCCTGTCTCAGCCTCCCCATTAGCTGGGATTACAGGCACCCCCCCCACCACACCCGGCTAATTTTGTATTTTTAGTAGAGATAGTGTTTCACCGTATTGGCCAGGCTGCTCTAAGCCTATTTGATAAAACCCTTCTCCCAGGCCATCAGCAACTTGACAATTAGTACTGACAGGTGATGCCTTTTGGGATCAGGTCTCCAGTGGTTCTCGTTAGCATTCTTCACTTGAATATTACCCAAAACAATGGCAAAAATCAACCCCTATCCTAGGTTGCTCGGTGGAGGCAATCAAAACGAGACGCCTTGGGCTGGCCGCGATGCTCCTTTCCCCAGGCTCTGGGATTGTGGACAGGAGGGCGCGCACCCACTGGCGATCCGACGCGGAGCTGCAGCGTGGGGGCGTGGTGTGGCGGGTCCTCCGGAGCGCGGGGCGGGGCTGTGGGCGGGGATATGGGCGGGTCCTCCGGGGCTCGGGGGCGGGGCGGGGCGCGGGCGCGGGCGCCGGGAGGTGGGGCGGCGCGCGCCGGCGTCCCCCGCGCTCCTCCCGCGCGCGGCCCCTGGAGTCCCTGAGGCGCGCGGCCAGCCCAGCTCGGGCCCGCAGCACCGGGAGCAGCCCGCCGGCCAAGCGAGCGCGGGCCGGGGCCGGGGCCGGGGCCTGGGGGCGCCGCCCCCGGGAGTCTTTCTGCGGCCCCTGAGGAGCGAGGGCGACGGCGAGGCTGACCGGGGCCGAAACCATGAACCGAAGTTTTCACAAGTCTCAGACCTTGCGATTCTACGATTGCAGCGCAGTGGAAGTCAAGAGCAAGGTAAGCCCCCCGCCCGCCCCGGCGGCCCTGCGCCCAGTCTCCTGGCTAATGAATGGGGCGCCCCGCGGAGGGGGACTGGGGCGGCGTGGAGGCGACAGGCGCCGGCGACAACTTTCCAGTTCGGGCGCCGCGCGCCGCTCCGCGGGACGCGCACTGGGGACCCCGGCCGTCCTTCCCGCCCCCCGCGCGGACACAAAGCCCGGCAGCCGCGGCGCTCAGAGGGCCGAGGGCCATCGGACAGTCCGGGCAGACTCTGGACCCGCTCCGCGGGAGCTGCTCTTTTGTTCCACGAGTGAGAGGCGATCGGGGCGCGCCACACATTGGAGGGGAGGGCGGCCTTTCCGGGGCGAGTTGAGGGCCAGGGGCTGCTCGGATTCGGGGCCGTGGGGGGGCTCTGGGGGCCCGGGCCGTGGGATGGCCCTGGCCAAGGCGCCTTCAAGGCTGCAAAGGAGGCTTGTTACCTGCCAGGAGGAGACTTGCCGCCGGCTCCGAGCCCGGCGTCCCCCACCCGCTCGGTACCAAACATCTAGGCACCAGGCGCGCTCCCCCGCGCAGACCCAGAGCACGCACCCGGCTCTCCCCCGGCCCAGACCCAGACCACGCCTCCCCGGGCGCGTCCCCGGGCCAGACACCCCACCCCACCCCCACGGGCGCGCCCCCACCCCAGACTCCCCCACCTCCGGACGCGCCCCCGCCCCAGACCCAGCCCACTCCCCCGGGCGCGCCCCCGGCTCAGACCCAGACCCCTCCCGAGCGCGCCCCCGGATCAGACCCGTACCCAGACCACCCCCACGGGCGTGCCCGGCCCCTCCCGCTGCCTGCGCCCGGGCGGAGCGTGCCCGAACTTGCGGGTCGCGATGCGCGTCTGGGTAATTGGCTGGTAGGATCTGGCGCTTCTGCCCTTTGCGGGGGTGGTTCCTTCGCCGCAGATGCTATTGTTTGTGAGGGTCTCCTTGGTGGACCCCGCGGGCTGAGGAGGTGCTGCAGTTGTTCGGGGTCCTGCGGGAGGGGGCCCCTCGAGTCTTTCGCTGGCTACTCTCTGGGAGTTGAGCGGCCCTTTCGCCCTTTCTTTCTTCGCACCCCGGTTCTCAGAGTTGTGGGAAAGGCTCCTAACGGCGGAGTGGGAGCCCGCACCCCTAACTGTGTGCCTATCTTGGGCGCAGGGCGGGTGTTCCCTCCCCTGTCTCTGGGGAGGCAAGTCCAACAGCCCCCTCTCGCTGTGCTGCTCTGACCTTTGGAGTAGGATTTCCAGGGTGTCTGCAGAGGATTGAGGCGGGGAGGTGTCCCAGCAACAGCATGGCCGCCTCTCCAGCCTGCTACAGTGAGTTGCAGGATCCTTCTCTGCTTAGGGGTACACGGTCTTTTAATGAATCCCTCATTTATCATAAGATCCTGTCCTTACCCTTGCCCCATGACCTCGGCCCCACACCCATCTTCTCTGGAGCACAGAAGTGCCCCC
This sequence comes from Homo sapiens, assembly GCF_000001405.40. Taxonomy (NCBI): domain Eukaryota; kingdom Metazoa; phylum Chordata; class Mammalia; order Primates; family Hominidae; genus Homo; species Homo sapiens. The sequence goes on along the minus strand of NC_000018.10, from coordinate 80,245,817 downwards.
AGCTCCCCCAAATCAAGTGTGCCAGCTGTGGGTTAGGTGAGGGGAAGAGCCCACAAGCATGGGCGGGAGGTTTCTTTAGCTCAGTGGGAACACAGCTCTCTGGAGCTGCACTATCTAGTACAGTAGACAATAAGCACGTGTGGTATGTAATCTTATTTAACTTTTTATTTTGAGATTATTGTACATTCACAAGTAGCTGTGAGAGAATATAGAGGTCTGTGTTCTCAGCCTCTGAGCCTTTGCTCAGCCTCCCTGATGGTGGCATCTCGTGTGACTAGCACACTGTCGTATCCTGGACACAGACCTTAGCGGGTCTCAGCAGCGTGACACACTCATTCGTGTACGCCTAGGTCTGTGCGGTGGTGTGACCACCAACACAATCAAGGTGCAGAGCAGTTTTCCCCTTTCATCCTAGGATCCTTCCTGCTGCCCTTCACAGCAGCTGTTTAACCAGGGAGGACTGGTTGGTTAACATGAGCGTTAAAGACTCACTTCTGTGCTCATTTGCCCTCTGCAGAGGGTGGCTGCCTCCTCACACACATAGCTCCAGAGAATCAGAGGCCTCAACCAGGCACAGGGTAGGTCTGGAGGACATGCCCTCACCAGGCCTCATCCTGCAGTCCTGGGCTGCTGGCACTACAGAGGCTGCCTCTGCCTTCCCTGGGGTGTCAGCCTGCCTGCTTCTGCCAGCTCCACTTGGCAAAGAAGGGGTGCTGCCTTACACCCCAAGCATGGATTCAAGTTCAGATGCAGCAGATGCTTGTCTGGAGGTGAGTGGCAGCGCCAGAGTTTTGGTTGAACTGGGGTGTCCTTGGAAGGGCCACACTGACCTGGGCCTTACTGGACTTGCTGTTGTGCCCTCCCCACCGTGATGGGGCTGAACTTGCTGCTTGTCCAGAGGGTCCGTGTGGCTCTTCCTTCTGTGCACAGCTTCCCACTTACCCACTTTATGGTTAATATTTGTTACTGTAGCATCTATCTCCATAGGGAGCCGCTGTTGTCAAAATAACAGCAAAGCCTTATGACAACCTCAATGTAGCACCATAACACCATGGTTTGGTTTGTGGGGAAAATGGCGTCTGGGGAGCTGAGTCCAGCCTGGGTTCTGCCACCTACTGCATTTGTGAGCTTTTGGGCAAGTCATTTAACTTTTCCAAGCATCGGTTATTTCATCTGTAAAATGGGCATGATACCTTTTCTGCTTACCTATCAAGATGAAATGCATTGAATACAAGAGCGCTTTGAGTTAAATACTGCAGGTCAGAATTCTTTGGCATTTTAAGATATTGGGTTGGAAAACTGCCTTAGGTTCTCTCAGAATTTTTGTCATTCACCATTTGCCACAGATGGTCAGTCCCCAGTGCTTAGGGACAGGACCCTGGTGTGTGTGCGCGAGGGGCCATATGGTCTTGATCTTGACCTGGTGGCTTTTCCTCATTTTGCAGCCCTTATACTTCTCCAAACATTTTTACCTGAATTCCAGTGATTCATCTGTTCCTCACCAAACCAGCTGCAGTATGTACTTCCAATTCCCTAGTTCTGTTCATGGGACCACCCTTTTCCCACTTAGCTTCGACTTTGGCCTCTCCTTCCACAGGACCTGCCGTGGGGAGGGAGGAGCTACGCAGAGGGTTAGGGTGTTTCACGTGGAGGAGAGCAAGAGTCCTTGGCCACCTTAGAATGCAGCGGAAAAGCCAGTGCTGGGATCGGAAGGGGTTTACAGGGGGCGGTAAATGGAGATGAATTTTCATATGAGGAGAAGACAGCAAGCAACACGGTGCCACTACGAACTTAGCAACGCCTTTACCTACGTCAGTATTGCGTCAATTCCACTGTCGTCCGCATGAGCTTGAAAAATCCAGAGAAACACAGCTCATCCCCGCTCCCAGCAGTGTGCTCAGCCCAGAGCCCCGAGTTCCTTCAGACGTGAGCGTAGATGGCCCGCTGCTCATGCCCTCGGCCCACGCTTTCTTTGGCCTGTGTTTCCCTAGTTTGTGGCTTCCCCTACCTGAAATGCTTTCTCTGAGAATCTGCCCTATCCTGAGGACCTTCTTAGACAGCTCCCTCTTCTACAAAGTCATTCTGGATGCCTGTGCCAGAACAAACTTTCTCTGTCCGACCCCTTCTTGGTGTTTCTGGTCATCTTATTGGCACTTGTCATGATGCTGGTGCCACAGTTATGTTCGGCACAGATTGTCTGTCGTGTTAATTATATCTGAGGGAGAAGGTTTTCATCCCATTTGTGCTTCCTGATTAAATAATGATGGGGCTTTTTTGGATTCTAAGCTAACACAGTGTCATCGTAGGAAATTTAGAAACCACAGCCAAGCACAAAGAAGGGCCAACACCATTGGTAGCTCTCCTGTCCAAAGGTGAGCCACTGTTAAATGTTGCCTCTGGCCTTCCGGTCTTTTGTGTGCCTGTATGATGCACGCATTCTTGTGTTACAGAATTTGGGTCAAATAGGCATGTCATGGTGTAGCCGGCTTCCCCTCTAACTTATCATGTATTGCGAGTGTTTTTTCATGTCAGTAATATTTTTAGACAACAGAAAAGACTGCATCATATTCCTGCTCATGTCTAAACCATGACTAACCAGTATCTTAAGTTAACCCCAATTTTTTCCACAGTAAACAGTGCTGTAAATAATATCTTTAAGTCTTTATATAAAGATTATATATAGAATATACACATATAAAATATGTAAAGATTATTGATTATATTAAACCAGTGCAAAATTCTTACTGATCTTTAGAACAAATTCCTGGAAGTGACATCACCTGGGAAAGGCACGTACTTTTACAGGCTTTGAGTGCGTATTTCTACTTTTCTTCTGGAAAGTTTATTTTACCAATTTATAGATGCTGTTTCATATCTATTCATTCATCTGTTTCTTTCTCCCCATCCCTTTCTTCTTTCCTCCTTCTAGCGCTGGGCATTTTCTCATTCTTTCCCAATTAGATGAGTGAAATGGTATCCCATTGTTTTAATTTGTATCTCTTAAGTTATTAGAGAGTTGAAATTTTCGTATTTATTGGCTATTTGTGTATTTATTTTCAACTGCCTGGTTTTGTCCTGAATCCTTTTTCTCTGTTAGTTTTCTTGGGAGTTAATAAGTTATGGGAGCTTCTTGTTCGCAATGTTTCCAATCAGTGCAGATGGTGCTGAGGGTGACTGGCTCTGAGAGTGTTGTGACCTTGCCCCCAGGCATTAAACTTGGGCCCTCCAGGATGACAAGGGTATGAGGAGCCTGTTGGTGGGCTGGCTGATGCACTGGCTGGCCAGGTTCTCCTGGGGACAGCCAGGTGTGCAGTGTTTTGTGTTAGCATATCTCCTCTGGTCCCCAAGATCTTACTGCTGGCTGAGGCCGTTGGCTGCCATGGTGCTGCAGGAACATGCCCTTCCAGCTGTGTGATGTGCGACAGCCGGTGGGATGGAGCTGAGGCCAGGCCTCCCCATTGGGTGGCTGACACTTGCCTCCTGTGGGCCAGTTAAGAATTGCCTGGACATGGTTTGACTCACCTGTGTGTGTCAGCTACACCCTTTTAAGACTTTAGTTTTGTTGTATTTGTGCATGTCTGTGCTTAAACAGGTTCAGTGACTTGATTTGGGAAGTCACATCTTAGGGAGACTTACCAGGGACCCAAGTGCAGAGTCAGCCTGGGGGGCACTGATGGCGTCACTGCCCCTGGAGGCTGCCAATTTCTTGTAGGTCTGTGGCCTGGGAGACTCTGATGGCCTTCCAGGTGGGCACCCCAGCTAGCCAGGGGGTAGAGCCCTTTCCTAGGACCCATGGCATTTCAGATAGAAGGCCCTAATTTTAGGGAAGTGAAGGAATATCAAGGATTGGGAGATGCAGCCATTCAAGGTCTCAGAAGCTCTGGCGTTTGTGAATCACGTCCAGAATTAGTACAAAGGGGAGAGGCATCCTGATCTTTTCCCATAAAGGGGTCTCCATGACCTTTAGAGGCAGCAAGAAGGGAGCCTGGCATGACAGCAGCAGAACCTTCCAGGTGGTTAGATGTGTTCACTTGGCTGCTTACATGTCAAATCCACTTCCTCTGGGCAAATTTCTACTGCACCATGACCCTGGGGATCCATGGGAGGTACATGCTCCTGTGTAGGCCCCAGCCTCTTCCCAACACACACCCTGCGGCCCTGCCCCGAGTCCCCCAGGCTGGACGTTGCCTGCTGTGCAGAGAGGTTGTGTTCTGGAGTATTAATAACATTTACTTAATGCCCCTCCAATATACGTGCATATATGTGCCAGGGACCATCCTAAATACATTGCAATTGCAGATAGTTCACTAATGCCCATCACAATACTGTAACGTGGGCCAGGGACCATCCTAAATGCATTGCAATTGCAGATAGTTCACTAATGCCCATCTCAATACTGTAACGTGGGTTCGTTTATCACACCCACTATACAGATGAAGAGGAAACTGAGTCACAGGGTGCTTCACTGACCTGCCGAAGGTCATAAAGCTCATAAGTGGGGTTGGAACCCAGATAGTCTAGCTCCAAAGTCTAGAGTGGGAACCACCAGTTGTCCGTGGCTGCTGGAAGAGGGCTCACACCCCTCTCAGGATCCAATAAGCCATGAAATACAAACCAGGACACAGGTGCACACATTCCCAGCTCACCGTGCATAGGGTGAGAGACTCCCTCAGCTGTCTGAATCTGGAGCTTGCAAGAAACAGCTGGGAGGGTTAGTCTTGTGTTTTATGGGGAGAAGTTCTATTTTTCTTGCATCACTGTAGAAGGTTCTTGCTGCATGGCCTCACGGGAAGTCCTCTATTCAGTAGCTATTCTTTCAGAGTCTGATCTTATCCATACATTTGTTTACTCATTTACTGAGCAACTACTTTGTGGCAGGCATAGGGCATGTGCTGGGGTAAAACGTACAACATCCCTGCCTTAAAAACACCAGTGAAGGTTCAGTCAGGTAAGTGGGCAGATTTGGGTGAGGTGGAATGTCCTTTGTCTTGATAATCAAGCTATCACCAGATCCACAGCCTCACGTCTCCTTGAAATCGGAGGTTTCCGGTGCAGCCCAGTCATCCCACCACCCCGCAAGACCAGTCAATGTGCTGAGTCTCCCCTGAAATTGCTCTGATAGTCTCTGCATCGGCAACAGTGATGCCTGTGTGAGGTGGTTTGAGATTCTAGGCCAGGTCTCCATAGCTCCCAGAAGCAGGTAGGGTCCAGTCCCCACTTGTCCTTATTTGGGGCTCTTTAATCCTCCCCACATGTTTTCAGAGGCCAGTTCAGAACCCTAGCTGCGTTTCTCAATGGCGTGCTGTGTAAGGAAGAGCTCAGCATTGGAGGTGGGAAGAGCAGTGCCTTGTTTATATTAGGGACACAATCAGTGTTCCTTGGGTCGAATTCAGATGAAAAACAAGTGGGTTTTCCTGACAGCTACTGGTTCAGAAATGGTCCGTTGAGCAAATTTAGAAAATTACTTTTTGAGGAAAGGGACAACTACTTGCACTTTTGAGCTGATGCTGGAACAAGTTAGGACTTTTGGGAACTATTGAGAAGGGATGATTATATTTTGCAGTGTCATAAGGACATGAGATTTGTGGGAACAGGGAGAATGTTATAGCTTAGATATTTGACCATCAAAACCTCATGTTGAAATTTGGTCCCCGATGTTGGAGGTACAGCCTAAACGGAAGTGTTTGGGTCATGGAGGTGGATCCCTCGTGAATGGCTTGGTGCCATCCTCATGGTAATGAGTGAGTTCTTGCTCTATGAGTTCTAGCAAGAGCTGGTTGTTAACAAGAGCCTGGCTCCTCCCCCGTTGCCTCCTCTCTTGCCACATGATCTCTGCACATGCCGGCTCTCCTTCCACCTTCCACTGTGAGTAGAAGCAGCCAGAAGCCCTCCCCAGAAACAGATACTGGCACCATGCTTCTTGTACAGTCTGCAGAACTGTGAGCCAAATAAGCTTCTTTTCTTTACCAATTAAAATGTATTGATACATTGATTTGCCAGTTGGCTCATTGCCGGGGCATCCCTGAGAGGCGTCAGTGGCCTTGCCCTCTGTATCCTGTGAAGGTAAGTGGCACTAGTGCTGTAGCTGAGGGGAAAAGGTGAGGTACTTTGGAAATTAAAAGCCCACATAGCTATTTCTGTTGCTGTTGGCACCTCCTGAGTTTCTCAGTGCTCAGAGATAGGCCAGGAACCTGCTTGTTGCCAGCTCAGCAGCTCCAGGGGTGCTTGTGCCCCTTCCTTGTAGACCAAGCTTGTCCAATCCATGGCCTATGGGCCACATGTGGAACAGGATGGCTTTGAATAACGTGGCCCAACACAAACTCATAAACTTTCCTAAAACTTTATGAGATTTTTTTTTGGTAATTTTTTTTTTAGCTCATCAGCTGTCATTAGTGCATTTTATGTGTGGCCCAAGATGATGATTCTTCCTCCAGTGTAGCCCAGGGTACCCCTGTTGTAGACCAGCAGCCCTACACACTTCCTCTTGCAGAGTTGCCTGGGCACACTCAAGTGCTCCAAGGACCAGCCCACTGGGAATGGGGTGGCTGGACCAGAGCACTTCTGGTACAGCTGTGTCATCAGGTACCTTCGACCCCCTCTTCTCCCTGCTGCTCCCATGTTCCTGGGGTCTAAGGACGAGCTCTCCTGTACCCTGGCCCCTGCCCCACCTCTCCCTTATTCTCCCTTCACATCAGTCACTCATCCCATACTTCATAGACAGTGGCAGAGGAGTCTAAGAGGGGAGGGCTCCACTCCCCAGCCCCAACCAGAGCAGATCTGCTTGGTTTTGAGATACATGTGTAGCATTTCACTTGGGGGAAGAAAAGGCTTTCGCTGATTAAAAAGTTTGAAAACCACTGTAGTGCAGGATGCTTTCAGCCTGGGCACCGAGGCCCTCCCACGTGGCCTACGTGAAACTACTAGTCTATCTGTCACCTCCCACTTCCCCCGCCCGCCCCCCGATTCTGTGACCTCCCAGCAAGCCGATCCTTTCCTACTCTTGCCAGTGGAAGTTCAGCCTTGCCTTCCTGCCTCAGGGCTCAAATCACTGCCTGTTCAGGAAGCTGTCCCAGACCCCCTTAGCCCAACGACAGTGTCTGCTGTGTTCAGTGAGTGTATTACAGTGAAATACACTCATCTTAAGTGTACGGCTTGGTGGTCAAGATGCAGAACATTCCAGCATCCAGGAAGGTTCCTTCATGCCCTTTTCTAGTGAGTACCTACCCCCGAGGTAACCACTATTAGGGTCTCTATCGCCAGACCAGTTTTTTGTTTTTATTTTTATTTTTTTTACTTTTGGTTAAAAAAATAGTTGTTTTTTTTTTTGTTATACTTTAAGTTTTAGGGTACTTGTGCACAACATGCAGGTTTGTTACATAGGTATACATGTGCCATGTTGGTGTGCTGCACCCATTAACTCATCATTTAACATTAGGTATATCTCCTAATGCTATCCCTACTCCCTCCCCACACCCCACAACAGGCCCCAGTATGTGATGTTCCCCTTCCTGTGTCCATGTGTTCTCATTGTTCAATTCCCACCTATGAGTGAGAACATGCAGTGTTTGGTTTTTTGTCCTTTCGATAGTTTGCTGACACTGATGGTTTCCAGCTTCATCCATGTCCCTACAAAGGACACGAACTCATCATTTTTTATGGCTGCATAGTATTCCGTGGTGTATATGTGCCACATTTTCCAGTCTATCATTGTTGGACATTTAGGTTGGTTCCAAGTCTTTGCTATTGTGAACAGTGCCGCAGTAAACATACGTGTGCATGTGTCTTTATAGCAGCATGATTTATAATCCTTTGGGTATATACCCAGTAATGGGATGGCTGGGTCAAATGGTATTTCTAGTTCTAGATCCCTGAGGAATCGCCACACTGACTTCCACAATGGTTGAATTAGTTTACAGTCCCACCAACAGTGTAAAAGTGTTCCTATTTCTCCATATCCTCTCCAGCACCTGTTGTTTCCTGACTTTTTAATGATCACCATTCTAACTGGTGTGAGATGGTATCTCATTGTGGTTTTGATTTGCATTTCTCTGATGGCCAGTGATGATGAACATTTTTTCATGTGTCTTTTGGCTGCATAAATGTCTTCTTTTGAAAAGTGTCTGTTCATATCCTTCACCCACTTGTTGATGGGGTTGTTTTTTTCTTGTAAATTTGTTTGTGTTCTTTGTAGATTCTGGATATTAGCCCTTTGTCAGATGAGTAGATTGCAAAAATTTTCTCCCATTCTGTAGGTTACCTGTTCACTCTGATGGTGTTTCTTTTGCTGTGCAGAAGTTCTTTAGTTTAATTAGATCCCATTTGCGAATTTTGGCTTTTGTTGCCATTGCTTTTTGTGTTTTAGACATGAAGTCCTTGCCCATGCCTATGTCCTGAATGGTATTGCCTAGGTTTTCTTCCAGGGTTTCTTTGGTTTTAGGTCTAACATTTAAGTCTTTAATCCATCTTGAATTAATTTTTGTATAAGGTGTAAGGAAGGGATCCAGTTTCAGCTTTCTACATATGGCTAGCCAGTTTTCCCAGCACCATTTATTAAATAGGGAATCCTTTCCCCATTTCTTGTTTTTGTCAGGTTTGTCAAAGATCAGATAGTTGTAGATATGTGGCATTATTTCTGAGGGCTCTGTTGTGTTCCATTGGTCTATATCTCTTTTTTTGGTACCAGTACCATGCTGTTTTGGTTACTGTAGCCTTGTAGTGTAGTTTGAAGTCAGGTAGCTTGATGCCTCCAGCTTTGTTCTTTTGGCTTAGGATTGACTTGGCAATGCGGGTTCTTTTTTGGTTCCATATGAACTTTAAAGTAGTTTTTTCCAATTCTGTGCAGAAAGTCATTGGTAGCTTGATGGGGATGGCATTGAATCTGTAAATTACCTTGGGCAATATGGCCATTTTCACAATATTGATTCTTCCTACCCATGAGCATGGAATGTTCTTCCATTTGTTTGTATCCTCTTTTATTTCATTGAGCAGTGGTTTGTAGTTCTCCTTGAAAAAGTTCCTTCACATCCCTTGTAAGTTGGTTTCCTAGGTGTTTTATTGTCTTTGAAGCAATTGTGAATGGGAGTTCACTTATGATTTGGTTCTCTGTTTGTTATTGGTGTATAAGAATGCTTGTGATTTCTGCACATCGATTTTGTACCCTGAGACTTTGCTGAAGTTGCTTATCAGCTTAAGGAGATTTTGGGCTGAGACGATGGGGTTTTCTAGATATACAATCATGTCATCTGCAAACGGGGACAATTTGACTTCCTCTTTTCCTAACTGAATACCCTTTATTTCTTTCTCCTGCCTGATTGTCCTGGCCAGAACTTCCAACACTATGTTGAATAGGAGTGGTGAGGGAGGGCATCCCTGTCTTGTGCCAGTTTTCAAAGGGAATGCTTCCAGGTTTTGCCCATTCAAGATGATATTGGCTGTGGGTTTGTCATAGATAGCTCTTATTATTTTGAGATACGTCCCATCAATACCTAATTTATTGAGAGTTTTTAGCATGAAGCATTGTTGAATTTTGTCAAAGGCCTTTTCTGCATCTGTTGAGATAATCATGTGGTTTTTGTCGTTGGTTCTGTTTATATGCTGGATTACGTTTATTGATTTGTGCTTGTTGAACCAGCCTTGCATCCCAGGGATGAAGCCCAATTGATCGTGGTGGATAAGCTTTTTGATGTGCTGCTGGATTTGGTTTGCCAGTATTTTATTGAGGGTTTTTGCATCGATGCTCATCAGCGATATTGGTCTAAAATTCTCTTTTTTTGTTATGTCTCTGCCAGGCTTTGGTATCAGGATGATGCTGGCCTCATAAAATGAGTTAGGGAGGATTCCCTCTTTTTCTATTGATTGGAATAGTTTCAGAAGGAATGGTACCAGCTCCTCCTTGTACCTCTGGTAGAATTCGGCTGTGAATCCATCTGGTCCTGGACTTTTTTTGGTTGCTAAGCTATTAATTATTGCCTCAATTTCACAGCCTGTTATTGGTCTATTCAGAGATTCAACTTCTTCCTGGTTTAGTCTTGGGAGGGTGTATGTGTCGAGGAATTTATCCATTTCTTCTAGATTTTCTAGTTTGTGTAGAGGTGTTTATAGTATTCTCTGATGGTAGTTTGTATTTCTGTGGGATCGGTGGCGATATTCCCTTTATCATTTTTTATTGCTTCTATTTGATTCTTCTCTCTTCTTTATTAGTCTTGCTAGCGGTCTATCAATTTTGTTGATCTTTTCAAAAAACCAGCTCCTGGATTCATTGATTTTTTTGAAGGGTTTTTTGTGTCTCTATCTCCTTCAGTTCTGCTCTGATCTTAGTTCTTTCTTGCCTTCTGCTAGCTTTTGAATGTGTTTGCTCTTGCTTCTCTAGTTCTTTTAATTGTGATGTTAGGGTATCAATTTTAGATCTTTCCTGCTTTCTCCTGTGGGCATTTAGTGCTATAAATTTCCCTCTACACACTGCTTTGAATGTGTCCCAGAGATTCTGGTATGTTGTGTCTTTGTTCTCGTTGGTTTCAAAGAACATCTTTATTTCTGCCTTCAATTTGTTATGTACCCAGTAGTCATTCAGGAGCAGGTTGTTCAGTTTCCATGTAGTTGAGTGGTTTTGAGTGAGTTTCTTAATCCTGAGTTCTAGTTTGATTGCACTGTGGTCTGAGAGACAGTTTGTTATAATTTCTATTCTTTTACATTTGCTGAGGAGTGCTTTACTTCCAACTATGTGGTCAATTTTGGAATAGGTGTGGTGTGGTGGTGAGAAGAATGTATATTCTGTTGATTTGGGGTGGAGAGTTCTGTAGATTTCTATTAGGTCTGCTTGGTGCAGAGCTGAGTTCAATTCCTGGATATCCTTGTTAATTTTCTGTCTCGTTGATCTGTCTAATGTTGACAGTGGGGTGTTAAAGTCTCCCATTATTATTGTGTGGGAGTCTAAGTCTCTTTATAGGTCTCTAAGGACTTGCTTTATGAATCTGGGTGCTCCTGTATTGGGTGCATATATATTTAGGATAGTTAGCTCTTCTTGTTGAATTGATCCCTTTACCATTATGTAATGGCCTTCTTTGTCATTACAGTCACCTTGACTTGGTGACTGGTGAGTCTCACCAGTCACTCACCTGGGCTTGAGTGATCCTCCTGTCTCAGCCTCCCTCCCGAGTAGCTGGGACTACAGGTGCACACCACCATGCCCCACTAATACTGGCTTTCAGTGATGCAAGTCTGCCCTATGGGGGTGATCTCGGTCATTGATCTTACCTATGACTCAGCATTGGGATTGTTCCTGGCTCTGGTGTACACAGAGACTGTGACCCCTGTCTGGATTTGGGGTGAGGCAGTTGTAGGTCCTGGAGGCCTTGAACCACAACTTATTAGCTATTTGTGGATTAATCAAAATCAGAAAAGATCCTTTATCTTACAGAATTTAAGGTCCCTACTGCTGATGTGTGAAGGGCTTTCACAACCCTTCTTCGAATTCTGTGGTTTGATTGGCTGTTCTTATGCATTTCCTGGCTTTCCTTGAGTTCACACCAGCTGATCAATCTCTGGGGTCCCTCTGGTGGGCTGGATGTTGTGGGAGAAGCTGGGACCTGAGATGAGAACAGGCCTGACACTGTGCCAGAGGTCCAGGACATCGCTGTGCTGGGGCCCTTTGTGTACAATGAAAGTTGGACAATCTTTCTTGGAAAACGTGCCTGAACTTGACATGTGGAATGAAGACCTCACAGCAGCTTCACTCATGGTGAGCTGTGGACACCCGCAGGGCCAAGAGCTTCCACTCCACCTTCAGCCTGGGAGGTGTGCCTGGGTTGCCTGGTTGGCAGCTCATCCCTTCTACACTCGGAGGGTGTTCGTGAAGCCTTTGTGTCTCGAGGGCCGTCAGAGCACTGTGTGAATCTCTCCGCTCCTCCTAAAAGCCTGCCTGCTGAATGGGTGCATTTATTTTCTGTCTTATCACATCAGTACGCTTGTCAAAAGCTGGGTTATAAATCAGTCAGTTCTAAGGTGTGAGATCTCTCTTTTTGCCTTTGCTTCTGAGACAGGATGGACAGTACGCCTGTGCATAAGCCCTCAAGAGGCCCCTTTCTGGGGACCTGGGTGCGGGTGTGAGGCCCCTGAGGTTCCTGGTTAAGGCTGTGAAAGGAGTTTGGGGCTGTTACAGCTGTCATTTTTAGGTGATCAGCTGTTCTAGAGGATTTGGAAACAAAAGCAATGTTAGCACCTGTATCCCGTGGCTCAGGGGCCTCCCTGACTGGCTTTCCACCCACAGTCCTGACCTCATGCCTTGCTGGTGTCTGCAATAATAAGGGGGTGTTTCCTTGGGACAAAATAAACTTCTCTGGCTTCAAAGTGGTCCTTCATGAGGGAGAGGAAGTGGCACTGACCCCCATGGCCTGCAGTCACCTTGGGCCCATCAGCACCTGTACTGGTGCAGGGATGAGAGGGAGTGCAGGCCCAGCTGTGGGGACAGGCCTCCTGGGTCCTGTGTGAGACCCGCCGGTTCCAGTCACCGGCTATGCGGTGGCACATGAGTGATTGATGCTGAATGTTAAATCCTGTACCTCCTCAGGTGGCTTTGTTTTGTTTAAAAACTTTGCATGAATGTTCTCCTTTGTCAGAGGTAGGATAGTTTGCCTGGAAGGTGACACTGTGTGTCTGCATGGACAGGAGCAGCAGACATCAGAGAGATGCAATTGAAATAAATGGTATGTTGACGAAGCCCCACTCCACTCCTCAGGAGATGAGCAGCTGGGGTCCCTGCGTGTGTGGAGCTCTGTCCCTTGAGGGTCTCACTGTTGAGGAGGCCCCACTCCACTCCTCAGGAGATGAGCAGCCCCAGGTCCCTGTGTGCAAGGAGGTCTGTCCCTCAGGAGGGTTTACCTGTGAGCCCACACTCACCTGTCCTGCACCATGAGCTGGTAGCAGTTCCCCAGGGATGTGGCCCCGTGGGTTGTAGGAAGGACACCACTCAGGGATGGGCTGCTTCCTAAATGCCCTCATGCATCTTAGACCCTCTCCTCAGCTGCCTGAGCCTCTGATCCTGCCCATGAATGCTGGTGTGGGCGTGTTTGGCCTTGTGTCCAGTCTGTCTGGTGGAGATGGGGCAGGTGTAGTGATATGGCTTGGCTGTGTCCTCACCCAAATCTCATCTTGAATTGTACTCTCATAACTCCCACGTGTTGTGGGAGGGACCTGGTGGGAGATAATTTGAATCATGGGGGCAGTTTCCCCCACATTGTTCTCGTGGTAGTGAATAAGTCTCATGAGATCTGATGGTTTTATCAGGGGTTTCCACTTTCATATCTTCCTCATTTTTTTCTTGCTGCCACCATGTAAGAAGTGCCTTTCACCTCCCACCATGATTCTGAGGCCTCCCCAGCCATGTGGAACTGTAAGTCCAATTAAACCTCTTTTACTTCCCAGTCTCGGGTATGTCTTTATCAGCAGCGTGAAAACGGACTAATACATGCAAGGAGCACAGGCCCAGGACTGCAGGCCTGGCCACCTCATCCACTTGCTTCAGCAGCCCCGCAGTAGGCTTTCTGCAGTGGAGGTCAGAGTACTCCTGGTGACCCATCCCACCCACCCAGTCCCTGGTGTGGACACCACCTAGCAGAGGCCTGTTGAATTGTGTGGCTTGGGGGGCGGGGGCAGAACCTACCACTCTTTATCTCCACCCAGAGCTGCTGGCTCTGGTCACACTCATGAGCACAGCTTTTCACTCATGGAATTACTAAAAGGTTATTTCATTTTTTAAAAATGCCCTGAAAAACAGCTACCTGCCAGCAGTGAAGGGACAAGTGTAGGAACGCAGTGGCTTCTGCTCAGAGATTAGGGCTTGTGGTTCAGCTGCCGGAAGGCTGAATCTGCCAGCAGCTCAGGCCCACAGTGTGAGCCCAAAACAGGCTTACTATCCTGTGCTATTATAACTCCATACATGCAAGAGGTCTGCCTTTACTGTGCTTGCAACTTTGGGTTTTTGAGAAGGGCTCGGCAGCCATCCCTGTGGATGCCTGTGAGATGCCGAACCCGTCTCTAGGCCTGGGGGAGAACAAACAGCTTGGTGAGCAAGTTGAGCGAGTGAATTGCTCCCATTGGCTGGAGTCTCACTCGCTCACCAGGGCCTATATTGAACACAGGACATGTGTTCATATTAGAGTCTCACCACAACCCTGGGATGAATGTTTTTATCTATTTTATGAAGGAGGAACAGGATCAGAGAAGTTGAATAAATTATCCAGAGTTACACAGCCAGTACAGGTGAGGATTGGAACCCAGGTGTGTCCACTCAGAGCCTGGCTCTTTGCAGCTTTGCTATGTTGTCTGTCTGTATTTGTACAACTCCAGTGACCCAGCCTGCATCCCCTCAGCCGCTCCCAGTGGGCAGCACAGCTCGGATGCAGAACTGCCTAATTCCTCCATGTATCATGAGCTCACATCGGAATGGGACCCCACTTTCTTCCACGGGCTGGAGTTCGAGGCTTCTGCCTAAGTGAATTTACCTTTCAGGAAAGTCTTATGAAGGCAGGGACAGATGCGCAGCCTGTGCTCACGCCTCACACACTTGGGCCCAGGCCAACCCCCAGCACCTTTCCCCTGGCCCTACCTCTCAGCACTAGAGTCTCCTGAGCCCTTAGTTGCTTCTGGAGTAACCCTGGCCCGTTCATCCCACTCCCTTGCTGATGGGCCATCCTTGTCCATTCCCTCCATGAGGGGCATCCCCTCCCACCTGGGGTGTTCCTTCTCACAAAGGGCACCCCTTGTCCCTGACCTTCCATTTGGAATTCTCTCTCCCATCACTGTAGCTCTTTAGGTCTTTTCCAAATTCCCTTTTTGAATTCAGCCTCAGGTCCTTCATTTACTAGCCTTGTGACTATGGGCAGGTTATTGAACCCCTCTAGGTTTCAGTCTCCTGGTTTGTAAAGTGGGAACAGTGACACCTCCCTAGGGTTGCCATCAGGATTACAGAGAGCATGCACACAAAGCTTGGCAGAGACTCTGACTTCTCTCCTGTATGGTAAATCCCTTCTGGACGGAGACCATGTTCATAGACCTCTGTGTCCTCCACTGCTACCCCTCCCTCACTGCTACCCCTCCCACCTCCTACATTTAGCAGTGCTGGGTGCATTGGTCCAGAACACATGCATGAACCAGAATGGCAGGCCCTCTGCAGGGACTGTCTGTGCTCAGAGGGGCCACAGGGTACAGTGGGTTTAGCCGTCACCCTGCACAGTCTGGCATGATGCTCGTCTGGGCAGTTCTGCGAGTGCCAACGGCTGCACCATCATCACTCTGGATCTTGGGTGGACAGCACCTAGGCAGGCGCCAGGCTCCACCTCATCTGACTCATAGGTGTGTGGCCCGATTTTAAACCGTCCCAACGTGTCAGCCCAAGAAGTCATTCTATAGCAAACTACTGCCGAGTCCCACGCTCCAACAGGTTCCTCATTAGGATGACCGCCTGTATTTCTTTAAGACCTGTTGCACTCTCTTTTCCTACATGGAGTTCTTTCTGTGTTTCTTAGTTTCCTACAGGGCACAGATGTGCACAGGTGCTCCCCGGCTTGAAGGTCTGAGGCAGCTCATGTTTGCCATGCACACGCGTGAGATCCTTTACAGCTGGAATGCGTCTGGGCTTGGATGGTAGGCCAGCATCGCCATCCCCTCCCAACAGACCCTGCTGTAGGCCAGGGGCTCTGACAGTCTAAGGCGAGTCTCAGCCCCTGCCAGTGAATGGTTTAGAGCTGGGCATGTGACCCCACCCTGACAGTGAGACTTGAGGGTCTTCTTCCTCTGAAATGGTGACACTGTGACCCTATGACCCACCTGGATGCGTGGGGGAATGTGGGAGACACCTGAAGGCCCCCAGCACGTCCTGGAGCCAACTCCCTGTGTCAACACGTCCCTGGAGCATCTCAGACACACACAGTCCTGTTTGCCTGGCCGCCCACACTGCCCTCCTCATTCCTGGGGCTGTCCAGGCTCCTTTGGTTGTGCCATGGGATGAAATGCTCTCTGTCCTCACGCTTCACCCAGTTATTTCCACTCCTTATTCCCTGAGTTTAAATTAGGGCCTGTGTTTTACAGTCTTCATTTGCATCTCTCAGAGTTTGCAATTACATATTTGCATGTGTGGATTACTGTCTAACTTCTGGCTCGAGCAAACCATCAGCTACACGAAGACAGGTCAGTTGTGCAACCTTTAATGTGCACATGAGCCCTGACTCCCATGAGAGTGCAGATTTGGACTCCGGGTCTGGTGTAGAGCATTTCCAGCTGGCTCCAGGGAATGCTTCTGGTTCAAGGAACATCCTCAAGGAGCAGGAGCTAGAACTTTCTGAAATGACCTTGCCTGGGCCCAGCCCCAGAGGTCCTGACTTCCTTGGCCTGAGGGGGCTCCTGGCTCAGACAGGATTCCCAGCCCAGGGGCCTTGCCCATCTGCTCTGTTTTGTGCCAAGGTAATTTCTGACCTAACTGGGACCTCGCTGCAGATTCGGTGTTGTGTTTTTGTGTGTGTGTTTTTAAATTTACTATATTGTAAAGGCTTCCTTGAGCCCTTAAATCCTTTTCAAATACCACTTCTGGCCAATTGTGGTGGCTCACACCTGTAATCCCAGCACTTTGGGAGACCGAGGTGGGTGGATCACAAGGTCAGGAGTGCAAGACCAGCCTGGCCAACATGGTGAAACCCCATCTCTACTAAAAATACAAAAAATTAGCCGGGTGTGGTGGCATGCACCTGTAGTCCCAGCTACTCGGGAGGCTGAGGCAGGAGAATCGCTTGAACCCAGGAGGTGGAGGTTATGGTGAGCCAAGATCATGCCACTGCACTCCAGCCTGGGCGACAGAGTGAGACTCCGTCTTCTAAAATAAAATAAGTCCCACTTCTGTTAGCTTCATCATATCTCCACCTGGAAATGTGCTTTCATGTGTTTGATGCACTTACTGTTTCCATTTGTCACCCTTATAAGTATTTTGATGAACATTTCCTGTGGGAATCTGTCTCTGTTTCTGATCACCTGCAGTTGTTCACTGTTCTCACCTGTAGGCCTGGGGTGGGGGCCTTAGATGGGAGGCAGGCCCCTGGGGGTGTGAGGCAGGTCTTTGGTGGAGAAGGGCCTTAGGTGGGAGGCGCAGTCTGTGGGCAGGGGATGGGGCCTCAGTGGGCGGGGCCTTAGGTGGGAGGCGCAGTCTGTGGATGGGGGTGGGGCTTCAGGGCTGCATCTTAGGAGATGCAGTCTGTGGGCCTGGGGGCCAAGACCCTGTGGTGTCTGGGACCTTAGACGAGAGACAGTCTGCGCACCTTGGGGCAAGCCTGGGGTGGGCGGGCCTTGTGGGGGTGGGGACCCCTTGCAGACAATGTGAGCTGTAGGGGCACTTGGTGCCTGCGACTCACCCAGCAGAGCTGATTGAGGAGGCTGGGGGTCAATGTAGAGGGACCTGGGTGGCCTTGTGCATGTGGCCTGTGTTCTCCAGGACCGTGTGTCCGGGAACTCCCCTCCCCTGGCCTCCCCTCCGCTCACCTCCCCTCACCTCCCCATGGCGGCTTCCGCAGTTTTCACTTGGGGTCTCTCTGCTCGCTGCCGTCTCCCCCGTGGGATGTGACTTCCTGAGCACCAGGTCGGGCCCTTTTCCAGCTGTGCTCAGAGGCCTTGAAACCACTCCTCAGATGAACAAAGGTGGGGCCTGCCTCACGCTGGTCACCTGTCGTTTAGTAAATGTTTTTAGTATCTACTGTATACTGAGCTCTCTTGGGGATAAAATGGAGACCATATTTTTCTTTCACCGTTCAGCCCAGCACAGGAAAATACGGGTTCAATGAGTAAGTTTCTACCTGGCTCAAAGAAGTGAGTTCAAATTGAGACACGGCCACGCAAGAGAACACTTCTGTGAACCTCCTGGCCTTTCTGAAGCCCTGGTGGTCTGGTGGTTCCCGGGGTTGACGTCTCGTGAATGGTCTGAAGCCCTGGTGGTCTGGTGGTTCCCGGGGTTGCCCTCTCGTGAATGGGGTTTCTCAGATGCTCTTCTCTTTCTGGGGTCTGTTCTGCTGAAGGGAAGGATGTGGGGTGGGGAGTGAGTGGGAAGTCCTCAGACTCTCAGGAGAATCCACTGGCCTGCAACAGACGCAGTGCCTGCCTTGCAGTCGCCAGTGTGGAACACTACCTGGTGTGTGTGACCCAGTGGCTGCCACTCAAGTTTGACCAGAAGAAGGGAGCTGGTCAGAGCAATTCAGTGCTTCCTTCTTGAGTCATTTGGAAGCAAAGCCTTTTGCAAGAAAACACAGCCTTGCCTCTTGTCACCCGTGTGCAAGTATTTGAAACATTGCCTCCCTGTTTTTGTTGCTTGAAAACATCTTCACCTGCATGCTGACATTTGGCTCCAGATGGGGGAAGATTATGGCAAATGCAATGTCCACAGGGCCGGACTGGTGGGACTCATTGCTCTATAAGGGACATGGAACACATTTCATGACTTTGTGCTCAAACCTTGTCCTGTCTTTCTGTTTTGTGACATTGTCAGCCAATGTCAGTTTAATAAAATTCTAGAGTTTTATTTTAAAACTGGTCAAGCCAGGCCATGCCTGTCATCCCAGCAATTTGGGAGGCTGAGGCAGGAGGATCACTGGACCCCAGGAATTCAAGACTAGCCCTAGCTACATGGTGAGACTGTCTCTACAAATACATATATATTTTTTAATTAGCTGGGTGTGGTGGTTGTGAGCTTATAGTTCTAGCTACTGGAGAGGCTGCGGTGGGAGGATTGCTAGAGCCTGGGAGGTTGAGACTGCAGTGAGCCACACTGCACTGCAGCCTGGGCAACAGAATAAGACCCTGTCTCCAAAAAGCAAATAAACAAAAACTCTGGTCAACAGGTTTAATTCATTAATTCAGTGAAGATTCAAGTGCCTGCTATGTGATTGTAGTCAGTGGTAAGCCGCAGCAGTTTCCTGCCACTCGTAATATGGCAATTAAAAATTTTAAATTTGTGGCTGCTTGGGGTCTGGGAGGTGACCTGCTCCTCAGCAAATTTTGACTGATAAATTAATGCCTGGGTCTTCAGCCTGGTTCTTTGCTGGCCAGTGTGACAACAGTCTGTCACATCTCTGGGGGCACATTATAATTAACAGATGTAATCTTTCTCCGGTTCAGGGTCATCTGTGAATCAGGGGTACTGCCCCAGTAGAACTAGGAACATCCAGCAAAAGACTGTTTTCAAAATATACAATTAAGTGAAAAAAGCATGAAGTAGACCGGTGTTGGTAGTGTGCTACCATTGTTTAGAAAAGAGGGAAGATAGAGACAATTCACATTTGTTTGCTTTCGTATGCATAAGATATCTCTAGAAGGGCACATTAAAAGCTAAGTCTCAAGCCTGTAATCCCAGCCCTTTGGGAGGCCAAGGCAGGCGGATCACCTGAGGTCGGGAGTTCGAGACCAGCCTGACCAACATGGAGGAACCCCCGTCTCTACTAAAAATGCAAAATTAGCTGGGCGTGGTGGTACATGCCTGTAATCCCAGCTACTCAGGAGGCTGAGGCAGGAGAATCGCCTGAACCCAGGAGGCGGAGGTTGCGGTGAGCCAAGATCACACTATTGCACTCCAGCCTGCGCAACAAAGAGAGAAACTCCGTCTAAAAAAAAAAAAAAAAAAAAAAAAAAAAAAAAAAAACTGAAGTCATTGGTTACCTGTGGGGAGGGGGCTGGGTAGCTGGAGATTTCACTAAATACCTTTTGAATATTGAGCTATGTGGTTATATAGCCCTATTCAAACCATAAAGAAAAATATAACAGTGTATGATCCTAATTTTTAAAAACCATACATGTTAAAGAAGCCTGGAAGAATGTCTTCCTACACATTACAGTGGTTTTCTTTGTGGTGGGGTGATGTGCAGAGTTAGACATCCGTGTGTGGGGCCCTCGTGAGCCGGCCCAGAGATGACTAGGTGTGCTCTGATCTCCTTGTCCTCTGGCAGCACCTTGGGTGTCACACTAGACCTGGACTTTCCTCTTTGTATGTGTTGTACATGTGGGAGGGGGCATCTACATTGAAACTTGCTGGTTTCCCCAGGATGGCTACTTTCCCACGCTTCTCCAACTACTTCAGGCAACACTGTCTTGATTTGGGTGCAAAAGAGAAAAAGAATGCTTTTAAAAAACAGCAAGAGTATTTTGAGGAAATGACAAAGGACAATAGAAATGCAGTGTCAGAAACATTTGCCCTTCAAGTTTAATTTTGCTTTTTTGTGAAAACCAGCCTGAAGGGGGAGGTGAGCTGGGAGGGAATCGAGCCAGCACTGTGGCAGAGAGTGAGCAGGATAACTGTGAAGGGGACATTCAGTTGTCTGCCTCTATAAAGGGGATGCTACATCTCCCAAGTGGCTTAAAGATTAAAAATCATGTATGTGCATCTCATGCCCCAAGCAGCTATGAGAACTTTAACATGGCAATGGGCCTTTGCATGAGTGATGGAAATGGCCAGGAGCTTCCCTCCCTTTGGTTTGTTGAAGAACAGCACGTGGGTCCAGGCCCTAAGGGTCCTCCCTAGTGTGAAAGGACCTAGGTGACAAGAAAATACTGTTAAAATTCTCCTCTTCATTATTTTGGACCCTTTGTAAAGGAAAAGCAGACATGAGTCCAACATGCGGTGATGGCTGCTTCGTGCGTAGACTGAGAAACGGTGCCGCAGTTCCTTGGGGATGGTTCTGAGCCAGAGCTGCACTTTGATCAGCAAAAGCGTGACATCCTAAAGTTTTTTAGTCACTAGTAGCTGACTGAGTTTAAGATGAAACCAGCAGGGGACTATGTTTTCAGTGGTAAGAAGAATGCCTACACAGTTGGAGCACTGGGCCAGAGTCAGGAAATGAGGGTCTTAGTTCCAGCCTGGAATCAAGTTTCTCTGTAGCTTTTGGGCAAGTCTTTCACCCTCTCTGAGCCTTCAGTGCAGGGGCTTGGACTGTCACTTTCTTTTTTTTTTGAAACGGAGTCTCACTCTGTCGACCAGGCTGGAGAGCAGTGGCGCGATCTCGGCTCACTGCAACCTCCGCCTCCCAGGTTCACGCCATTCTCCTGCCTCAGCCTCCCAAGTAGCTGGGACTACAGGCGCCCGCCATCACGCCCGGCTAATTTTTTGTATTTTTAGTAGAGATGGGGTTTCACCGTGTTAGCCAGGTTGGTCTTGAACTGCTGACCTCGTGATCCGCCCGCCTCGGCCTCTCAAAGTGCTGGGATTACAGGCGTGAGCCACCGCACCCGGCCTTGGACGGTCACTTTCAATTGGGAAGCTTATGATTTAATTCAGGGCATGAAGACAGATATCCAGCTTTGAAGCACACACCAAACATGAGCCCTGTTTGTGCCGACAGTGAGAGAACCTCACATGATGAGGAGGTTTGTCCAGAACATACTGAATCAGGGCCCAGGCAGTCAGGCAGGCCAAAAGGATTTTGGATTTTTGTTTTAGACAGAAAAAGACTTTCATACCTTCTAGAGTCATTCATGCTCTGATTTGTTTAAACGTATGGTAAATTTAGATAGACCTCTTAGGTATCAAGAAAATTTTATGTTTGTAATATCTTTTAACCTGGAAGGTAAGACATAATCGTGTTAATGGTGATGAGTTATCCTTCAGTATAGAAGTTGAATAATGAAAATAGGTTTATATTGCCAGAGCCCTGTGACTCCAGAAATATCATTCATATACAGTTTTGGTTTCTGAATTAGAGAAGGAGGACTGAGGACTTTTGTAGTTTGGGGTCAGGGTGGAGACAGGCATGTGAGGGAAGGCAAGTTCTACCCTGTTCGGAGTGCCTGCCCTCTGTCCTCCTTACCCAGCCAACACTGTTGGGTCCATTTTAACTGGAAAAGCCAGCCCTGCCAGCTGGGTTGGACCAAACCTCATATCCTGTGCCTCCTCTGTAAGGCCCAGCAGTGATGAGGCATGAGCCTTCCCTGAGTTCTTAACTCTTCATCTTCTAAATGGGTTGTGTGCTTACAGCAGATGCTGGCCTCCCTTGGTCCCTTGGAACATCCTGTTTGCCTGGAGCAAAAGCAGAGTCTCCACTGAGTGCCTGCTGGTGCCGTCCTCGGGGTTGTCATGTTTCTGAACATGGCTTCTAGTTAGCCTTCAATTTCTGGGTCACATGGTAACTCAACATTTTGAAGAACTCCCAGACTGTTTACAAAATCATTTGCACCGTTTTACATTCCTAACAAAAATGTGTGAGGGTTAAGATTCCCACACGTTCTTATCAGCATGTTATCTTTTTTATTACAGCCAACCTGGTGAGTCCGAGGTAGTGACTCCTATGCTTTTGATTTTTTGGTCATCTGTGTATCTTTTTTGGGGAATGTCTATTAAAGTTATTTGACCATTTTTAATGGGGTTGTCTTTTATTATAGAGTTTTAAGAGTTTTCTTTTAATATGCCTTATCAGAGGCACAAGTCCCTTATCAGAGATCTGATTTGCAAATATTTTCTGTCATTCTATAGATTACCTTTTCACTTTCTTCATGATGTTCCTTGAAGCACAAAGGTTTTTAAGTTTAATGAAGTCCAGTTTATCTTTTTTTTCTTTTGTGGTTTCTGCTTTTGGCATCATATTTAAGAAATTATTGCCTAACTCCAGTAATGATAATTTAATTCTATGTATTTGTCTAATAGTTTTATAATTTTAGCTCACATTTAGTCTGTAATCCAATTTGAGTTACTTTTTATATATGGCATGAGGTAGAGGTCCAGCTTTATTGTTTTGCATGTGGATATGCAGTTGTCCCAGCACCATTTGTTGAAAAGACTGTTTTTTCCTCATTGAATTGTCTTAACATTCTTGTCAAAAATAAATTGATTACCAGCTGCAGTAGCCCATGCCTGTAATCCCAGCACTTTGGGAGGCTGAGGCAGGTGGATTGCTTGAGTCCAGGAGCTCAAGACCAGCCTGGGCAATATGGTGAAACACTGTCTCTACAAAAAAAATACAAAAATTAGCCAGATGTGGTGGCGTGCACCTGTAGTCCCAGCTACTTGGGAGGCTAAGGTGAGAGGATTGCTTGAGCCCAGGAGATGGACGTTTTAGTGAGCCAAGATCATGCCACTGCACTCTAGCCTAGGTGACAGAGCAAGACCCTGTCTTAAAAAATGAATAAATAAATAAATTGATGACAAATGTAAGGTTTTTTTCTGTACTCTCAATTCGGTTCCCCTGGTCGTTTATACGTCTCTATGTTAGTACTATGTGTAAGTTTTGAAATTGGGAAGTGTGAGTTCTTCAACTATGTTTTTCGTTTTCAAGATTCTTCTGGATATAGTGAGACCTTTGAATTTAGGATCAGCTTGCTGACTACTACAGAAGATACAGCTAAGATTCTGATGGGGTTGTATTGAATCTGTAGATCAATTTGGGGAGTATTGCTGTCTTAACAATATTAAGTCTTCCGGCTGGGTGCCATGGCTCATGCTTATAGTCCCAACACTTTGGGAGGCCAAGGCAGAAGGATCACTTGAGCCTAGGAGTTCGAGACCAGCCTGGGTAACATAGGAATGACTCCATCTCTACAAAATTAAAAAAAAAAATTAGCCAGGTGTGGCGGCGCATGCCTGTAGTTCCAGCTACTTGGCAGGCTGATGCAGGAAGATCACTTGAGCCCAGGAGGTTGAGGCTGCAGTGAGCTGTGATTGCACCACTGCACTCCAGCCTGGGTGACAGAGCAAGACTTCATTTAAAAAAAAAAGAAAAAAGAAAAAAATTAAGTTTTCTAATCCATGAGCATGAAATGTCTTTCCATTAATTTAGATCTTCTTTATTTTTTCAACAATATTCTGTAGTTTTCAATGTATAAATCTTTCACTTATTTTGTTTATTCCTGTTTTATCCTTTGTAATGCTATTGTTAATGGAATTTTCTTAATTTTTAGATTGTTCATTGCTACTGCTTAGAAATACAGTTTATTTTTGTATGTGGATATTGTATACTAAAATCATGCTGAATTCATTTATTAACTCTAATAAGGTTTTGTTTATGGATTCCTTAGGATTTTCTATATACAAATGCATATCATCTGTGAATAGAGATATTTTAACTTCTTCCATTCCAATCTGATGTCTTTTATTTTCTTGCCTTTCCTGGGTCGAAACTACAGTACAGTGTTAAATAGATGATGTGAAAGTAGACATTCTTGTTTTGTTGTTGATCTCGGGGAAAATCATTGTCTTTTAACCATTAAGTATGATGTTAGCGGTGAGTTTTCATAGATATTCTCTATGTAGGATGAAGAAGTCTCTTTCTATTCCTAGTTTGTTGAGTGTTTTTAATCATAAAAGAGTGTTAGATTTTGTCAAATGCTCTTTTTGTATCTATTGACATGATCATATGGCTTTTGTCCCTTTAATATTGTTTATTACATTGACTGATTTTGGAATGCTAAACCAACCTTGCATTCATGTGATAAATCTCACAGGTCATGGTGTGTGGTCCTTTTTATATGTTGCTAGATATGGTGTGCTAGTATTCTCTTGAGGATTTTTGTGTCTCTATTCATAACAGATATTGGACTGTAGTTTTCTTTTCCTGTAATGTCTTTTTCTGGTTTTGATATCAGGTGAAAGCTGACCTCATAGCATAAATTGGCATCCCTCTTATTTTTTGGAAGAATTTGTGAAGGTTTGATTTTGATTTTGTGAACACTTTGTATAAGTGGCCAGTGAAACCATCTGGGTCTGGACTAAGAAAAGTCCAGACCCAGATAATTCAATTAAACAAGAGATAATTCAATATCTTGTTATAAATTTATTCAGATTTTCTGCTTTTTGAGTCAGTTTTGGTAGTTTGTGTCTTTTTCTAGGAATCAGTCCATTTCATCTAGGTTATCCAATTTGTTGGCATACAGTTACTCATAGTATTCCTCTATGATCCCTTTTTACAATAAAATTTTATTTTAGAAAACTTTTAGGAGGCTGAGACAGGCAGATCACTGAAGGTCAGGAGTTCAAGACCAGCCTGGAGCCTGGACAACATGGTGAAACTCCATCTCTACTAAAAATACAAAAATTAGCCAGGCATGGTTGTGTGCACCTGTAATGCCAGCTACTTGGGAGGCTGAGGCATGAGAATCACTGCAACCTGGGAGGTGGAGGTTGCAGTGAACCAAGATTATGCCACTGCACTCCAGCCTGGGTGACACAGAGAGATTTTGTCTCAAAAATAAAAAATAAAAAAAAAACAAAGATTGCAGAGAGTTCCCATATACACCATACCCAGTTTCCTTTATTATTAACAACTAACATTAATATAGTATATTTGTTAAAATTAATACACAATACTGATATATTGCTATTAACTGAAGTTCATACTTTATTCAGATTTCCTTAGTTTTACCTAATGTCCCTTTTAACTTAATGATCCAAGATCCCATCCAGGATAACACATTGCATTTAATTTTGAGGTCTCCTGATATGGTTTGGCTGTGTCCCCACCCAAGTTTCATCTTGAGTTGTAGTCCCCATAATCCCCATGTGTTGTGGGAGAGACCCAGTGGGAGGTAATTGAATCATGGGGGCAGTTACCTCTATGCTGTTTTTGTGATAGTGAGTTCTCACACGAGCTGATGGTTTTATAAGGGGGCTTTCCCCCAACTTTGCTATGCTCTTCTCCTTGATGCTGCCATGTGAGGAAGGACATGTTTGCTTCCCCTTCCACCATGAATTGTAAGTTTCCTAAGGCCTCCCCAGCCTTGCAGAACTGTGAGTCAATCAAACCTTTTTCCTTTATAAATTACTCAGTCTTGGGCATGTCCTTATAGCAGTGTGAGAACAGACTAATACAGTAAATTGGTACCACAGAGAGTGAGGTGCTACTATAAGGATACCCCAAAATGTGGAAGTGACTTTGGAACTGGGTAACAGGCAGAGGTTGGAACAGTTTGGAGGGCTCAGAAGAAGATAGGGAAATGTGGGAAAGTTTGGAACTTTCTAGAGACTTGAGCTCAGAAGACAGGAAGATGTGGGAAAATTTGGAACTTCCTAGAGACTTGTTGAATGGCTTTAACCAAAATGCTGATAGTGATATGGACAATAAAGTCAGGCTGGTCTCAGATGGAGATTAGGAACTTGTTGGGAACTGGAGTAAAGGTCACTCTTGCTATGCAAAGAGACTGGCGGCATTTTGTCCCTGCCCTAGAAATCTGTGGAACTTTGAACTTGAGAGATGATTTAGGGTGGTATCTGGTGGAAATTCCTAACTAGCAAAGCATTCAAGAGGAACCAGAGCATAAAAGTTTGGAAAATTTGCAGCCTGATGATGTGATAAAAAGAAACCCCGGCTGGGCGCAGTGGCTCACGCCTGTAATCCCAGCACTTTGGGAGGCTGAGGCAGGTGGATCACCTGAGGTCAGGAATTCGAGACCAGCCTAGCCAACATGGTGAAACTGCATCTCTACTAAAAAATACAAAAATTAGCTTGGCATGGTGGCAGGCACCTGTAATCCTAGCTATTCAGGTGGCTGAGGCAGGAGAATCCCTTGAACCCGGGAGGCAGAGGTTGCAGTGAGCTGAGATCACGTCACTGCACTCCAGTCTGGGACAAGAGCAAGACTTCATCTCAAACAAACAAACAAACAAACAAACCCTATTTTCTGGGGAGAAATTCAAGCCTACTGCAGAAATTTGCATAAGCAACAAGGAGCCGAATGTTAATCACCAAGACAATGGGGAAAATGTCTCCAGTGCATGTCAGAGGTCTTCACGGCAGCCCCCTGTCATCACAGGCCTGGAGGCCTAGGAGAGAAAAGTGGTTTCCTGGGCCAGGTCCAGGGCTACCCTGCTGTCTGCAGCCTTGGCACTTGGTGCCCTGTGTCTCAGCCACTCCAGCCGCGGCTAAAAGGGGCCAACATACAGCTCAGGTGGTTGCTTCAGATGGTGCAGTCCCCAAGCCTTGGCAGCTTCCATGTGGTATTGGGCCTGAGGGTGTGCAGAAGTCAATAATTGAGGTTTGGGAACCTCCGCCTAGATTTCAGAGGATGTGTGGAAAGGCCTGGATGTTCAGGCAGAAGTCTGCTGCAGGGGCAGAGACCTCATAGAGAACCTCTGCTACAGCAGTGCGGAAGGGAAATGTGAGATCACAGCCCCCACATACAGTCCCCACTGGAGCACTGCCTAGTGGAGCTGTGATAAGAGGGCCACTATCCTCCAGACCCCAGAATGGTAGATCCACCGACAGCTTGCACTGTGCGCCTGGAAAAGCCACAGACACTCAATACCAGCCCATGAAAGCAACCAGGAGGGGAGCCGTACCTGACAAAGCCACAGGGGCAGAGCTGCCCAAGGCCATGGGAGCCTACCTCTTGCATCAGTGTGACCTAAATGTGAGACATGGAGTCAAAGGAGATCGTTTTGGAACTTTAAGTTTAGTGACTGCCCTGTCAGATTTCAGACTTGCATGGGGCCTGTAGCCCTTTTGTTTTGGCCAATTTCTCCTGTTTGGAATGGGTGTATTTACCCAATGCCTGTACCTCCATTGTATCTAGGATGTAACTAACTTACTTTTGATTTTACAGGCTCATAGGCAGAAAGGACTTGGCTTGTCTCACATGAGACTTTGGCCTTGGACTTTTGAGTTAATGCTGGAATGAGTTAAGACTTTGGGGGACTGTTGGAAGGGTATGATTGTGTTTAGAAATGTGAGGACATGAGATTTTGGAGGGGCCAGGGTGGAATGATATGGTGTGGCTGTGTCCCCACCCAAATCTCATCTTGAATTGTAGTTCCTATAATCCCCATGTGTCATGAGAGGGATCTGGTGGGAGGTAATTGAATCATAGGAGCAGTTACCTCCATGCTGTTCTTGTGATAGTGAGTGAATTCTCATGAGTTTGATGGTTTTGTAAGGGGCTCCCCGCCGCTTCACTCTGCACTTCTCCTTGCTGCCACCATGTGAAGAAGGATGTGTTTGCTTCCCCTTCCACCATGATTGTAAGTTTCCTGAGGCCTCCCAGCCCTGCAGAACTGTGAGTCAGTAAAACCTCTTTCCTTTTATAAATTACCCAGTCTCAGGTATGTCCTTATAGCAGCATGAGAACGGACTAATACATCTCCTTAGGCTCCTTTTAGCTGTGATAATTTCTCAGACTTCTCTTGTTTTTGGTGACCTTGATAGTTTTGAGGAGTACTCTTCAGACATTTTGTAGAATGTCCCTCAATTGAGATTTGTCTGTTATGTTTCTCATTATTATACTGGGATTATGGGTTTGGGGGAAGAAGAAGACAGTGGTAAAGTGGTATCTTGATCACATCATATCAAGATACATGCTATCAACATTACTTATTATTGTGGATGTTGATCTTGGTTACCTGGCTGAGAGTGTTTGCCCGGTTTCTCCCCTGTAGAGTTACTCTTTCTTCCCCCTTTTTATACTGTAGGTTTTGGAATGAACACATTCCGTGTGCCTTACACATAAGAGGTGGGAAGTTATGCTCTACATCCTTGAGGGTGGTGTATCTATTTGGTAATAAATTATTTGGTATTCTTCTGTATGGTAGACCTGTCTACTCTCCCTCATCTATGTACTCAGTCATTTACATCATTGTGGAGTCATGGATTTTATTTGTACTTTGAATTATAATCTAATACTACTTGCTCAAATTGTTCCAACTTCAGTCACTGGGAGCTTTTTCTGTTGGTTTCTATTTCCCTTTGACATACCCACATGATTATGGGCTTTGTTTTGTTTTGGGGCACTTCTTTACTTTCTGGTATTATAAAATACCCAAGGCACATCATGTATATTTCCTGTACCAGCCCTTCAATCAGTCATTTCTCCAAGGAGTCTTGGTTCCTTGCATGCTAGGTGTGATCATTGCTACTAGAATGTTTATAATCCTTGATTCCTTAAGGCCCATAGCAATGTCCCCTTCACCATTACTGATTTTAGTAGTTTGAATCTTCTCTCATTATTTTCTTGGTTAGTTTACCTAAAGATTTGTCAATATTGTTAGTATTTTCAAATAACCAACTTTTGATTTTGTCACTTTCTCTGTTTTTTGAGTCTTCCGTTTATTTCCACCCTAACCGCTATTATTTTCTACTTTCTGCTTGCTTTAGATTAAGTTTGCATTTCCTTTTTCATTTCTAATGGTGGAAGTTTCGATTATTGAATTGAAATCTTTCTTTTTAAATATAGGTGTTTACAGCTGTACATTTCCTTTTCAACACTGCCTTAGCTGCATCCCATAAATTTTGGTGTGGTGTATTTTCATTTTCATTAATCTCTACATATTTTCTAATTTCCTCTGTGATTTCTTTTTAATTCCATAGGTTATTTAGGGGTATGTTTAATTAGCACTTATTTGTGAATTTCTCACATTTTCTTCTTTTATTGATTTCTAATTTCATTTTCTTGTGGTTGGAAGACATACTTTGTATGATTTCAGTCCTTTTAAGCTTATTGAGACTTGTTTTAGGGCCTAAGTATGGTCTATCCTAGAGAATGTTTCATGTGTACTTGAAGAATATTTATTGTGCAGTTGTTGGGTGCAGTATTATACAGATGTCTTCCAGGTCTAGTTGGTTCATAGTGTTGTTTAAGTCTTCTATTTTTTGTTGATCTTCTGCCTAGTTTTATTCATTATAAAAATTGGGATATTAAAGTCTCCAACATTTATTGTTGAACTGTTCATTTATTGTTGAACTATTTATTTCTCCTTTTAAGTTAGTGTTTGCTTCATTTATTTTGGAGCTCCGTTGTCACATGTATATATGTTTATAATTGTTATGTCTTCCTGATAGATTTACCCTTTTATTATAAAATATCTTTTTCTCTTGCATTAAAGTCTATTTTGTCTGCTGTTTATATAGCCACTTCAGCTGTCTTTTAGGTACTGTTTGCATGGTATATTTATTTCCATCCCCTTTCTTTCAACCTATTTGTTTCCCTGAATGTAAAGCATGTCTCCTCATATAACTGGAGAATGATTGTTGTTTCTATTTGTGTTTTGTGTTTTAATCCATTTTGCCAATCTCTGCCTTTTTCTATTAGAATGTTGAATTCATTTACATTTAATTACTGACATAGTAGGATTTGTGCCTGTCATTTTGCTGTTTATTTTCTGTCTCATCATTTTGCTCTCCATTATTGCTTTCTTTTCTGTTAAATATTTTTACGTACAGTTTTATTTCTTTGTTGTTTCTTTTTACTGTATTTTCTTAGTGATGGCTTTTCAATTAACATTTAATTTCAGTTAACATCTTAATTTAAAACAATCTAGCTCAGATTGATACCAACTTAATTTCAATTATATACAAAAATTTTGCTCCGATATAACTCTATTCCCATCCCTATTATTTGTGGTATTGTCATCATACAAATTACATTTTCATATAACATTGTCAAAACATTTTTATAATTATTGTTTTCTGCAGTTGTCCTTTTAAATCAGAAGAATGAGTTACAAGCAAACAAAAATACATTTATACTATCATTTTTATATACCTATGTAGTTACTTTTAACAGTGCTCTTTATTTCTTCTTGTAGATTCAAGTTATGTGTAATGTTCTTTTATTTCAGCCTGAAAGAGGAGGCCCTTTAGTATTTCTTATAAGGCAGATCTACTAATAACAGATTATCTCAGTGTTATTTGTTTATTATTCATTTGGGAATATCTCATGTTTCCTTCACTTTTTATTTTCCTTCTCCTTCATTTTTGGAAGGATAGCTTAGCCGGATATAGAATTATCCCCACTGCCTTCCCCAAACTTGAAGTATGTCATTCCACAGCATTTTGGTCTCCATGGATTTTTTTTTTTTTAACAAGAAGCCAGCTGTTAATCTTACTCTGATGATCTCTTATACAAGAGGAATGGTTTTTCTCTTGCTGCTTTCAGGATTCTCTCTCTCTTTTTTTTGGCAGTTTGCATGTGATGTGTCTAGGTATGGACCTCTTTAACAAACTGCAAGTAGGATACACTTAAACTTTTAAAAATATATAGATTAATTTTTCATCAAATGAAAAGTTTAATGGAAAATTTTGGCTATTATTTTTCCAAATAGCCTTTCTGCCTTTTTTTCCTCTTTCTCTCCTCTGGGACCTCCAGATTTGTTTGATGGTATCCCACAGACCTCTGAGGCTCTGTTCATTTTTCTTTATTCTTTTTTCTTTCTGCTCCTCTGATTGGATAATCTCAATGTACCTATCAAATTTGCTGATTCTTTCTTTTGCCATCTCTAATCTGCTGTTGAGTGCCTCTACTGAATTTTGTATTTCGGTTTTGTAATTTTCAACTCTAGCATTTCTACTTGGGTCTACTTTTATAATTGTTATCTCTTCATTGGTATTCTCTATTTGGTGAGATATCATTCTTTTTTTTTTGAAATGTAGTCTCGCTCTGTTTCCCAGGCTGAAGTACAGTAGTGTGATCTCAGCTCACTGCAAGGTCCGCCTCCCGGGTTCATGCCATTCTCCCGCCTCAGCCTCCAGAGTAGCTGAGACTACAGGCGCTCACCCCCCACACCTGGCTAATTTTTGGTCTTTATGTTTTTAGTAGAGACAGGGTTTCACCACGTTGGCCAGGCTGGTCATGAACTCCTGACATCTCGTGATCCACTCGCCTCGGCCTCCCAAAGTGCTGGGATTACAGGCGTGAGCCACCGCGCCTGTCCGGTATCATTCTTATACATTCCCTTAGTTCTTTAGAAATGTTTTCCTTTAGTTCTTTGAAAATATTTATAATAGCTAATTTAAAATCTTTGCCTAGGAAGTACAACATCTGGGCCCCCTCATGGACAGTTTCTACTGACTGCTTTATTTTCCTCTGCATGGGCTTTTTATTTCAGTTTCTTTGTGTATCTCTTAGTTTTGCTCAAAACTGAACTTTTTTTTTTTTTTTTTGAGATGGAGTCTCACTCTTGGAGTGCAGTGGCATGATCTCGGCTCATTGCAAGCTCTGCCTTCCGGATTCATGCCATTCTCCTGCCTCAGCCTCCTGAGTAGCTGGGACTACACACACCCGCCACCACGCCTGGTTAATTTTTTGTATTTTTAGTAGAGGCTGGGTTTCATCGTGTTAGCCAGGATGGTCTCGATCTCCTGACCTCATGATCCGCCCTCCTCGGCCTCCCAGAGTGCTGGGATTACAGGCGTGAGCCACTGCACCCGGCCAAAACTGAACATTTTAAAGAATAGGACCTTTCCTTCTCAAGGGTTTTGTTGTTGTTGCTGTTGGATTTTTTAGTGACTTTCCTGGACTAATTCTATGAAGTCTGTATTCTTTGTCATGTGTGACTTTCAATCTTTGCTTAGTGTGCTGAGTGTTCAGCTAATGATTAGATAGAGATTTCCTTAAATGCCTTGAAGCTATAAGTCTCCCAGCCTTTGTAGAGTGGCTCTATATCTGTTGGGACACAGCTTCAACACTCTGGTAGTCCAAGTCTGCTTTAGCTTTCACTTTCTGATTGCACAGAACCCCAGAGTCAGATGTAAAAGATCACAGGTGCCTCAGGTCTTTCATGGCCATGCACAAAGCCCTGCCCCTGTGTAGCTGTCTAGATCTCTGGAATGTATCAGAGCTTTTCAAAGCCTTCTTTGAACAGCTCACTCCCCAGGATTTCTTTTTTTCGTTTTTAAAAATTGTGGTAAAATAGACGTAAACTTCATCATCTTAACCATTTTTATGTGTACAGTTCAGTAGTATTAAGTCCAGTAAGTCCTCACTTATCATCGATAGGTTCTTGGAAACTGTGACTTTAAGCAAAACCACTGGTAATAAAACCAATTTACTATGGGCTGATTGATATAAACAAGAGTTAAGTTCCTGCAACATATTTCTCGTCACAAAAACATCACCAAACTTCTAAATAAAGACCCCAAATATTTATTATATTAAACATTTGAAATAAATGTGAGCTATACATTTAAGAAAGATTGATAAAAACAAGATAATTTTTTTTTTTTGAGATGGGGTCTCGCTCTGTTGCTCAGGCTGGAGTGCAGTGGCACAATCTCGGCTCACTGCAACCTCTGCCTCCCGGGTTCAAGTGATTCTCCTGTCTCAGCCTCCTGAGTAGCTGGGACTACAGGCGTGTGCCACCATACCCGGCCAATTTTTGTATTTTTTAGTAGAGATGGGGTTTCACCATGTTGGTCAGGCTAGTCTCGATCTCCTGACCTCATCATCCGCCCGCCTTGGCCTCCCAAAATGCTGGGATTACAGGCTTGAGCCACCACACCCGGCCAAAACAAGATAATTATTTACCCAATTTTTGGTGAATCAGTGACTGACAGCGGTTGTAGCGGTGGTGGATTAAATCAAGGAATAACTGTTTGCAAAGTGAAAATTGTAATGAGCACCTCCCACCACCATGCAGTTCAAAAGCAAACAATAACAAATATGGCCGGCACTTTCATACTGCAGCATTTATCGCAGTCATTTCTTGCCACGTATTTGTGTGATTACAGATTTTTATTTTACAATAATTTGTATTTATTCATTCACTTATTTTCCAACCTGTTTATTCCAGTTCATGGTTATGAGTGACTAGGACCTATCCCAGCAGCTCAGGGAACAAGGCAGGAACCAACCATGGGCAGGACACCATTCCATCACAGGTTACACTCACATACACACCCACAAGGACTTGGACAATTTAGACTCATCAGTTAACCTAATGTGCACATCTTTGGGACGTGGGAGGAAACTGGAGTAACTGGAGAATATGTAAATGTGAGGAGAACATGCAGACTCCACACAGACAGTGTGGCCCTGGCTGGGAATCGATTTTTTTTTATCAGTATTGTAGTGAAATAACATTGAATGAAACATTATTTGAGGACCTGCTGTATATTCATATTGTTACGCAGCCATCACCCATTTCCAGAACTCTTTTCATCTTGTAAAACTCAAACTCTGCATTCAAACTCCTCATTCCTCCTCCCTCAAGGCCCTGGCACCAACCATACTACTTTCTGTCTCTGTGATAAAATTTCGAGTACTCTATTTACCTCATATAAGTGGAATCATACAGTATTGTCCTTCTCTGACCAGCTTATTTCACTCAGCATAATGTCCTCAAGGTTCGTCCATGTTGTAGCACATCAGAATTTCCTTCCTTTTGAAGATGGAATAATATTCCATTGTATGTATGTGTCACCTTTTGCCTATTCATCCATTGATGGATACTTAGGTTTTTACATTCTAGCTATTGTGAATGATGCTGCTATGGACATGGATATACAAATATCTCCTCCAGATTCCACCTTCGGTTATTTTAGTTATATACCCAGAGGTAGAATGCTGGATCATATGGTAATTCTATTTGTAATGTTTTTAAGGAACTGCCATATTGTTTTTCACAGCAGCTGCACTGCTTTACGTTATCACCAGTCGTGCACAAGGATTCCAATTTCTCCACATCTTTGCCAACACTTACTATTTTGCTTTTTCGATAGTAGCCATCCTAATGGGTATGCGTCCCAGCATTGTCTTTTAAATGTGTTTGTCCAATTCCTGTTTGCCCCAATGGTAACTATTCCTCAGGCACTTTCACAGTGATCTCTATACCATAGTGCAGCAATCTTCAAGTATCACATATCCTCTAAAAGAATTTTAAGAACAAGTGTAAAGGAGATAATATATTTTTAAATTGGCATCTAATTTTTATCATAAGAAATATAAATAGCTGCAGAGGATCTAATTTCAAGCATGTTGTAAAATTTTCACTTAAAAGCAAACCTAAAAATACAGATGGCTTTTCAAAAAAAAAGAAAAAAATGCTACTGGGTCCCTTTCACAAAGGACCTTTTACTAAGTGACTAAGAAACTCAATCAACTAGTTTGAACTAAATGTGAATAGTTCCATTTGTCTGTCAGCAGATCATATTTTAACAGAGGCCTTCAATGTATTGACTCAAAGGAATGACTAGTGACGTGTGTTTGGGGATGGGGGGTGGGGAGGTTTTGCCAGTCATATCACATAAGCAGCTGCTTTGAAAATATCCCCACTTTCCGTGGTTTTAGGCAAGTAACTCGTTGTAAGTTCATTAAAGTAAATGCTTTGTATCTGGCAAGAGATGTAAAATTGGCAGGGAGTATGCAATAATTATTTGTTTATAATTAGTCGTTCCCTTTGTAGATAACCTATTTTGGTCCTACTAACAAAATAAACTTGGCCCATGGAAAAAAACTTTTTTTTAAACTTTGATCATATTAGCTTTAAATGTTAAACAGCTGATGCTGATTGTGTTCAGCAAATGCCCTGGGGACAAGGCTTTTCCCACTGAACTTGACCCTATGAGAAGGGCTTTTCCTGGAGCTGCAAGACAGGTCTGACGATGACAGTCCTGAGTGTGGGCTTTGGGGAACTTCCAGACTGGTTCTGCTCCCTCCCAGGCTGTGAGGCTGCTGGATTTCACAGTTGAGAGGTGGATAGGAAGTGAAAGCACCGCAAAGCTTGCTGCTCTTACTGAGATTCAGCTGCTTTTCTAGAATAAACACTCCTTGCATTGTTGCAAGCCATTGATTAATTTCCACGGTTCTCTAAAAGTTGGTTTTGACAGTTTTTCCCAGTATTCTGTCTTTAATGGATAAGCAGAGATTTGCAGGTCCTAGTCTTCCATTCTGGAAGTGCTTGGAGATTAACTTAAAACAGCACTGTCCTGTCATCTTTCCTGTCGTGCTTCCCAGGCTCCTAGCTGTCTTGGGTTTCCATCATCTTTTTGTCTCCTTGCTTATTGACCAAGAGCTGTATGGAACATTACTTTTATCGCAACTGGCTCCAAGGTATTATTCATTCAACAAGCACTTCTCGAGCTCTATCCCTTCTTCTGGAAGGAAAAGGGTCAAAATTATGATAAGAAGTTAGAGTTGGGGGAATAGATAGATATGATTAATAGAGATTGATATGATATAGGTGATAGATGGACATTTCTTATTTTCTATTTATAGTATAATGATGTTATCATTGAATACATTTTAAAGAAAATAAAAATGATTTGCATTTAGAAGCTTTTGATACACTTTGTATTTTTTGAGACAGGGTCTTACTCTGTCATCTAGGCTGGAGTGCAATGGTGCAGTCTCACTTCACTGCAGACTCCACATCCCAGGTTCAAACGATCCTCCTGCCTCTGCCTGCCAAGTGATTGAGACTACAGGCGTGTGCCACCACGCCTGGCTAATTTTTGTACTTTTCTGTAGAGACATGGTTTCCCCATGTTGCCCAGGCTGGTATCAAACTCCTAGAGTCAAACGATCCACCTGCCTTGGCCTCCCAAAGTCCTGGGATTACAGGTGTGAGCCACCACACCTAGCCAGATGCTGATACGCTTTTGCTTATTGATCTTGGTATTTTGTATTTGAGATAATTTTTAATAATTTTAAAAGATGAAATCTCCCCCAACCCCGTTTTTTACTATCCTGTTGTAGGAATAATAGTTGGGGTCAACTACAAAATAGAATAATCATTATCTAAATAATGAATGAGGGTTCATTTAGCTAGAAGCATTGAAGAATAAGAATTTGCACACCTGTGTATTTCCCAATAACAAATAATCTTATTCTTTAAAAATAAACATGGGATTCATAGGCTTACATACATTTCTTGCCATATACCTGGAATTAGCCATTTTGCCTCGGAACCATGGGTCCTTTTAAGGGGAAATGATACAGCTCATAGTGTCAGGGTACTGGTGAGGGAAAGGTGTGTTTTTTTTTTTTGTTTGTTTGTTTGTTTTCTTTTTTCGAGATGGAGTCTCACTCTGTTACTCAAGCTGGAGTGCAGTGGTGCAATCTTGGCTCACTGCACCCTCTGCCTCCTATGTTCAAGCAGTTCTCCTGGAGCACCCTCCCAAGTAGCTGGGACTACAAGCGTGTGCCACCACGCCTGCCTAAGTTTTTCTGTATTTTTAGTAGAGATGGGGTTTCACTATGTTGGCCAGACTGGTCTCGGACTCTCCCTTGGCCTCCCAAAGTGCTGAGATTACAGACATCAGCCATCGCTGGCCAATGTGGACTTTTTGATGGGGTTATCTATTAACTTGCTACTAACCTAGGCCAGGCACAGCAATGCAATCTTTTTTAGGAAATTTGATTTTTTTTTTTAACATAAACAAGGTCTTGCTATGTTGCCCAGGCTGACCTGGAACTCCTGGGCTCAAGTGATCCTCCTGCCTCAGCCTCCAAGTAGCTGGGACTACAGGTGTATACCACCATGCCTGGCTTGAGTATTGATCTTTCATTGAAATTGGTCACTGGTTTGGAGTGAGGAGATGACCTCCCGGGATAGGATGGCTCCCTTTGAGGCATTTTATGTGCGGGATAGTAGGTGAATGAATGAAGCCCAGCAGATGTTGAAGCAGCCGTCCTGTTGTAAGTCCTGCTATACGAACAAACACCCACATGAAAAACAATGAAAATATTAGGGAGTGCCAAGTCTCCTGCTAACCTTTAATGGTGGTTTAGGCATTTTCATAGTGATCCCTGAACTCTGATGTTGTGGTCTTCAAATGTCACATGAAGCCTGAAAGAATTTTGAAAAACTACCACTATAAAAGGGGATGATATATTTTTAAGTTGGTACCTGAATTTTTTTTAGTAAATATAAATAGTTTGCAAAGGATGTAATTTACAGCATGCTGTAAATATTCCATTACAAATAAAGTTTTTGGTGCATGATCTTCTAAATACAGCCAGTGAAATCTAAATGCTGCAGTGATTTGATACAGTGAAATCTAAATGCTGCAGTGATTTGATACAGTGAAATCTAAATGCTGCAGTGATTTGATACAGTGAAATCTAAATGCTGCAGTGATTTGATACCACTATCATGCATTTTAAAATAGGATAAACAGACTCTTATTTTTGCCACTTTTCTGACTCTGAAGAGCTCTTTTCTAATCAGAAATTATACATGGTTTCTTTTTCTCTTTGATTTCTTCTTCCCATTACTCCCTCAAGAGATTTTTGTCCTAATATTTTATTCTAATAACTTATGCTTCGTTACCCCTGTTACTCTTCTCTGCAACAAAAAATATGTATAAATTGAAGTTCAAATATTTTTCTCTTGTGGTCCTGGGGCTCTATTTGTTAAAAATATTTTTAAGTTGTTTACTAGTATAGGGTTCTAGCTTGCAAGATGAAAAGCAATCTAGAGAGTGGGTGCATAACAGTGTGAATGTACACTCCTGAACTGTACACTTAAAAAGAGCTAATATGGTAAATTTTATGTGTGTTTTACCACAATTATAAATGAAATAGATTGTTATAGTAAATTTCTAGATTGAGTTATTAACAAGTATTATCAAATGGTGATTGGAACATAGTTGTGCAATTTGATAATCACTAGCCATCCAAGTAAACATCTGAAGAATCTTTCGTTTACATTAAGTATTTATTGATAATCACTAGCCATCCAAATAAACTTCGGAAGAATCTTTCATTTACTGTTAAGTATTTATTGATAATCACTAGCCATCCAAATAAACATCGGAAGAATCTTTCATTTACTGTTAAGTATTTATTGATAATCACTAGCCATCCAAATAAACATCGGAAGAATCTTTCATTTACTGTTAAGTATTTATTGATAATCACTAGCCATCCAAATAAACATCTGAAGAATCTTTCATTTACTGTTAAGTATTTATTGATAATCACTAGCCATCCAAGTAAACATCGGAAGAATCTTTCATTTACTGTTAAGTATTTATTGATAATCACTAGCCATCCAAATAAACATCGGAAGAATCTTTCATTTACTGTTAAGTATTTATTGATAATCACTAGCCATCCAAATAAACATCGGAAGAATCTTTCATTTACTGTTAAGTCTTTATTGATAATCACTAGCCATCCAAATAAACATCTGAAGAATCTTTCATTTACTGTTAAGTATTTATTGATAATCACTAGCCATCCAAGTAAACATCTGAAGAATCTTTCATTTACGTTAAGTATTTATTGATAATCACTAGCCATCCAAATAAACATCTGAAGAATCTTTCATTTACTGTTAAGTATTTATTGATAATCACTAGCCATCCAAATAAACATTTGAAGAATCTTTCATTTACTGTTAAGTATTTATTGATAAATGAGGTAGGCTGGCACTAATTGTTTTGCAATTTTTATTGTTGGGTGTCAACACTGTGAAGCTTCATTTGCACACTCAGGTAGATGAGAGTGAAGGCCCCTAAGCACAGCTCAGTTCTTTGAACTCTCAACAGGTTGTGTGACAAAAATAATAGGGTGGTCTCTCAAAATTATTTTGATAATTAGCTGACAGTTCAGTTAGGACAACTTTATATTTTGTCAAAAGCAAGTAATTGGAAACTACTTGACTTGCAAGGTTTATTGCCTGGTCATTAGAGCCATTCACTGTTTCAGTTTCTGGTAAGTATACTGGAAGGACTTTACCAAGAAGTATGTGACAATGAATTATACCTGCTAATTCCTTCATTTAGAGGACTCTTGTTTAATCTGATATCATGGGGAAATAAAAATATTTAGTACCCAATACCAATATGATTTTTAAATACAATGCTTTTGTCATGTCACATTTCACATCTCTTTTTGTCAAAACTTTGGAGCTCATTCAACATATGAAGCATGTTTACCATATAGCTGGGTTGGCAAAGTCAGCCTCATCATTAAACACAAATCAACCTTGTTTTCTCTCAGGAAACAGTCTGAATTTATTTTTCATTTCAAGTTAACATGCTAAGACATATTTTGAGAAAATTATTGAACGTACTGAGAAACTGAGATGTGTTTTAGGTTAGTTGCTAAATAAAGTTAAGACTGAAACATTGTAGAACTAACATTTAGCCTATGCTGTTTCAGGGAGGCCTGGCGTTCCTGAGGTGAAAGTGAGCTGTATCCCTTTGCGGTGATACTGAAGTGAGAATTATATAAAATTCAAAAACACTCTTACTAGTTGCATTAGACATGATTAAATTATCTTATGTATTCAGTTAAACGAAAGCCATATAGTGATACAAGGAAATTGCTTTGGAAGTTGGTATATGTATTAGTCCATTCTCACATAGCTGTAAAGAAAGACTACAGACTGGGTGGTTTATAAAGAAAAGAGACTTAATTGGCTCACGGTTCCACAGGCTGCACAGGAAGCATGGTGACCATCTGCTCCTGGGACGGCCTCAGGGAGCTTTTACTCATGGCAGAAGGCAAGATGGGAGTAGGCATCCTACATGGCAGGAGCAGGACTAAAAGAGGGGGAAGGTGCTACACACTTTTAAAACAACCAGATCTCGTGATCACTCACTCACTCACCATCACAAGAACAGCACCTGGAGTTGGGCTTAACCATTCATAAGAGCTCTGCCCTCATGATCCAGTCACCTCCCACCAGGCCCCTCCTCCAACACTGGGGATTACAATTCACCATGAGACCTGGGTGGGGACACAGATGCAAACCGTGTGAGTATATATGAGCTATGTGAGATGGGAAAGACAAGGATTGATGTTAGTGAAATAAATGCTTTGTGATCTGAAAGATACCGCATAAAACTGATGTTGTAGGCTTTACATGTGTGTCTTAAAGTTTTGGAGCCCCTGTGTGTGAAAGAATCTGCATCGCCTACATGCTGTACCAGTGTCATCCTTGGGTGAACGTTTCCCCTTGAATAACGGGGAGAGATTTCAAGGGTTTGCTCTGCTCTGCACTTCTGACAATAGCAGGAGATAGAGGAGAGCCCTTTCCTCTGCCCCTTCCAGGGTGCAGCCGTGTTCAGAGCATGTAACTGTCCAAATACCAAGTTCTGGGGTCCCACTTCTTCCCTTACTGAGTATGTAGACCGTAGGTTAGAGGGGCTTTGATTAGTCATTGAAAGTGGCTTTTCCCAAACTATTGTTATTATTATTATTATTATTAAGACTGAGTCTCACTCTTTTGCCCAGGCTGGAGTGCGGTGGCATGATCTTGGCTCACTGCAACCTCCACCTCCCAGGTTCAAGGGATTCTCCTGCCTCAGACTCCTGAGATTGCTGGGATTACTGGTGTGTGCCACCATGCCTGGCTCATTTTTTGGTACTTTTAGTAGAGATGGGGTTTCACCATGTTGGCCAGGCTGGTCTTGAACTCCTGACCTCAAGTAATCTGCCCGCCTTGGCCTCCCAAACTGCTGGGATTACAGGCGTGAGCCACCATGCCTGCCCCAAGCCAGTATTTTGAATTGTCCCATTGTTGTAGGCCCTGGAGATTTTTTTTTTTTTTTTAATTGCTGAGGGCAGTGCACAATGGATGAGAGGTTTGTTTTGCTTTTGGTAACCTGGGGGAAGTGCTTTTTGAAAGGGAGGTAGAAAAGGAGATTTGTTCTTGAGCAATTCAGTTTCACAAAGAATCTGTGGAGGTTAAGGTCTAGTGGCTGATTCCCATAAAACCAGTGGTTCTCTGTGTGTGGTCCCCAGATCAATAGCATCAGCTCTTTCAGGAACTTGTTAAAATGCAGATTCTTAGGCTGTACCTCAGCACAGTCAAATCCAGAACTCTGGGGGGCCTCCAGGTGATCCTGGCACAAACACGTCTGATCTTAGATGACCTTCCCTGACTCATTCATACAATGTCTAGATGATATAATGACTAGTTTTCCATAAACATTACTTTATTTGTATATATTTTGGAACCAATCTAATTAGTTTTCAACTGTATATGTACCACCTGATGAATAAAGATCCCGAATTGCCGAGTGAGGAATGACAGGAGCCGGAACCCTTGGGCATGACCCTAACCTCATGTCCCCCTGGGGTCCTCTCTTGGAGGGTATCCTGGAGCTCTGCGGGCAGCTCATGGGCATCTGAGCCAGGGTTGGGGTCTGCTGGAAAAGAGGTTAGTCCCTAGATGTTTCCCAAACCTGGACCACCTAATGACAGCTCCTGAGGCGGGTGTACATGTCGCCTTTAGGAAAAAGACCAGACCATCATCCTGTCTCCCTTGGACTTGTATGATTTTAACCAGGTTCCTTTATTCTTGCAATTTCATGTCTACTTCTGATCCTTTTGAAATGTAACCATTACTAAAGTACAAATCAAATGAAGACACTTCCTAGCTTAAAATTAAGACCCGTAAGGTCTTAATGGTCTTTTGCCTTTGGAAACAGTCCCGAGGTTTCATCCGGCCTTGCGTCCTCTCCTGCCTCTGAGTTTCCTAAGCCCTGCCCCAAGCTGTGCAGATGTCCCTTCAGCAACCACAGATGAGGCAAGGGACCTTGCTGAGGAAGGATTCTCCTTTCATGCCACCCAAAAAATTAACATTAATTTTGACGTTGCTTTTTCCTACAACATGAGCTACACAGCCCGTCCTATCCTGTCCTCAGGATATTCATCTGTGTTGATGACTGAGCTGTCCCTCGGTCAGTGTGGACGAGAGGGCCGTCCTGGGTCTCTGTGGATGAGCGAGCTGCTGCCTGAGTCACTACTGCTTTTAATTGTTTAGGGTCCCTCTTCCTGTATTATAATTTCTTATTTAGTCACTGTGAGCTCTGTGAGAACTGAGCTGTTTGTCACTATCTCCCCAGGCCCTTGTGGAGAATTAATAAATACTTGTCCTTTTATTTTCTTAATACAACATTTTAAATTCATCAGCCTCTGTAGCAAACAGTATGAGATATCTCAGAGAACTGAAAATAGAGTTACCATTGGATCCAGCAGTCTTACTATTGTGTTTCTACCCAAAGGAAGAGAAATCGTATTAAAAGCATTTGTAGCTTCATTCCAGCACTATTCATAATAGCAAAGATGAAATCAACTTATGTGTCTATCAGTGGATGATTGATTAAAGAAAATGTGGAATGTAAATACTTGTTTGTTAAGTACACTAACCACACCTTATTTCTGGATATTTCTCTGGTATTTATTAATGCCCCTCCCCCCACCCCGTCTCTTGCATTGTAGTTTGGGGCGGAATTCCGAAGGTTCTCTCTGGACCGTCATAAGCCTGGGAAGTTTGAAGATTTCTACAAGCTGGTTGTGCACACCCACCATATCTCCAACAGTGATGTAACTATTGGCTATGCAGATGTGCACGGAGACCTGCTGCCCATCAACAATGATGACAACTTCTGCAAGGCGGTTTCTAGTGCAAATCCCCTGCTCAGGGTCTTCATCCAGAAACGAGGTACTGAAGTGGTTGAGTGGCCGGCTGGTCTTGTTGAGAAATCATTTTTAAAATACAGTTTTCAATTTTTTCTGTCATTACAGGACTATGTGGTTCGTTTTCTAACCTGTAGTAGGAGATTAAAGAAATTAAAAATTGTTTCATCAGCATTAATAGACAAAATACTAAACTGTGTTTTCTACTTTAAATGATATTGACTTCTGACTTTTAAATACTG
Organism: Homo sapiens; assembly: GCF_000001405.40. Taxonomy (NCBI): domain Eukaryota; kingdom Metazoa; phylum Chordata; class Mammalia; order Primates; family Hominidae; genus Homo; species Homo sapiens. The sequence continues at coordinate 80,202,492 of NC_000018.10, read as the reverse complement.
AAGAAAGAATAATATTGATACTTCCAGTCATTTAACTAGAAGTGAAATGACTCAGTGATAAGGAGGCTTGAGTCAGTGGCCTCAGAATGAAACTTGGGGTTACGGTGCATGCCCTCCATCATCTTGTTAGGAGGAGGGAGCATGTTAGCTTTCGATGATAACTTTGGTTAACTTTTAGCTCTGAGGCCCAGTTTCGCTATAAGTAATAATATCATTTTATGTTAAAATAAATTACTAACATAGGTTAATGGCTGAAAGGGAAGGGGTGCCCTACTGCTGACTTATTGTGGGACCTCATACTGCTCACGTCTCTGGACTGCATTTAGATTTTTTTTCCATCTCCAAACTTCGGAGAACCTTGTTGTTTCAAAATAATATGCTGAAAGAAAGAAGCACCTGCAGGTGAGGCTTGATATTGGGAAAATGGCATTTTTATAACTGACTGCCTCTCCTTTGGGCGGCCCCACGGTGCAGGTGGTGAACACTGACCACCTCAAGGAACCAAGCAGCCAGTGGTGACAGTTGCAAGGTGAGGTTGCAGTGTGCCCTGTCTGCCCTCATGGATCTGCTGCCAGAGTCTCTGGGACAGCTAGGAGAGGTTTCCCGGAGGAAAGGCTGAGCTGAGACTAGAGGAAGCAGCAGCAGGGTGCTGGGTGGGAGGCGGGCTGGGCGAGTTCTCAGACGAGGCCCTCCGCCTCCTTCACCCCAGCGTCCTGCTTTGCAAAACGAGGGTCCTCATAGTAACCCCCATCCAGTTTCTGTGAGGGTGATGCTGAGCAGCGTGCTGCCAGCTCCTCGTCCCTGCTCTGTAAATACTAGCTATGGCTGTTATTCCCATTTGTGGTGATGAAGGGAACGGCAGGAGACTCGTTGACCTCACTTCAGACAGATTCTCTGGCACAAGATCAGAACACTCTGCATCTGCAGTTCTCACTGGGCCTGGGTATCCTGCTGACGGTGCTGAGAAGTCAACACAGCTGTCACTTCCTCACAGTGGCCTGGGGGACGGGCTGAGCTTCAGCTTCCACATCAGTCCTTCGGGGTTGCTGGGGGCAAGGACCCTCGCTGTCTCTGCATGGCTCTGCACAGCCTCCAGCGTGCCACACCTCGGTCCTCTGTATGCTGCCCTCTGCAGTGGCTGCTTGCTGCTTGGCTGGTCCTGGAATGGAGGCCTGTGCCCCCTGCCCCCTGCCCTGGAACTCTCTACCCCTTCACATTGCCTGGGTGTCTGTATCTGTTCACAGGCTGCCTTCTCAGGAAGGCCTGGTCTCAGCTGCTTGATCTGATGAGCCCGTGTTCCCCTCTGCCTGTCGTCCTCTGTCCTCTTACTCGGCTTCCTCTGGGCTCTGTCCATTGCTCCCAGAGCTGGTTTGCCGTCTGTCTCCACCCGACCAGGAGCGTAGGGTGGGGGTGTGTTCCTGGCTGTGCCCCTGCCATCCCAGGTCACAGCATTTGCTCACATGGTGTGGGGTGAGCAATGGTGTGAAGAAGGTGTGTAAACTGCAGATGTGCGCACAGGCTTTGTTGCCCATCGTGCAGGAAACAAGTCTTTTTGTCCCGCTGACTGTGGAGCTGGGGTGAAGGCCAGCAGAAGGCACTGTGCCCTTTGGAGGTGGGCCCCAGGCGTCTTGGCACCCTCTACTGGGGATGCATCAAAGCTGGGCTGGGACCAGAAAGTGGGCTTGTGTGTTGCCCATGGGAACGTGCTAACCTCCAGCAGCAGCTCGGACACTCTGCCTCTTTCCAGCTTGCTGGCTGGGGCCCTGTGTTCAGTCTTCATCATTTATTTTTCCTTCTTCCTCTGCCCTCAGAGTAGTAGCCCAGTTTAACTAGCTGGCTCAGGGTTTCTCAGTCTCTCGTGGTTATAGCGTGAGCGTGTCGCCAGCAGCCCCTGCCTTCCTCTGTCATGTTACAGTGTGGAGCTAGGGAGACCTGAACTCAGACCCCACCTTCTCCCTGGCTTTGTGACACAAACACACGCCTCATCCCGCAGAGCTCTACCGTCCTCATCTGTGGCACGGGTGGTAGTGCCTGTCTCTGGGGTTGTTGTCAGAGCTTAACAGCGACATCTGCTGATGACAAGCCCTTCACTGGCCCCTCGGTCCTGTCTTTGGGAAAATCAGAGCTGCCTCTCGCTGTCCTCAGTGGATTTGACTGTAAAGATGACGACATTCCAGGTGGCAGTCAGGGGCAGTTGTTTCCGGTGCACAGTCAGGCACCCTCCCTGCATAGTAATCTGTGCTGATGTTTCATAATCTGTGTGTTTGCGTTTGGGGCAGAGCTGAGGCCCCTGAGAGGCAACACTCAATCCCACAGCCTTTTTACTGCAGCAGGGGTGTCGAGGGGTCAGTCACGGTCATGCTATTTTCAAGATTCTACTGCAGCCGTACCCACTGTGTCATTTACTTAATAACTTTCTGTACACGGACGTATTTTATTTAAATATATGTTAAGAGGGAATTTACTATCACAGAGGAAAAGTCAGCATTCTCCTAATACATGTTGGAATAAACCCACAATTATGTTTTAAAAAATTAATCTGTTGCTCAGCCAGGCATGGTGGCTCACGCCTGTAATCCCAGCACTTTGGGAGGCCGAGGCGGGTGGATCACTTGAGGTCAGGAGTTCGAGACAAGCCTGGCCAACATGGTGAAACCCTATCTCTACTAAAAAATATATAAATCATCCAGGTGTAGTGGCATGTGCCTGTAGTCCCAGCTACTCGTGAGGCTGAGGCAGGAGAAATCGCTTGAACCCAGGAGGCAGAGGTTGCAGTGAGCCAAGATTGCACCACTGCCCTCCAGCCTGGGTGACAGAGCGAAACTCCGTCTCAGAAAAAAAGAAAAATTAATCTGTTGCTTAAAATAATCTCTTCCTCCAAACCATACAAAGACACAGTGATAAACTACAGAACAGCATTCCTTTATGAATGTAGATGTAAAAACCCTTCAGCAAAATACTAGCACATGGAAAAATGCACCCACACAAAAAGTACACGAATGTTCATAGTAACATTATTCACAATATCCATAAGGCGAGAACAGCCCACGCGTCCATCAGCTGATAAATGGATAAAAAAGTGTGCGCATGTGCGTGTGTGTCTAGTCATGCAGTGGAATGTTATCGAGCCATGAAAAATGATGCGCTGACACATGCTACAGATGGATGAACCTCAGAAACCGTATGTTTAAGAGTGAGAGAAGCCGGACATAAAAGTTCCCATATTGTATGATGACTTTGGAAGTTGATTCTCATTATTCAAGGACTGTGTATTGATGAAATGTTGTGACCAGAGGCTAACAGGAACCTAACCCTGTGTCCCCCGGAAGCAATGGTTCTATGCTCAGTAATTCAGTGACCATGTCAACTTTAGAGAACAAACTACTACACGTGACAAGAATCCTCTGTAATGTGAAAAGTCCAGAATGGGCAAATCCATAGACTCATGGTTGCCAGGGGCTGAGAGGTGGGGAGAATTGGGAGGGAGGGGGTTTCTTTCTGGAGTGATAGAAATGTTCTAGAACTAGAGATTTGCATAAATACCAACAACCATTGAATTCTACACTTTAAATGGGTGAAGTTTATGTGAATTATTTCGGAATAAAGCTGTTAAAAATAGAAAGGACTGTCTACCTTACCAGGGCGGACAGGCTGATGATCAGACCCCTGGATCTGAGCCATGGCCCTGGGTAAGGTTTTCTGGGTTTATCTCCAGCCTTTATTTCCAAAATTCAGCCATTCTCCATATGTGAATACTTTGACTTTTTAATAAACATATTTGTTCAAAACTTTAAAAAAAAATCCTCTCTTCCCCTGGTAATAGGAAACTTCCTGTGCTTCTCTGAGAGGGCTCCAAGCCTGGTGAGTGCCCCAGGTGGGCACAGGAGTGTGGCATCCCCAGCTGTCTCCCTGTCCTCACTGGGAAGGCACTCAGCACAGCCCAATGGGACTAGCTGGGCCTGTCACTTTGTTACCAATAAAAATGAGATATTTTCATATCCTGTGGTAGTTGCATTCCAATATCCTAAATATCATTTACAGTAATCATTATTTAAAAACAACGGTACATATTGTTATTTAATGCATGAATAAGAAAAGTAATCTGTCACACATTTGTTTTACTATTCTGATAATTGTCTTCAAAATAATTTCCTCTATAATCCCCTGTGCTTTATTTTATGCCTTTAGGAACGTTATTTTGAGAAAGGTGTTCCCTAGCATCATCAGATTGCTAAAGGGCTCTCGGCTTATACCAGGTTAAGAGCCCCACTTGCAGAGAGGCTGCATTTGAGGCTCAGACGACAGGCCAGGAATGACTTGTTTTTCATTCTCCTGGGATGATCCGGACGTTCTCTCCGGACGTTCTCTCAACGACTACATGGCATTTGGGGGCAAAAGGACCCAGCCTTAGGCCTTCACTGCCTTTCTTCTTTATTTGCTAGGCTTCTGCTGCATCTGGCCAGGGACTGTGAAAAGCCATGGGCTTTTCCCTTGGACACATGACAGCTGTCTTTGCCCTTCTCTGTATCGCTGTGCCCATTTAAGTGAGAAGAACAGCAGTTACCAGAATGGATTGGCCACGATGAGAGGGTCTGGACTTGAGTCTGCGTATTTAGGTTGTAAATACAGAATGTGTTAAGTGTTAAGGACCCGCTTCTCTGTTCCCCTGCCTCCCCAAGGGTGCAGGAATGTTTTGGGAAGCTGGCCCTTGCCAGAGAATGCACAACCAAGTTGATACTTGGAGCATCTCTATTTTTAGCAGGATAAACAGGAAGTGCAAACAGTAACTTTTCCCTGCTTATCCATCAAATAAACTCTGCAAATGCTAGCATACCCTGCAGTGTGGTTACTCACCTCCAGGCACAGCCCAGGACTTGGTAGGGTGTCTTAGTAGCTCCTCCTCAGGAATATGAAGGCTTAATTACACCGAAAGATGTTCAGCACAGAGCACTCTGAACTCCTTACTTTTAAAGCTAACATCAGTATTGCCCGTTTGCGTATGGCTGTTCACTGTTCTTGGCATTCTGGGCATTCTTTTGGGTTCCTAGAATGAGGAGAACACAGTTGTAAACTATTTGATTTATCAGAATTTGCCCGATGGGGTGTATTTTGCTCTGATTTCACTTAAGTGAGTTACTAGAAAAAGGAAGGGGTATGGAATGATTGAGAATCTTGTTATGGACACTGGCAGGATTTTCAAGTATCAAGCATAGAAATCCTGCTTATAATTGTTTTTCTTGGATTCTTAGGGAAATAGCTAGAGGTATGTTTGGTTTTTAAATTGAGGGTTCACTGCTCATCAGGAAGCCCTCAGTTAAGCCGTCAGAATTCAATTTCTGCATTCCACGCCCCATTGTAGTCTCTTTCCTCGGACACCGCCTAGGGGCTTGAGGTTTTGTTTCTTGGGGGCAGGGAAGAGGTATATTTTTGCTGAATTAGCCTCACTGTGTCCATGTGCTTATGGGAACAGACAGAACGTGGGCTTTGCCCTCTGGGGTAGGAGGTTTTCCATGAGACATGTTTGCTGCTTTAATTGCCACAGATTCCTGGAAGTTTGTGTGTTTGGAGGATTTTCTTTTTTTTTTTTTTTTTTTTTTTTTTTAATAAAAGAAAAAAGTCTCCCACTCCACCGTGGGAATGTGGAGAAGATGAAATTCCTGCAGCCGCGTTCACGCTAGAGTAGGAGTGTGTTGAGGGAGGAGAAAATGTGCTGATGTAGCTTGTCAAAAAGAAACAGAGCCAGAGGCCCCCCTCCAGAAGAATCCAGGGTTGTCCTCCAGGGCGCCCACATGAAGCCGAGCCCTGCAGGCGCTGTGAGCAGCCGCCCTGCTCTCTGCCTTGATTCTCTTCCAATTGAGCCAATGGGAACAGAGAGGGAAACAGATGACTAACTTGTATTCTCCTGTAGTCCCAGCAAAACACCTTGTATGTAAATGGTGAGAGTTTATATTGCTTGGAGTCTGTGATTTTCTTACTTTTCTTAAATTTAAACCCATAATGTATTTATAATTTGGATTATCTTTAAAGACCTAACATATCATAAGCATATCCATCATTAAATTCTTCATAAAACTTTGTTGTTTTTAAAAAAGCTCTTCTGTTTAAAACATATTTGTAAAACAAGATTTGGATGACATGGAAGCAATCCCACCACCCCGAGGCAATGACTTTTGCATTTTGGCAGAATCATTCCAGGCCTCTCACTGTAGACGTGGTTAGTTGGACGTAGTTTTACACAAACAGGGTCATAATATACATGGCATAGCAATTATTTTAACCTACCACCATATTTTTTGTCTTTTTGTAGATGTATGTAGACATACATCAATGGTGGACATATCAGTTACACAGCTCTAACAAAGTATAACCAAGTCCTTATTAATTGTTATTTAAATTGTTACAATTTTATTATAAACTATGTTGTATATTTTAAAATACTTGTCAGGTTCTGTCTTTAAGGGAAACTGGTAGAAATGTTCTTGCTGGGTTAAAAGGTATGAGTATTTTGAACTAAAATATATATATTGCCAGGGGACCACTCTTTTGCAGGGCTCTAGAGTAACGTTTGAATTGGTTCTTTTTTACTTTAAAAAAAAAAAGTTTACTTTTTTTTTTCTTGAGATGGAGTCTCGCTCTGTTGCCCAGGCTGGAGTGCACTGGTGCCATCTCAGCTCACTGACACGGCCACCTCCCAGGTTCAAGCGATTCTCCTGCCTCAGCCTCCTGAGTAGCTGGGACTACAGGCACGCGCCACCACGCCTGGCTGATTTTTTTGTATTTTTAGTAGAGACAGGGTTTCACCATTTTGGCCAGTCTGGAACTCCTGACCTCAGGTGATCCGTCCACCTCAGCCTCCCAAAGTGCTGAGATTATGGAGCCATCGCACCTGGTCAGAAAAAAAAAGAAAAAAAAATGTGTGTATATATATATATATATATATATATGTATCTTTGAAGACTCTTATTGTGTGGGACAGGAACTCCTGATCTTTGAATTTTCCCTCTTGAATGCTGCAGTGAAGGCCGGCAAGGGTCTGGCCTGAGGTGCAGGGGGAGGCTGCTTTCCTGCCGGAATAGCACCGAGGGGGGCCAGGTACATGGCTGCCCACCCTGGGAACAGGGATTCCCGCCTGCTCCAAGCACCTGGCATTTTGTATTCATGGACGCTCCTGTCAGCCTGGCCTCGGTGGATGAGGAGCTGCAGGTCTGCAGAGTTCAAGTCTAGCAAAAAGGATGCTGCCCGTGAGCAGATTGTACCTGTCAGTTGGCCAGAGTGTTGTGTGGTAAAAATGGCCATGTCATTGTTTCTGTCATGTCAGAGTGGCTTGTGTGATGATTAACACATTTGTGTGGGTGCAGTTTGATGGAACTGAGGCCAAGCGTGGAGGCACAGGTTGGGGCTTTCTTTTCATATTAGGCCAATGATCATCTCGAGCTCAAGTGATTCGTCCAAGGTGGGACTCTGGCTGGCAGAGCTGGTTTCCTGTCCCCTCCTCCTCCTGCCGTTTTATTCCCCAGCCACACAGTGAGACGCAACAGTGGCGCTGCTGTTCTCTAGCAGTCGGCCCAGGAGGGTTGTCTCTAGTCATATCTCTGCTGCAGCACAGCCATCCCCTCGGAGGGGCTCACTTGAGCCCCTGGTCTCCTCATGCTGACACCTCACACGCAGGTTTCTCTGTTCCCATGGGTATCATTTCCCCCCTCAGTTATGTCCATCTCTTTCCTAGTTCACATCCTTTACTTCCTAAAATTCACCTCTGTTACCATTGTTACTTCAGGAACCCTTAGAAATAATTCCCCACGTGGCCTAGGATCCTCCTGCACTAGTATTTTGGAGCCAGGATTATGAAATATGCAAAGTCCAGAGCTCACCCCTACCCCACGGAACTAAGATCTCGGGGGGGTGAATGTCCATAGCTCATGCACGTTGACGTTTATGAACCTCTGCCTGAGAACATTTAGAATGTTCTCAGAAACACGTAATGTTCTACTGCTAACCAAGGATTTCTAAAATTATCGTGTGACTCTCACAATAAACCAAGTTGTATAAGTTTCCTCCTTTTATACATGATGACACTGAGGCTTCAAGAAAGGTCAAACATTGTGAATAAGTTCTCAGCTAAAGTTTGAAATTTAGTTCATGTATCCATGAGTTAGGGCCCATTTGGCACCTTTATTTACGTAGAGGATGCAGAGGTAGCGACAGGCACGCACCTCACACTAATGAATTCACATTTCGCTTGCTTGTGCTCAGCACCGAGGATGGATTGAGTGGCGCTGTCACATTAAGGCCGTGTTGTTTTCTGTGGCCAGGAGGATCCCTGTTCAATATACACTAATGAAAAGTAGCTCGTTGTAGAAATTGTATACCTATATTAGTTTGGAGTCCAGAGACATAAAAATTTCCACTGTGAACTTTTTTCTTTTCCAGAAACGTAAGCAAGATTTGGATTTCCTCTTGCACAGCAGTTTCTTTTCCTGTTTTTGCCCCATATCTCTGTACTTTCCATCCCCTCCTGTTGGAAAATGATTCAGCCTGGAGGTCACCATGTGCAGCACATCCCACCTGTACTCAGGCTTCCAGAAATCCCGACTGTTTTTGTGGCACTTGACACACACAGGCAGAGTTGGGGTGAGAGGTGCTGTTGGAGTTGGAGCCGTTTACTCCTCATGATGGTGTGTGGCAGGGATGCTGGGCATTCCCGCCTTCCTGCCAGTACTTCCTGCCAGCACTCCTCAGCAGTTCCACTCGGAGCCACATGCTGGGTGGAGCAAAGTGTCAACACCAAGACATTAACCAGTATCAAATATTAATGACTTACTTTTTATACTGGTAAAATATATGTAATGTAGAATGTTCTATTTTGACAATCTTTAGGTATATAGTTTAGGGGCATTAAGTACATTAGGTACATTGTACAAACATCGCCATCATCTGTCTCCAGAATGTTTTAATCTTCCCAAACTGAAACTCTGTACCCATTAAAGCATTTTGTATTTTTGTTGCATTGAAGCCAGACTCCAAAAAACAGCTCTGTACCTAAAAGTATAAATTTCTACAAAATGTCCTTGGGGCATGTTTATAACTGATATATCTATGGTCTTGCTAGAAATTTCAAATCAAAGGGTGAGGGATTACACTTTTTCAGAAAGCATGAAAGAATTTTCCCTTGCTGATGGAGTTTGTTGAGTCTCTGGGGAGCTCCTGGACCCTTCCCCAGGCCATGCGTGAGGCCGACCCTCCTCCCCTGGCTGCTTCTCCCAGCGCCTGTGTACTGACCACACCCCAGGCCACAGGCTCCTAGGACCTGGAGTGGGGAGGACGTCAGGGTCAGGAGCGAGCCTTCTGTGATACTGGCATCAGTGCTGAGGAGGGGCTGTGCCTCTTGGGCTTCAGGTGGGTCTCCGAGTTAAATTACCCTAAGAAAGAGTACAGCTCAGAGACCTAAGCCACCATCTGCTTGGGGCCTTTCTGAACTAGGAAGCAAGTTCTGTCTTGAGATGTCAGTCTTCTGTGATGTGTTGACATGTTGGCAGCAGGGGCCAGGAGGACTTGGACACATTGGTGCTTCATCCACCAGAAGTTGCTGCCAAGCAGCTCCCCTGCAGACACCTCTCCTCCGCCCTCCACACAGGAGTGAGGGGAGGACTGACAGCCCAGCTCCCACGGCCGGCGAGCCAGGAGGGTCCCTGCCCACAGCGTGGGGACTGTGAGGAGGAGATAATGAACAGTGGAGATTTGGGACTGGTTGACCCTCATCTCCAGGCCAGGTGTGCTTTTCTTTCACTCTTATCATTCTTCCCTCCTTGTCTTTGGTGTTCTGGACCACAGTAAGGTTCAGAAAGTACAGTGTACCCTTCAATGTGTCATGACAGCCCCACACAGGTCCCTGGGGCTGCCTTGGCAATTGTGGAGCTTCAGGCTCCCGCCGTGGCACCTGCTCTCCCCCATCCCCTGGGCTCCCGCCGTGGCACCTGCTCTCCCCCGTCCCCTGGGCTCCCGCCGTGGCACCTGCTCTCCCCCGTCCCCTGGGCTCCCGCCGTGGCACCTGCTCTCCCCCGTCCCCTGGGCTCCCACTGGGCAGTGGCTTCAGTTAGGGTTGGCATTCAGTTGAGGCCTCACCTAAGGGCTCCAAAACAGATCTGCTCCCAAGTGGCAGCTAAACAAGACCCCCTTGAGCTGGAGCTGAGGCCAGAAGGCCCCTCTGCCTGCACTGCACCCCACCTCAGGGACGACTCAGAGACCACCGAAGGAGAGTGTTCATTGATGTTCTTGCTTCTCAGGAATGAACGAAGGGGTCACTGTCATATCATGTCTCGTAGAGAATGCGCAGTCTGGTCTTGTGACCCCAACACCTTCTAGGGTTTTTAGTGACTCCTTAATGATCAAATGGAAACTTCTTGTGGTTAACGCTGACCTTCTTGTACATTGAAAACATGAAAGTACACGTTTTTGATGTTCAGAATCATCAAGGTGGAGTTGGACACCTTTGACCAATTTTAGATTTGGCTTTGGAGGCTGGTTTGTCAGCGTTAGGAAATAAATCCCTATCTTGGAACAAGTCTTTTCTAACCTAAACAGTTTTCCCAACACATGATTCTTTCTGGCTACCCTCATTATCACACGTATACATCTAAGCACATTTAGTTAATAAACATTGAGTCTCCTGCTGTATCAAAATCATAGGAATTTGAAATTGAAGGAGTTTTAAAGGTCCTCCAATCTAGCTTTCTTCTTTACAGGCGAGGAACCAAAAACCCAGCTGGGCCAAGTCCAAGGGTCCCACTTAGGTGTCTGACAAATATATTTAAATTGTGGCATATGCCCTTGTAGACTTGGTTTTCTTATAGACCAAAACCTAAATGATTTAAACATTTTTCAAGAAAATTTCTTGTGAGCAGATAAAAGAACCAGTAGAAATTCATATGTCTGAGCTGCCTGCAATCTATCATCTGTGGCAGAAAATTTATGTCTCTCCATCTCATTGCCCAGGGACACACATGGGGGCTCCTGGTGGTGAGCTGTGGTCGGCACTCAGAGTGTTTTGAGTAATGACTCCATCCCAATCTGAGTGGCGTTTTCCTCTAGGTTGATAAAGCCCAAAGAACCATACAGAGCAGAGGAAAAAAAGAAAGAAGAGAATTTTACAAAGGCATCGCCTCATGTAGCTCTGCCAGGCCTGGGCTGTGGCCACGCATCTGGGCAGCTGCTGCCCCGACATTTTCTCCTGCAGGTCCTGGGGAGGTGGCCGGTTTGAGGTTAACAGGTGATCAGCTCTGGATCTTCTAGTTACCTGGAATATGCTGCTGAAACCCTTGAATAAGCCTTCACTGACCTTCCTGCCTATTGCCAGGCACTTCTGAAATTAAAATAACTTCTGCTTTACCCTTTGTTACTGTTAAAATACTCATCCACCTGGTGTTACGGAGCCAGTGAATTCTCACACGCTGGCCCTGCCACAGTTGTTTTACCGTTGGATGAGAGGAGTCTAATGGAGCCTCCAGAATGTCTGGCCCCTGGTGGGTCGTTCCCAGGGCTATAGGTGGAGGGAGATGCAGAAACCCTGCACATTTCACAGAGAATTTGGGCAAATAGGTTCTGGATCTGTTGTTTCAGGCTGGGATTTAATGAGCTCTGTTTCCTGCTCGTGGATGGTGATTTTGTTGATTGCCTGGAGACCAAGAAAGAGTTCCAGGGGCTGCAGGGCCTCACAGAGGAGTCAGAGGCGTTGTCTCTGTAGGCTTCCTAAGCCCCCAACAGCTGCCCGCCTGCCCTCCACTCCTCAAATCCATGGTCTCCAATACCTCCTCTCAGAGGTAGGGGTGGCTGCCTTTTTTATATAGGACAGAACTGAATCCTGGAGAGGCCGTGTGACTTTTCAGAGCCACGTGGCCATCAGGTGACAGACCAGGATCCGTGTCTGGGCCTGCTTCCATGCCTCCTCCCCACAGCTGGACTTACAGGTGGAGAAGCAGCTGTGTGCTCAGGCGCTCATGGGTGGAATCATGGGCCTGTGCACACCAGGCCCATTATACAGGTCAGAGGCCTAAAGGGACACCTCCTTGGACTGCAGAGTGCCCACTGGGAACAGACTCTGGACGAGAGGCAGTGTACACAGAAGCCCTCTCAGGCCTGCCAGAGTTTGCCCATCCCAGGAGGCTTTGCCCTCAGCACCCTCCTCTGGCCTCTGGTGGGTTCATCCACCTGAGCCCGGATTGTTTGCCGGTGCACAGGACAGCTTCTTAGAAATGGCCAGAAGGTGGCTTGGGTCGTTTCTTTTTTAAAATCCAGGCTCTTGACGATATTAAGCAGAAAACATGGGGTAGAATGGTGTATATGATACATGACCCTTATAATAAAAGGAGAGATTAAGAATCTGTGCTCACTTTTGCTTGTAAGTTGTACGAATAGACCCTGGAGTAATCTGGGAACCTCTTGAAAGTCATATCCTTGGGATGGGGAGTGACTAATGGGTTTGGGGTTTCTTTTTGGGGTGATGAAGTGTTCCAGAATTAGGTGGTGGTGGTGGTTACACAACACTGAATATACTAAAAAACACTGAATTGTACACTTTAAGAGAATGAGCTCTTTGGTAGATAAATCATATCCTACATGGTATTTCAAACCAGCTGTTTAAAAATTCTTCTGACAGCAGTATTTCATTTGCCTTTGAGCCTCTATCTAGGTGTTTAAAAACTGATCGAGTTCTGCTTGGTGCTTGACCTTCTCTCTGGAAGGAGAGGTCGGGTCTCATCTGGGAGATGAAAGAACAGCCTCAACGACGGACGGGGGACTCCCAGGGGACGTGCTTGAAGCTGTTTTTGTCCAGAGGGTCTGTGCGCCAGGCAGGGAGGACTGTGGGGCCAGGGTGACCTGCCTGGCCTGGTGGGCTCCTGACGTGGTGTCAGTTAGCGGGTAAGAGAAGACATCTGGAGTTAGCTGTCCTCGTGGTAGACTCAGAAGAAAAAGGTGTTTTGCCCATTGGTATTTCATGCTGGCCCCTTGAGGAGCCCCAGGAGCAACTGCCTAGCATCCTCTGCTAGAAAGGCTTACTGTTGTGTTTGTGTTGGACTCAGCTTATCATCCAGAGATACGGTCCCACAGCTGCGGTGGCGCAGTGGCCCTTGGTTGAGTTAGGAAGGAACCATTGGCCAGTCCGATGAGGACCACGTTGACGTGCCCCAGGCCTCTTTGTTGGCCTTCTGTGATCTCCTTTAAAAAGAAAGAAGAAAACGGTTGGTTTGATGTGTTGGCAAAATTTGGCCTTGAATGCTGGCCATGGGAATTGCTGAAGGAGGTCTGCTCTAAATATGGGCTTTTCTGCCAACGGTTATTTCTGGTTGTTTCAATTACAGTTGTGCTCTCTGGTAACTGCTGTAGTGTTGTATAAATACAGGGTGAATCACAACCAGGCCATGAAGCCAGATCTGGGGTGGAAGTGACACGTGGGCAGCCCCTAGAACTGGGTTCTCTGCCCCAGAGAGTGTCAGGCAACCCCGGGCTGGGCAACGCCTACCTTGCTGCCTCTGCTGGGATGAGCACTACTCTTCCCATGTCTGCATTCACCCCCCAGGTCACTCTTGTGTTCAGATGCCCCAGCAAGTCCACACCTCCCTCACGAACGTGGGGAAACGGTAGGGATTGCACCCGCCTGACTTCCCCGCAAGCCCATCTCGTGGGCTTGTCTCTCCCACATGCCTGTCACTTGCTGTACCCCGGCCATCCCAGGCCAGGGTGACTGGCCGAGAGCTGCCCATCTTCTGAGATGCAGGCCCCTGAGAAGCCGTGTGAACTCTGCCCTGCATCTGTGTGGGAAATTAGGGGCCCATGTTTCCTTTCTTTTTCCTTCATCATAAAAACTCAAGAGCAATAGGTGGGGAAACAGAGAGACCCTTCCTCTGGCGAACTGGGCATCCGAGGAGGGCTGGGATGGTTGTGCTGGCACAGTTGGGTCGAGGCGCCTGTACTAGGAGGGTCCTGCCGGGTTTTGGGCTGTCAGAACTTGGGGCAGGGCAACTTCTGCTGCCCAGGACGGGAATTGCAGGTGGAAGGCACCATGAGGAGGTGCCTAGGTCCTTGGAACTGCATCTGTGCTCCTCAAGAAAGTATTCTTGTTGGAAGAGACACCAGCACTGGAATCCAAGTCTCTGTTCCCCAAGACACCCATGTAGGTTCAGTCTTTGAATCTGAGTCCCTGACGCAGGCAGTGAGATCAGGCCACCTCCACGCCCTTAGGGAGAGGCCAGGGTGGGGCCAGCCATGGGACCCAAGAAGGTTCACATAATTAAACAAAATTGTATCTAATTAACTGTAGCAGAGACTGAGGAGGGATAGAAATACTGTAAAATGAGAGGGATATTACTGTGTCCAAGGCATCTTACTTCTAATATTGAGCACGGTCGCGCGCCACGTAACACCTCCCGTTGGGCACGGTCGCGCACCACTTAGCGTTTCAGTCAGTGATGGAGCACATATGCAGCAGTCCCGTAAGATTTTATTTTTTCTGCACCTTATCTATGTTTAGAAGTATTTAGATACACAGATACTCACCATTGTATCACAGTTGCCTAGTGTATTCAGCACAGTAACACGATGTATGGGTGTGTAGCCCCAGAGCAATGGGCTACTCCACGTAGCCTGGGCATCCAGTGAGCTACATCCTCCAGGTTGTGTGAGTGCGCTCAAGGATGTTTGCATGATGACCAGTCACCAAATGATGCGTTTCTCAGAACCATGGCAATCTCTCCGAACGGGGCCTGACCCTGCAAAGCATCAGGTCAGCAGTGGTCATCCCTGGGCCAGGGTGGAGCCCACAAATGAACACAGGTGCCGCTCCCATAGTAGGTGCTGTGGGTACCACACAGGGGAGCCAGGAGGTGGATGGGGGGGCCCGTTCACACCAAGAGGGAAGGGGCTAGGGTGTCCTTTGTTCCTCGTGACCCTCCCACAATGCCTGAATTGCGATGATTCACAACTAAATCTAACCGGAACAGCCCAGCCGCACTGAGGGCTGCTTTGGGGATGCTGCGTTGTCCCCCTTGCTGAAGCTCATGGTTACATGTGTCCACAGTGGGTAGAATCCTTCTCACACACACGCCTCGTGTGTAGCCTGAGGGACACAGCCCTGTCTACTCTGAAGCAAAATGTGAGAAACAGTTAAGCCCAGTGTTCCAAGTACATTTCTCACTGGGAGGGAGTCAGCTGTGCAGAGCCTGACAGCACCCACCCACGCGTGCCATCCCCTCAGCCAGGCAGAGCAGGACACTGACCTTCCAGGGCCAGAGAACAGGTTAGAGCAGGCAGCCCCATGTCCTTAGGAGCAGCCCCACTGGTGTCAGACCATTAGAGTAACCCTTAGTGGATTCTTCCTTGATTTCTCTTTTTTTTTTTTTTCTTGAGACAGAGTCTTACTCTGTCCCCCAGGCTGGAGTGCAGTGGCGCAATCGGCTCACTGCAAGCTCCACCTCCCGGGTTCACGCCATTCTCCTGCCTCAGCCTCCTGAGTAGCTGGGACTACAGGTGCCCGCCACCACGCCCGGCTAATTTCTTTGTATTTTTAGTAGAGACGGGGTTTCACCCTGTTAGCCAGGATGGTCTTGATTTCCCGACCTCGGCCTCCCAAAGTGCTGGGATTACAGGCGTGAGCCACCCCGCCCAGCCCTTCCTTGATTTCTTAAGGTGGTTCTGAAGACCAGAAAAGATGAGAAGATACTGATTAGCAGGGAGATTTGGGGGCCGAGGGTAAAATTTTATGTTACTTTTAAAACTGGGGGAGTAGCAGCTACAGACGAAATGCTGATTAGCACTTGCTTGCGTATCACGTGTGATTATATGTAGCCCTCAGTTATCCCATCGAGAGCAGCAGCTATGAGTGCACGTGTGCACAGGGATGTGTGTGTGCATCCTTTGGGGGGGTGTGCAAGGGCTGTGTGTGCATGTGTGTGAGGGTGTGCGCGTGTGTGAGGATGCATGCATGTGTGAGGGTGTGCGAGCATGTGTGAGGGTGCATGTGAGGGTGTGCGAGCCTTGAGGGTGTATGCGTGTGTGGGTGTGCAAGCATATGTGAGGGCATATGCGTGTGTGAGGGTGCATGCATGTGTGAGGGTGTGCGAGCATGTGTGGGTGTGCGAGCATGTGTGAGGGTGCATGCACATGTGAGGGTGTGCAAGCATGTGAGGGTGCATGTGTGCATGACGGTGTGTGAGCCTTGTGAGGGTGTATGCATGTGTGGGTGCATGTGTGTGAGGATGCATGCATGCGTGAGGGTGTGCAAGCATATGTGAGGGTATATGCGTGTGTGAGGGTGCATGTGTGGGTGCATGCGTGCGTGAGGGTGTGCAAGCCCGCGTGAGGGTATACGCATGTGTGGGTGCGTGTGAGGGTGTGCAAGCATATGTGACTGTATATGCGAGTGTGAGGGTGCCTGTGTGGGTGCATGCGTGTGAGGGTGTGCGAGCATGTCAGGGTATATGCGTGTGTGAGGGTGTGCGAGCATGTCTGAGGGTATATGCGTGTGTGAGGGTGCATGTGTGGGTGCATGCGTGCGTGAGGGTGTGCAAGCCCGCGTGAGGGTGTATGCATGTGTGGGTGCGTGTGTGAGGGTGTGCAAGCATATGTGACAGTATATGCGAGAGGGTGCCTGTGTGGGTGCATGCGTGTGTGAGGGTGTGCGAGCATGTCAGGGTATATGCGTGTGTGAGGGTGTGCGAGCATGTCAGGGTATATGCATGTGTGAGGGTGTGCGAGCATGTCTGAGTGTATATGCGTGTGTGAGGGTGCATGTGTGGGTGCATGTGTGTGAGGGTGTATGCATGTGTGAGGGTGTGCAAGCATATATGAGGGTATATGCGTGTGTGAGGGTGCATGTGTGTGTGGGTGTGGGAGCATGTGCGTGTCCCTTGTGTTCCAGGGCTGCTGGTCATGTGCCTAGAATAATTTCATCTAGGTCGTGTGACATTCAGGTAATGTTGGCTCCAAATTTAACTAGATAAGAAAAGCAACAAAAGTTAATTTCATTAATATTTTAAAATTACTTCTTAATACATTAAAAATTAGACAGGTGTGGTGGAGCATGCCTGTAGTCCCAGCTACTCAGAAGGCTGAGGCAGGAGGATGGCTTGAGCCCAGGAGTTCACAGCTAGCCTGGGCAACAGAGCAAGACTTCGCCTCTTAAAAAAAAAAAATCACCTTCTGAGGATATGTGAGAGACCCTGTGAGTGTGTCACCTGTATGCTCGAGGGAATGACCCACTCCTCCCAGCGAGGCACATCACACCAGATTCTGCTATCCAAGGATAGAGCAAGGGATGTGCTGGTAACTCCCCTTAGACTGTATGGGAAAGGTACAGACTTTCAGATTGTAATTCATCAACGTCGATTTTAGTCCAATTTGGTGAAGGAGAGTAGATTAAAAGCAGAGAAAAGATTAGGCTCTCTCACAAATCTCTCTCTTAAAAGACATTCAAGGTTGCAACACCTAGGAGGGTAAGTTCATGGGACTAGCAGTTAGGTTCCCGCAAAGCTGGAAGGAGCCACCTTATTTTTTAGCTTTATTGAGACCTAAGTCAGCATCCGACCATTTAGGTTGTCCAAGCCAGTGTTTTTAGTGTGTTCACAGAGTTGTGCAGCCATAGTCAGTTTAGAACATTTTCACCACCCCAAAAACAAGTCTCTGCCTGTTAAGTAGTCTCTCCCCATTCCCCCAACCCCCAGCCCCTGGAACCTCTAACCTGCTTTCTGTCGCTCTGCATTTCCCTGTTCTGGAAATTTCACGTGAAAGGAATCATACGGTGCATGGTCTGGGTGCCTGGCTTCTGTCACTCAGCATGATGGTGCTTTGGTGGCGTGTCCGTGGGGTCATCCATGGTGTGGCTCGTCCGTGTCATGGCCTGTTTCCGCGCCTCGCTCCCGCTGCGGGTTTCACGGCCTTGCTCCCTCTGAGGGTTTCACTGCCTTGCTCCCGCTGCGGGTTTCACGGCCTTGCTCCCTCTGCGGGTTTCACCGCCTTGCTCCCGCTGCAGGTTTCACGGCCTTGCTCCCTCTGTGGCTGAGACCCCACTGTATGGACAGGTCACCCTGTGTTCATCGGTTGGTTCATCAGTTGATGGACATCGGGGTTGTTTCCACCTCCTGGCCACTGTGAATGATGCCGCTGCGAATGCTCACATACAAGTTTCTGTGAGGTCACCTGGATTCACTGCAGCCCGGCAGTTCCTCAGAGGCGTCAACATAGAGTTGCCCTAGGACCATCAGTGCCGAGGCTGAAAGGAATAAGAGCGGACACCCTCGTCTTGTTCCTGACCTTAGGGGGAGGTGCCCAGTGTTCCGCATTGAATGTGACTTCAGCTGTGGGTTTTCCTAAACGCCCCTCATCTGGTTGAAGCCCTAGTGTTTCTTTCTCACATCAGAGGCAAATGCATTGGGGTGGGTCTGGTTTGGACAATAAATTTCCTCTGGTTTGGACCAAGAAAAACAGAGTTCTTTGACCGCTAACATATATGTAAAAAGAAAGTTTGTAAAAACAAGAGTTAAAATGCTTCTAACAGTGTGGTCATCACTGCACAGGACACTGGAATTGGCATTCGGGGTTGTGTCTGTCCATGTGGTTTCGTTGTATGTCATGTGCTCTCAGCTCAGACAGAGACATCCAATTGACTTCTGACTTGGGGCATTTAAACTTCATACCACAGCTTTATTTAGAGGACTTATTTATTGTATTTTCCACTGTTTTTATTTAAAAGTTGTATAAAAATTGTTAGGGCTGGTTTTGATATAGAAAAATCATTATGACTGGTTTTGCTAAGTCCATACACCTTTGTGGTCTGGGGAGCGGTGAGTGCTGAAGCAAAGGAATGTCTGCAGAAACAAACAAGGGTGTTCTCTCAGCTTCAGAGACTGATGAAGCAGGATGAAGTGGGCTCCCGGGCAGAGAGTACTTGGAGAGAGAGTGGCCGCACAGTGCTCGAGCTGGGGCTGTGTGTACGACCGGCAGGATCACGTGCTGAGCCTTGGGGGACTCAGCTGGGACCATTAGAAGCTCTGGGGCCTGCTCCACCCATTCTGACTGGTGCTGCCCTCAGGAAACCATCTCTGCCTGAAACCCATTAGGGCCAGGGAGAGTTGTCTGGCTGGAAAGGAAGAAGACGGATGCTGGTGGTTTTTTGTCTTTCGCTTGTTGTTTTAGAGCCACTGAGAAGGTCAGCGTACTTTTCCACTATGCCTGTATGCGGCTTTGCTCTTCTCCATGCCTATCTGCAGCTTGTTTTGCAGAAGTCTCTCTGGCTTTCTCTCTCCCACCCTTTCACATTGCAAGGCCCTCCACTTCTTCACTAATTTTCCTGCAGATGACGGAGCCCTGCGACCAGGAACCTGACTCTTCAGCTCAAATCTTGGTTTGAAAGGGGGACTTCTCTGTGCCCCTGTTGTCGGCATGCCATGGTAGAGAATGGATGGCCCACGCAGCTGGCCCCTCATGAGACCCCAGCCATCTCATTCCACTGGGAGCCACGTCAGGACGAAGGAGGACTGGGAGGGGCGTCTGGCTGCGTGGTGTGGGGCCTGCAGTGTTGTGGCACACGCAGCTTCAGCCAAACATCTAGCCCTGTACCTAGAACTAAGAAATAAAACTATAACATCAGATTTAAAAGTTCTCTGGGAACATTTGTCCTGCCCAAAATAGTAACTTGTCATTTTTAAAAGAATAAAACAGAGCTTTGATAAGCCCCGTGGATGCACCTGACACGAGAGAATCAATGGTGCAGGTGGATTTGGGCTCAAGGTGGTTTTCAACACCCAGGTGATGTCTAGGTGACTGGAAAGGGTGTCTGTTGGACTTGCACCTTTTTTCCCTGTGGAAGCTATTTTTATGCAGTTTTGTATTTGTTCTCAGAACAAATTGGCCAAAAACACTACCTTTAAGTGTGACTTGATTTTTAGTGTACATTTTCAGATGTTATGGGAAATGCATTCACAGTTGAGGTGTCAAAGCAGGGGAAGATGGCTTCCTTGGCAATAACAAGCAAAGGCAAACATGTTTATTTTTGTATCTGTAAAAGCTGGTCGCTCTTTAAGTGTAGTTCCAGCATCTAAAGTGGACACAGAACCTGTTCTTCAGGGCCTGTCACACCCTCACTGTCCATGTGAGAGTTTGTCCCTCCTTGTGGATACTGGGGGCAGGAGCTGCCTTCAGGCACACAGGCATCAGCTGCCACCCTTCAGGGAGGGCTGGGGGCCAGTGGGCAAGTGGCTGCTGTTCCTCAGAGCAGCTCGTCAAAGGCAGCCCAGTTGGTCACAGGCATTTTGGGAGGAGGAGACAGAAGTTCAAGGTCAAAGACAAGGTCGCAGTTGTGGAAGTGGGAGGGGCCCAGAGCACTGTGGGTGAGCAGCTGGGGAGCTTGGGGTGAGACTCTGCTGGGCCCTACCCAGCTGTGTTGCTTCCCTGCTTTCTGCCTCAGTTTCTTGCGTAACAAAAGCAGGTGGCAAGATGAGGAGTTGAACACGAGGCCTGCGAGAGCTCTGAACTCTGCAAAGGGCTTCTCCACTGGAAACGTGTTGTGTGCTGCAGCCCTGGGTCTGTTTGAAATGCAGGTTCTATCAGCGGGGCTGGGCTGCTTCCCTCCCAGGGACAGGTCTACCGGGCAGCCTTGGGCAGTGGATCTCTGAGGTGCTTCATCCAGCTGCCTGTCCCCACACATGCTCTGCACAGGGGGAGAGGACGCGAGGAATGGGGAGCCGATGCCCATCAGGAAGGCCAGGAGCTGAAAGCAGCTTCCAGCCAGGAAGGAGGGAAGGGCCAGGCTCCAGGTTGGCAGCAGAGAGAAGCTCTTCCCCAAGCAGGAGGCAGGGGCACAGTCGCTGATGAGGGAGGATGGGGAGGAGACCCTCCTTGTTGGGAGAGGGGAGGTAGATCCGATCTGCTGAGTTTAGGGGAAGGGCACACCTACCGGACTTTGGAAGCAGAGATGTAGGGTTGCTCCCTCCCTTTGAGACCTGTCACCAGCTGGCCGCAGCGCTGTATGGAGATGAGGCCTTCTTGAGGGCTCACAGCGGCATGTCACCGTGTCCCTGGTGACCTGGGTGTGCAATGCACCCAAGCACGCAGGGTCCCCCGGTGCCCAGAGCGTGATGCCTGCCTTGGCGTGTGTGGCATCGGGACCACAGCTTCCGCAGACATCCCAGCTGGGGACATCGGCTGACTTGGCTGAGGGACCAGGGGACAGACACCACCTCTCCTATCCCCCAGGGGCGTGTGACCTGGGGTCCCTGGCATGCTTGGTGCACACACCAGTCTACGGTCAGTGTACGCAGGGCTTGTCTGTGGGTGTCATTGCCACACAGACTGAGCCTTCAGGGTGGCGCCCCTTCCTGGCCCACCCCCGCAGGCTGCTTCTCCGGTCGCAGCCCATGTTCTAATGTCGAGATCGCGCGTGAGGTTCAGACCTTTGAACAGCCTGACTGTAGGAGCCGCCTTCCAGCCCGCTGGAAACGTGCGTGTGAGGCCGGGTTCTTACCCTCAGCACTGCTGACGTTCTGCGCTGGACATTTCTTTGCTGTGGGGCATCTGCATGTGGAGAGCTATCGGTGCCCCGGCCTCTGCTGTCTAGATACCAGGAGCTTCCCCCCAACTTGTGCCAATTAGAATGTCTCCAGACATCACCACATGTCTGCTGGGGGCAGAACCACGGGGCTAAGTTGTGGCTGTCCCCTGTGGTGGGCTCTCTGTTGTGATGAGGAAGGGCTGGGCCTGCAGGTGGACGTCCGGCCCCCTGACAAAGCTTGTATGAGGGGACCCAAGAGCCTGTGGTGCCTCTGCCAAGCTCACTGGCAGGAACTGGGGGTCAGGCTCACTTCCTCCAGGGAGTGGGGAGCAGCCCTGCCATTTGCGGTGCCATAGAGACAGTTAAGCTTGAGAATGTGATTGCCGTTCTGAAAACACCCAGAGGCCGCAGTGTGCCCGGCAGAGAGCAAGGACCCCTGACCACCGGCTGGGTTGGTCCTGGGAGGGCCCCGGTGATACCTGGGGGGTGTACACCATGGAGCAGAGCCTCCTCCAGTGTAGCCTGGGAGCCTCTGTGAGGCCACAGCCCCCAGGAAGAGCACAGTGCTGCATTCCCAGGTGCTGCCGGCTGCGCCCCTCCCAGCTGCGTGTCCTCACCTGCCGGCCCCAGCTGTCGCTGCCCACGCCCTGCCTGCCTCTCCTGACAGGAACTTCCCAAGCAGAGGCCTCAGGTAGCAGGCGCTCCTTGTCCCCTCTGCCACCTGGGCTGCTGAGGGTGTATCACCAGGAGTGAGCTCAGGACCTGGACACCCAAGCCCAGGTGAGCAGCTGACACACCAATGGCCATTCCCGTCCCGGGCCCTGGTTCACCCAGCCAGGCCTCTGTGCCACTTTTCCACGGGACATTCAGCTTCCCCTTTCCTCTCCTCTCTGCAGACCACTGAACTTTCGTTCTGAGGCACAATGGGGCGTTCCCGTCAGGCTCTGCCCCCCTAGACAGAGGTGAGACCAGCTACGGCACAGCTCTTGGCAGCTGGGTGCCCCTCTGAGATGGGCCAGGCAGCACGCTCATGGCACCTTCATGTGGCTTCAATTCTCTGGCCATTGCATTCCTAACCAAAATATAAACTTCAGGATCGTTTTGGATTTTGCATTACCCAAACCATTTGCTTTTGATAATAACAGTGTCTTGGCAGAGTTCTTGCTCTTGGACTCCGTGTGGTGATGGTGACCGCCGTGCACGGAACCCATGGCATGGGCATCCGCCACTGTGCTTGTTAACTGAGGAGGAGGTGCAGTCGCTGCCCGGAAGGCACAGGCAGTGGCCAGGGGCAGCAGTGAGACCACACCGTTGTGAAACTCATGCTCCTAACAACTCGCCTGCACCTCTCCTCTTGGCTCTGCAAGTCTTTGCATGGAACAGCTGATTTAACGTGGGCCCAGGGCAGCAGGGGACCCTAAAGCAAGCCTCCTGGGTGGGGGGAGGCAGTGGCATGTCACTGGGACTCCCCTGTCCTGTTGGCCTTCTGTGGTGGATTTGGGGGCCAGTGGCCCGCTGAGGGCAGGACACACCCTGGCAAGGGAGCGGGCGTGGGCGGGAGGGCATGTTGCTGCAGTCTAGGGCATGTGAGCTTGGCCTCCAGAGATGAGCTCATCCTCCCTGGGCCTTGCTGAGCGTCTGAGGCTTCTTCACCGAGGCTCACCTGAGTGACTTCAGCGCCGGGGGTTTACCAAGGAAAAACGTTCCCCTCCAGTTTGAAAAAAAAAAAAAAAATGACTGCAGCCAACCCTCAGGCCCTTCCTGTGAAGGTGCTGTGGGCCACACCACGTGGGCTTGGCTGTGGGCACTGGGCCGGCTTCTGGTGCTCACCAGCTGATGCGTCGGGAGGTGTCGGGGGCAGTGAGTTCCCACTGGCGCTTTGTGACAGGCTCCTCCTCTTCGTGGCCTCGGAAAAAATATATGAAATGGGAAACTGTCAGTGGTGGTTAGTGCTCTCCCTGGGCTCTGGCGTGTCCTTCTCTGTCTCCCTGCAGGTCGCCACCCGCCCAGTGAGTTCTTCTGCCTGTCTCCTGCTCTTCCTTCCTCACTCCCTCCCCAGAAGAGGAGCTACTGGCTTGACACCTTCACACTGTTTTGGGTGGACCTGCTCCTACACATGGGAGGAAGTGATGGGGCAGGGCAAAGGAGGGGACCTTGCCATGCTGTCGGCATGTGTCCATCTGCCCAGATTCGTGGACGTCTGTTTTCTGCCTCATGTGTTCTGTAAAGACACTTGTGCCATGTGAAGGTGGCACTCCTTCAAACTCTGTGAGCTCCACCCTCCCATCCTGGCAGGAACCATCTGGGGTGAGAGTCGGCGTTGCTAGGGAGACTGGGGGCTGGGACATGGTTTTACCAAAGTGCCATGGTCGGAGGCCTTCCTAAAGCAAAAATGATCAGAAAGCCAGGCTGGACACTGGAAATGCGCTTGAGGGAAGATGGCTGCAAGCTGGGATTCTCCAGGGATGCTCCTCTCTATGGGTTCTCAGCATGCAGGCACAGAAGGCTGGAGGATTCTCCCTTTCTTGAGAGGAGACACTGTTGGAAGGGCAGGTGCAGCCAGGAGCAGGAGTCGGTGGTGAAGGAGTGGGGTTCCCCTCAGCCCAGCAGCAGCGGACACTGAGCTCGGAGGAATCTGGCTGGAAGGCCCAAGTTTACAAAGCCTGGACCAGAGGCATCTCCTTGAGGAGTCAGACCTGTTCTCCTCTTAGAGTGCAGCACTGAACCTACTGGGAGCGGGTGGTTGAGATTTTTATAGAGATCACTGCAGCTTTTCCAATGATATCTCCACTGGGACAGACATGGGGATGCAATCCAGGTCTCCCCATCTCACGTGTGCTGGGTGGGTCTTAGGAGCAAACCACAGCTGTATCTGCAAGAATCAAGCACAGAAAAGAAAGTTTCTTGTCTAAGACAATATGTGGTCTTGCTGGACCATGATTATCCCATGCCTCTGTGTGTGTGTGTGTGTGTGTGTGTGTGTGTATGCACACGCTTCCCATTTGGACTGTGATTATCTTGTGCATGTGTGTGTGTGAGCTTCCCATTTGGACTGCGATTTATTTCATGCATGTGTGGTGGGTGTGTGTGCACATGTGTGTGCTTCCCGTTTGGACTGCGATTTTTCCTGTGTGTGTTTGCATGTATGTATGTGTGTGTGTGCTTCCCATTTGGGCATTGATTTATCTCGTGGGTGCGTGTGCTTCCCATTTGGACTGTGATTTATCCTGTGTGCGTGTTTGCGTGTATATGTGTGTATGCTTCCCATTTCGGCTATTTATCCTGTGTGTGTGTGCATGCATGCATGTGTGTGCTTCCCATTTGGACTTTGATTTATTCTGTGTGTCTGTGTGTTTGTGTGTATGCATGTGTGTGTGCGCTTTCCATTTGGGCTGTGATTTATCCTGTGTGTGTGTGCCCGCGTGCATGTGTGTGCACGTATGCATGTGTGCTTCCCATTTGGATTATTTATCCCCTGTGCATGTGTGTGTGTGCTTCCCATTTGGACTGTGGTTTATCCTGTGTGTGCGTGTTTGCGTGTATGTGTGTGTATGCTTCCCATTTGGGCTATTTATCCTGTGTGTGTGTGTGTGTGTACATGTGTATGTGTGTGTATGTGTGTGTGTGCGCTTCCCATTTGGGCTGTGATTTATCCCGTGTGTGTGTGCGTGTGTGCGTGTGTGTGCTTCCCATTTGGGCTGTGATTTGTACTGTGTGTGTGTGTGTGTGTGTGTGTGTGCGCTTCCCATTTAGGCTGTGATTTATACTGTGGTGTGTGTGTATGTGTGTTTCCCATTTAGGCTGTGATTTATACTGTGGTGTGTGTGTGTGTGCTTCCCATTTGGGCTGTGATTTATCCCGTGTGTGTGTGTGTGCGCGCTTTCCATTTGGGCTGTGATTTATACTGTGGTGTGTGTGTGTGTGTGTGTGTGCACGCGCGCGCGCACGTGCTTCTCTTTTGGGCTGTGATTTATCCTGTGTGTGTGTGCACATGCCTGTGTGTGTGTGCATGCATGCTTCCCATCTGGACTGTGATTTATCCTGTGTGTGTATGTGTGTGTGCGTGCTTCCCATCTGGACTGTGACTTATCCCGTGCATGTGTGTGTATCCTGTTTGTTTTCTAAGGATCGTGAAGGGCTGTTTACATAGATCATGTTTTGCCTGTGGCCGCCGCGGCACCAGGGAGGAGCATTTTTCCACTTTAGTGAGCTGTTTGCCCTGTCGGGAGCTCGGCCTTCTCCACAGCAGGCAATGAGGGGGGAGGCTTTCTTCAAGGCTGACTTGTACTTTTATTCTTTCCCATATTTCCCTTCCAGTCCCGCACAGAAATGTTTGCCTGCACCCCCTTCCATAGCAAGCTGCAGCCCTTCTCCCCACCCTGGCCAACATTAACTGTTGCCTGCCTTTCTCTTGAGGCTGAGACCTGAGTGGGAGCTGAGACTCAGGACCAGCTGCTGTGTGGTGGCTCTCGGGCCTTTGTTCTGTTTTTAATGTTGAAGGGAGTAGGAAGTATACATTGTAAGTTGGCATTTACTTGGGCATTAGGTCTGGAGTTGAAATAAAGAGGTACTGGCTTTGAAAAACAGGTATATGTTCTGAGTGTAAAGTAAACGTGGGATGTATCCATCAGTCTTTTCTTAGTGGGTTGAGCTCTTTCAGGTAGAGACACAAGGAAAAACTTGATTAAAAGCACATGTGTGTACTTTAAACCTGATCAAGTTATCTGCTCCAATTCCTACTTTATAATGTTGTTCCCTCCTCTTTAATGTGCTTCTCTATACCACGGATACTTTCCAGGAAAAAATGTGAATTTGTGTTTCAAGACGTATCAGTTGCCCCCCACCCCCGCTTTTCTGTCTTCATCCTGGCTCTAGGAGCTCTCTCCTCCTCCACCTCTGGGTCACCTCCCACAGACCCTCCGGGTACAGCCAGCCTCTTCTCCCTTTTGGAAGCCACCTCCTCAGGAAGCCCCTCAGAACTTGCCACACTCTTACCAGCATGACATCCCAGCAGGCACTCACCTCCAATGTGACTGGAGCTGGTGGACATTTGGAGTTTTTGGATTTAGAGGTACCACCTGCAGAATTTCAGAGAAACAAGCCTGAGGGTGTCTCTCAGAAAACATAACACAAAACACAGCAGTCGTGCATCCAGGAAGTGGCCACCCCAGCTGCTCAGTGGCGGGTCTGTGTGGTTGTTCGCTGTGGTGTTTTTTTGTGATGGTGAACATTTGGCAAAAGCCCAAACACCTAATGTCCCTGCGGTGGTGGAACGAGGGTTGTGCCCTGACAGAGAACGTGACTCAGATACACTCAGCAAGAGAACAATTACGGAACAGTGTGCGTAGTGCACTGAATCGATACGTCACCCCAGGTTCTGATGTCGAAGTCCTAGCCCTCAGTCTGACTGTATCTGGAGACAGTGTCTTTAGGGGGTGATGAAGGTTAAATAAGATCGTAAGGACGAAGCCCTGACCTAATCAGACTGTGTCGTAAGCAGAGGAGGAGGCACCAGAGATCTCGGTCTCCCTGCCACGTGGGGATACAGGAAGAAGGCAGCTGTCTGTAAGCCGGGAAGAGAGCCCTCCCCAGAAACTGTTACAAGCCGGACCTTGATATGGGACTTTCCAGCCTCCAGAACTGTTAGAAATAAATGTGCATAGTTTAAGCTGCACCATCTGTGGTATTTTGTTATGGCCGCTGGAGCTAAGACACACATTATGTTCACACTTCTGCAGCAAAACAATTATTAAAGTGTTATGTGTTTCCCATCTAGCATGTGTTAGTTGCACTAAATAGTCTGGGGAAGTGTGTACTAGACTGTTAGGAAGAAGGATTATGGGGCATTTTCTTTCTGCTTTGTTTAATCCATTTTCTCCAGTCTGTTTAGTCTTCTGATCCCAGCCTGGCCTCTGTTGGGTGCTCTCCCTGAGCATTGGTTAGGAATGAACAGACAAATGCATGAGAGATCATGTTTTTTTACAATGGACATTTTTTTTTTTATTTTTTGAGATGGAGTCTGGCTCTGTCGCCCAGGCTGGAGTGCAGTGGTACAATCTCGGCTCACTCTCCGCCTCCCGGGTTCACGCCATTCTCCTGCCTCAGCCTCTCGAGTAGCTGGGACTACAGGCGCCCGCCACCAAGCCCGGCTAATTTTTTGTATTTTTAGTAGAGACGGGGTTTCACCGTGTTAGCCAGGATGGTCTCGATCTCCTGACCTCGTGATCCGCCCGCCTCGGCCTCCCAAAGTGCTGGGATTACAGGCGTGAGCCACCGCACCCAGCCTACAATGAACATTTTTTACTTTGGCAAAGGGGCATGGGTTTTGGGAGGTTATCCTCCTGCATCACCCAGTGCTGGAGTCGGAGCTCCTGGATAATGCTGTTACCCCTGAGTGTGAACTAAATGTGGGCTGCATCCATGAGTCTTTTCTCAGTGCACTGAGTTCTTCCAGGTGGACATAGTGGAAAACGTGATTAAAAGCACTTGTGGGCAGGTGCGGTGGTTCATGCCTGTAATCCCAGCACTTTGGGAGGCTGAGGTGAGAGGATTGCTTGAGCCCAGGAGTTGTCGATCACCCTGCTGTCACCTAGCGGCCTCCAGCCTCAGTTCCCCTCTCTGTCAAAGGAAGTCGTCATTGGCCTCAAGGTCTGGGAAGACCAAGGAGGAAATAGGTGGGAAGGTTTTATGGAGCCTCTGGGACTTTCCTGAGGAGGTGGGAGTTCAGCCTCCACGTCAGCCCTTGGTTCGTGGACCTGGAGAGGATACAGGGCCTGGAAAGAACAGGCTTGGCTGTGAACTTGCTGCAGCACAAAAGGTGAGGGCTCTAGGCACAGCCTTGGGGTTTTACAGGAGCCCTGTGGAGTGAGGGTGGTACATCCCATTTTATAGATGTCAACACTGGGCTCAGCACTGGTCCAGGCAGTGGGCGGTGGCTCTGGGATAGGGCAAAGCTTCCCTAACTCTACAGACTGAATGCCTTTCCCTGTATCCTGAAGCCACAAAGCCAAGGCAATTCGGGCATTAGTGACCTGTTGTGACCTGGAAACTGCCCCAGGACTAATAACTCAGTGGCTTCTGTGAGGCAGTAGCCATGCGCTTTGAAGGAGGCTGAGCAAACTTGCTGGGGAGCAGCTCCAGAGCCACCTCCAGCTGAGACACCATTTCCTTTTGGCAGAGAAAAGTGTGTCTGGGTTCGCTTTATTTTTACTTTGAGGGGTTTTTAGGAAAGAGCCATTGTTTGAAGAAATTCATTTAACAGAAAAAAGCATCAGTGTTTGCCTTCTTCCCCTTCCCAGGTGGGGTCTCCCCAGGGTTTGCCCCCTTTTTTTTTTAGATGAAGTCTTGCTCTGACACCTAGATTGGAGTGCAGTGGCACAATCTCGGCTCACTGCAACCTCCGCCTCCTGGGTTCAAGCGATTTTCCTCCCTCAGCCTCCCGAGTAGCTGGGATTACAGGCGCTCGCCACCATGCCTGGCTAATTTTTGCATTTTTAGTAGAGATGAGGTCTCACCATGTTGGCCGAGCTGCTCTCAAACGCCTGACCTCAAATGATCCACTCACTTCGGCCTCCCAAAGTTCTGGGATTACAGACGTGAGCCACCGTGCACGGCCGCGTTTGCCCCTTTCCAAGCAGGTTGGGTTGGTATCCAGCTGTGACCCCTGCCCTTGTAGTTCTGAGTCTTGTCTTTGTCCTCCACGACAAACTTTTTCCATAGCCCCAAGCAACGTGCTTCCTAGTGTGCATCACATGCTCATGATGTTGGGAACCTAGTGGCTGAACATGGTGGTACTTAATTTCTTAATAAGGACTTTCTACATTGGGTAGTTGGTTTGTTCATTTTTACATCATGCTGGTTCCAGACAACTAATAATGCCTGATATTCAGGGCTCACTTCTCCAAGGCCGATGGAAATGTTCTCATAAGCCTGGGTCCAAGCATATGGTGACATTTATGTTTCTGGTTTTTTGTGTGCTTGTTTTTACCAGAGCAACAGATAATGTTATTTGCTACTTTACTTAGAATGGCACAGGGATGTGACTTCGCATTAGGCAATGATTTCTTAAATATAACAACAAAAGCACAAGCAAAAAAGAAAAATTAGATAAATTGGACTTCATCAAAATTAAAACCTGCTGTACGTCAATGGACGCTATTGAGAAAACAGAACCCCTCACAAAATGGACAAAAGCATTTGTAAGTCATGTTTCTTAGAAGAGACTCTTATTCGGAATATGTAAAGAATACTCACGTCAATAGAAAAGACAACCCAGCTGGGCATGGTGGTGCATGTCTGTAATCCCAGCACTTTGGGAGAACGAGGCAGGCAGATCACTTGAGGTCAGGAGTTCAAGACCAGCCTGGCCAACCTGGCAAAACCGTCTCTGCTAAAAATGCAAAAATTAGCCAGGCACGGTAGTGGGCACCTGTAATTCCAACTACTTGGGAGGTTGAGGCACTCAGCCTCAGAAATGGCCTGAGCCTGGGAGGCAGAGGTTGCAGTGAGCTGAGATCACCTCACTGCATTCCAGCTCGGGCAACAGACTGAAACTCTGTCTCAAAAAAAAAAAAAAAAAGACATACAACCCAACCCAGTTGAAAATGGGCAAAGGATCTGAATAGACATCTCTCCAAAAAAGATATTCAAGTGGCCAATAAGCACATGAAAAGATGCTTAGCATCACCAGTCATCAGGGAAATGCAAACCACAGTGAGACACCGCTTCACACCCACTGTGATGGCTGATAATGACAGACAGAAACAAGTATTGTCAAGAATGTGGAGAAATCGTAACCCTCAGAACTGCTGGGGGGAATAGAAAATGTTTCAACCGCTGTAGAAAACAGTCTGGCAGTTCCTCAAACAGTTAGACATATGAGCAGTAATTCCACCCCTAGGTGTATATCCAGCAGAAGGGAAAACGTGTCCACACAAAAACTTGGTTCTGCGTCTCTGGAAAGCCCAGACTGAACATCCAAACCAAAAGAGAAACACGCTATCGTTCTTCCCCCTTTTCAAATGAACATTTGATATAACACGTATCAGATGTACATAAGTGTTCACAACAGCATTATTCACAATAGCCCGAAACTAGAAACAACCCAAATTAAATTAATGGATGAATAAATGTGGTATATCAACACAATGGAATACTGAACTCCTTATACAATGTGGATGACCTTGAACACATGATGCTAAGTGAAAGAAAGCCAGACACAGGCCACGTGTTGTAAGATTCCATTTATATGAAGTGTCCAGGGCAGGAAAATCCACAGAGACAGAAAGTAGATTAATGGGTGTGGGGCTGAGGAGAGGAAGGCATTGGGAGAAACGGACTTTTTCTTTTAGGGTGATGGAAATGTGCTGTAATTAGCGGTAATGGTTCCACTCTATTGTGAACACGCTAAAGCTACTGAGTTGTACACTTTAAAATGGTTAATTTTATGTTATGTAAATTTTCTCTCAAAAATTTTAAACAAAATGCACAGGGAACGAGCGTGGGCCGGTGATGCCGGCAACCGGGTGCCTGTTGCTGCGCTGCTGTGGCGCCCCCTGCTGGCTGCCCGTGAATTCGGGGAGGGATGGGGCCTGGATGCGCCGGTGTCTCCTGCTTTCTGTTCCGGAGACTTCCCAGGAGGGTGGAGACCCCCACCCAGAGTGACTTCCCAAAAGGCAGCACTACCCGACGAGGGACGCCACAGGAGGAGGACTTGGAGGGAGGGCAGTGGGCACGGTAGAGTCTTCTTTCCTGAGGCGACCCCAGCTTGTTGGACGAGGCACAGCAAATGCTGACTATAGTAATAGAAGAGTGAGTTATGGCTTCAGGGATTTTTTTAATTATTACTTTTACTTCCAGTTTTTCTATAGTGAGTACAGATTACTTGGGGTGGTATTTTTAATAGAGAGAAATAATAGAGAACCAGGACCAACATGAGGTGTTTCTTAAATACTTCCAATGAAAATTTAAGCTCAAGTCTGCTCATTCCTTTCCCGTCTCTCCTCCTGGGTCAGGGCCAGGAATAGCCTCCTCTCCTTGCCTGCAGCCTTCCCCAGCAAAACTGGGGAAAGGGTGTTGGCAGAACATTCCAGAGGCAAGTGCACAGATTGGACCTGGCTACACTTGAGTCCACTGAGTCCAGAAACAGGACCCTAAAGTAAGTTAATAATTATGCACCATAGGGTTCCCTTTTCCCCACATCTGTGGAAATAAAATGTTGCTTAAAGTTCCAGAAAACACTTCTTAGATGGAAACTAGGACTTAGTGTGTGGTGTTTTCGTTGGTTGAGGCTGCCCCTCACTGCAAGGGTGCAGGGCCCACTGGGCAGCGCTGTGTCTGTTGCTCAGGCCCTGGCCTCTGGCACACGCCCTGCAGGCTGCCTGTTGCAGTGCACACAGGTCCTGGGGCAGGCACCATCACCTACTTCATCAGAATGTGCTGGTCGCCTCCAACTATCAACCTGGGTGTCCTTGGTGACTGACAGCCGACAGTCCTGCTCTTGGTGGAAAATAGATTTGCTCTGGCAGATGGGGGTAGACGGTGATCTTGAGCTGTTCTGTGCTGGGGATCGTGGCCAGGTAAGCCTGGAAGAATCCCCTGAGGATGCATGCTGTAGACCAAGCCTGTGGAGGATGCCACAAGGAGACAGGTCTTGGGGTTTGAAGACAGAGTTTTCTGGAAAAGATAAAACTGCCAAGGAGTTCTGAGACTAGTCAGTACACAACAGGTTTTGTTTTTCACCTTATGTGGCAGGCTTTTTAAATGTTGACATTTATGTTGTCTTTTAAAATGAAATATTGTTCTGGCATGTGTTTTGACCCAGTGGTGTAGTTCTTCTGCGGTATTTTTGTATGTGTCTACATGCTGTTTAATTATGGGGAAGGAATTTGGTCTTAACCACCCTTGGATAAGCGGGGACCGGACGAGGCCCTAATAGGCCGTGCTCATCTGGCAGCTGAAGTCTCCGACGTGGTGTGTCCTGATGCCGTCATCGAGGGACGGAGACGTGCTCTCCCTTCCGGCTTCTTCCCTCCTTCCTTCCTTCCTTTACTAATTTCTTACCATTTAAGCTGGCAGCTGCTTTGCCCGTGAGCAGGTGAGGCCATGGCGTTTGGCCTGGGCAATTCACCAGGGGACCATGGCGGCTCACAGCAGGGTGACTCGCAGCCACTCATCTCCTGAAATCAAGTGTGGCGGATGCGTGAGCTCTGAATCCCCTCTCCATGGTGACCTAAAACCGAGTCATTGATCCTGAGAGGGAAAGAAAGAAGCTGTATCTCTCACTTTAGGTAATGAAGTTGAATCGGAAGCAGTGAAGCGAGCGGTTTGAGAACAAGGAACACTGTGAGCCAGGAAACTCGGAAGATCAGGAATTGGGGTGGGAGTGGCTGTGAAGAGGACCCCACACTCTGGCGCCCGAGGGCACCATCTCCCGTCCAGGCCAGATGTATCAGATTCTGAAGAAAAAGCAGAGGGGCCGCTGAGGGGGTGTCTGTGTCCTGGTGGAGCGCCTTGAGGCAGAGGGTTCCCCGCAATTCTGAGTCCTTCTGCAGCCCTGTGCTGCCAAGGGAGGCAAAGCAGTGCTGCCATGCCTAAATTTCAGCATCTGTCTGGTGCTTCCCTTGTTGAGCGCTCGCAGGAATCAAATGCAATGTTGAGCGTGGGCCTGGTGCGTTCTCCAAATGCCCATGAGTTGTCATTACTTCTGCAGCTGCCACCATGAAGACGACTGGGCACCCCAGGCGTCTGGCCAGGCTGGTAGGGAGGTGTGGGCAGAGGGCGTGTCTCGGGACCGTGGCTACCTCCACCCCGGTGCAAGCTCTCAGGCATGCACAGCCACCTTCCTGAGTGACCGGAGCGTGAAGGCGACGCCTTCCTGTTTCTCTCCCTTCCCCAGAGTGCAGTTGGACAGGCTCCATCCGAGAGAAGGACCCTGGAAACCTTTGGAAGAGGCACCTTCAGCAGTTCCCACCCTTCCTCGCCAGAGAGTCAGGATAGTTTTAATAAATCAGGTCAAGCCCTTATGTAACAGAAGGGGTTATTTGTAAGAAAATATTTCTTAGAAAATCTTTAGTTTGAAAACTTGTAACCGTGAGAGCTTCATAGGACCAGACTTCAATTTCCCCTCTTGTTACGGATACTTCAAAATAGAAATGGAAGAAGAAAATATAATTTAATTTGACGGCTGGGTGTGGTGGTTCACATCTGTAATCCCAGCTACTCAGGAGGCTGAAGCATGAGAATTGCTGGGAGGTGGAGGCTGTAGTGAGCCGAGATTGTGCCATTGCACTCCAGCCTGGGTGACAGAGCGAGACTGTCTCCAAAAAAAAAAAAGTTTATACATATACATACACACACACACACACACACACACACACACACACAAACATAATTTGACTGAAAACAGGATATGGGGAGAGAGGGTGGTTAGACAGTTGCCTAAAAAATGTGACTCCTTGAATTGTTTACTTTGTGGAAAATACCAGATTTAACATATTGCTTGAAAAAGAAGCAGTGACAATTTTTTTCTTGTAAAAAGGTATTTTAGAAATCAAAGTTGGAATTTTAGAAATGGGGTATTCTTTAAAACAAATTTTATTTCTAAGAAAGTTTGGAATTTTTCACTAATGAAGTCCATATGCAAGGGTTCATATTTAAAGAGATGGAGAAACGGATTGTTGTCTGAAATTCAGTCACCTCGTCCCCATACCACCGCAGCTGCATGCGGGCAGTACTTCCTGCACCTCCCACTGCAGACAGGCTGAGGTTGTGTGTTCTCTCACCTGAGCTGCAGCTCACTGGAAGCAGGCGGGGTGGTTGGCACCAAACGCACCCTGGGCCCTTGGATGCTGGGGAGGGGGTTCAGGGTGCAGACCACGGCCGGCCCATCTCTTCAAGAGTTCAGGAAGAACCAGAGTCGCATGCACTTGCTGGCCCTCCTCCAAGTGGGGTGTCGGCCCGTTTCCTCCACGGAGCCACTGGCTCTTTTGCCCCCTGCCTATGAACGTGTTCATCTTTCAGCTTACACAGCCATTTGACAGTGGTAGACATTACTTAGCTCATCAACCTCCTGTCATTCAGAATTAGTTTATGAACCCATGGCATCAACCTCACCTGAGTGTCCTTGAGCTGCACCCCAGGCCCAGGGGTTCAGAACCTGCCTTTGTACAGGGTGGTCTGTGTGCCTGCTGCTGAGAGGTGCTGCACCATGAGGGGATACACTCCCTGCTGCTCAGAAATCCCCTGGGCGTTCATCTTAGGCCATGTTCCCATGGT
The DNA here is from genome assembly GCF_000001405.40 of Homo sapiens. Classification (NCBI taxonomy): domain Eukaryota; kingdom Metazoa; phylum Chordata; class Mammalia; order Primates; family Hominidae; genus Homo; species Homo sapiens. The sequence goes on along the minus strand of NC_000018.10, from coordinate 80,167,682 downwards.
CGTCCTCCCTACGTGGCTCAGAGCATCAGAGACGCTGGGGGAGGAAGAGAGGACAGGCCTGGGTACATCTCATGGCCCCAGCTCCACCCTCTGCAGCGCCTCCTCCCAGGACCCCAAGTCTGTCTGGAAACATGGTGGAGCGTTGCTGCTGCCTTGCCTGTCATGGGGGTTACACAAAAGACCTTCCCTGTCCAGGCCATTCCGGGGCCCTGAATCCCTGAGCCTGTGTCCCTGTCCCCAGGAGTACCTGCTCCAAGCTTGCTGCCCTGAGTGAGCTGCTGCATGAAGAGCCGTGCCCTGTCCTCAGCACTGCCCATGTGTTATCCTGCACACACATCCACACGCAACACTGCCCATGTGTTATCCTGCACACGGGTCCACACACAACACTGCCCATGTGTTATCCTGCAACACGTCCACACGCAACACTGCCCATGTGTTATCCGGCACACAGGTCCACACACAACACTGCCCACGTGTTATCCTGCACACACGTCCACACGCAACATGATGCTCTCAGGCAGGAACCACAACAGAGGACCCACAGCAGGGATGTGACCTGTGAGGCCCAATGGGTGTCACTTGTAATTGTGAACTGTCACTGTTTTGATTGGCCATTGTCTTGCCCTGAAAAGTGGTAATTATTCCATACGGTGACACACGGAGCCCTGCACCTTTAGATGCGCTGAAACTCCCTTGGAGCACAGGGCCAAGGCCAGAGGGGTCAGCATGGGATGTTAGGGTCTGGCCAGCACGACTGAGATCAAAGGGGGCTCTGGTTTGTTGGATCCTCAAGTGTTTGCAGTTGTGGGGCCCCAAAAGAGGTGGCTGTGGTGTGGAGAAGGGGCCCTGAAGGGACTTCTGTGAGAACAGCCCCCTTATGGTCGGGGGAGGACCAGACCTTCCTGGTCTGCAGGGAGGGCTATGCACTCCCCTGAAGTTCCCCGGGAAGGTGGACATGGGGAGTGAGGACCCTGTGGACTGTCTCGTGCTCTGAGGATGTAAGGAGCCAGGACAGGATGAAAGGGGCACGTACCTCCCCTGCTTGTCTGACGCTCTCTACAGAGGACATTTACCAGAAACTTGAAAATGCTGCTGTAAAAAAGCTGCCACGGAGCTGTTGTGTTTGGGGCAACTAGATCTGACCATGGAGGAGGCTGTAACTGATCGCTTTCAATGAACTTGACGCCTTTAAATTCTAAGGGAGGTGGAGATTTTCCACTGAGACAAGGCGTCCTGATGCCCCCATGACCGAGGGTCACACCAGCAGTGTCTGCCATGGCACACGTGCCCCAGACTGTGTCGCCTGCTTAGCAGAATGCAGTGGGGCTGCTGAGAGAGACACTTGCAGCCCTGCATCTGGGCCTTTGTTCTGCTTGGGGTGCGGCAGAGAGGAGGAACACACTCATGATTGGGGTGGTGTGCTGTGTTGGTGCCGACCTGACCATACGGTGTCCATGAGCTGAGGCTGTGTGCCGCTGACATGACTGCCTTCATCTCAGAAGGAAAAATACAAGGGAACAGTCACATTTGTTTACAGGTCCAAATGGTGACAAAGTGGTAGCTATGTTAGGAAATAAGCGGAAATGATAATTTTTTTTTTTGAGATGGAGTTTTGCTCTTCTTGCCCAGGCTGGAGTGCAATGGCACGATCTCAGCTCACTGCAGCCTCCGCTGTCTGGAAGCGATTCTGCTGCCTCAGTCTCCCTACTAGCTGGGATTACAGGTGGATGCCACAACGCCCAGCTAATTTTTGTATTTTTAATAGAGACAGGGTTTCACCATGTTGGTCAGGCTGGTTTTGAACTCCTGACCTCAGGTGATCCACCCACCTTGGCCTTCCAAAGTGCTGGGATTACAGGTGTGAGCCAGCGCACCCAGTGGAAATGATAAATTATGTTTTCTGGCAACTTCCTGGAGGTTAACAGTTCAACACCATGTTTTTTCAAAACAAACCTTTACTAAAATTTTAGAGGCAAAGACATATCCATTGCGGGAAGTCAGGGACCCTGAATGGAGGGACTGGCTGGAGCCACAGCAGAGGAACATAAATTGTGAAGATTTCATGGACATTTATCAGTTCCCAAATAATACTTTTATAATTTCTTATGCCTGTCTTTAATCTCTTAATCCTGTTATCTTCGTAAGCTGAGGATATACGTCACCTCAGGACCACTGTGATAATTTTGTTAACTGTACAAATTGTAAAACATGTGTTTGAACAATATGAAATCAGTGCACCTTGAAAAAGAACAGAATAACAGTGATTTTTAGGGAACAAGGGAAGACAACCATAAGGTCTGTCTGCAGGGTCAGGCAAAAAGAGCCATATTTTTCTTCTTGCAGAGAGCCTATAAATGGACATGGAAGTAGGAGAGAGATCACTAAATTCTTTTCTTAGCAAGGAATATTAATATTAATACCCTGGGAAAGGAATGCATTCCTAGGGGAGGTCTATAAATGGCCACTCTGGGAATGTCTGTCTTATGTGATTGAGATAAGGACTGAGATACGCCCTGGTCTCCTGCAGAACCTTCAGGCTTACTAGGGTGGGGAGAAACTCTGCCCTGGTAAATTTGTGGTCAGACCGGTTCTCTGCTCTCGAACCCTGTTTTCTGTTGTTGAAGATGTTTATCAAGACAATATGTGCACTGCTGAACATAGACCCTTATCAGTGGTTCTGCTTTTGCCCTTTGCCTTGTGTTTGTTGGATGCTTATCAGTGGTTCCGCTTTTTCCTTTTGTCCTGTTCCCTCAGAAGCATGTGATCTTTGTTAGACCGTTATTAGTACGTCTGCTTTTTGCCTTTTGAAGCATGTGATCTTTGTACCCACTCCCTGTTTTACACCCCCTCCCGTTTTGACACCCTTAATAAAAAACCTGCTGGTTTGAGGCTCAGGTGGGCATCACGGACCTACCGATAGGTGATGTCATCCCTGGTGGCCCAGCTGTAAAATTCCTCTCTTTGTACTCTTTCTCTTGCTCAGCTGGCTGACATTTATGGAAAATAGAACCTACGTTGAAATATTGGGGGCAGGTTCCCCCATTACATATCTTCAAAAGGTTTAATTTGAGGTTGGCTAGGATTATATTTTACATTATTGTTAGGTGGGTAAACAAGGCTCCCCTCTGCTCAAGTCCTTGAAGGCCCAGGACCCCCCAGTTTCATCCTCTTACTATGGGCATGACATTCAGTTGTGACGTGAAGAGCAGTGTGGACCCGGTGGAAACACCCAACCATGAAAGTTAAAAGCTGGAGCCTTTTAGACACATGGAGAGCACATCACAGAGGCAACGCCCCTCACAGGTTGGAGGGTTTGGAGTGCAGGGGAGGGATTTGCAGTAGTTGGGACTTGGCCAGGAGGAGGGGCTGTTAGGATGGCCCCTAAGTGTTTTGAGGGAGGAGAGGCCCACTCAAGACTGTGGGGCCCATGGACAAAATACAAAGGCCAGGTCCTCACTCCCTGCTTAGTCTCTCTGGCACCAGAGCCAGGGGCTGTTGGGCACCCATTCTAGCCTTGAGGAGGTGAGGGTCCAGGCTCTGTGTGTGGGGTGCAGCAGGTGGGGTAGTTATTGTCCACACGTGTTCCGTCCTTTTAGGCTGCCTCTTTCTGATCTTTGTACAGACAGAGCAGACTTTTGATGGGGCTTTTTGGTCTATGCCTGTTGGTGCATCCAGGTTGCTGGTGCCTTCAGCTCCAAGTCTGGGATGACAAGGCTAAAAGAAAACCCAAGGAGCTGCTGCCATGTTGCTTCTCCGGTCCTGAGGCCCCAGCTAGTGCGACTTCTCTCCTGCGTCATCTTATATTTGTTGTTTTGTATGTAACATCCAGGGTTTTTGTTGAACTTAGGAGGGATGGGAAGAACTACATGACTTCTGGGAAGCAGAGGTCCACACACTTGCTTTTATTGGTGCAGGGAACCCTGGTCTACCTAAGTGATTTATAAGCCCCTTACGAGGAGGGGCCCGGCCCGCTGTGCCCTTCTCTGTATCCTACAGTTCTGGGCTTGAGCCTCAATCCAGTCCACCGTGCACCACGGCCAGAGCACTTGCTGCCCTGTGGGGATGGCCGAGATGCTTCCACCTGGCCCTTGTGACGCAGACAGGTTTGTGGTTTTGGTGGAAGGGAATGCACCATGCGGAACAGGGGTGGGGCTCCCGGGATGGGTGGCTGTGAACTGGGACTTGAAGACAAGCGGCTCTCAGAGGGAGGTGAAATTGAACCTCAAACTCTGTGAGTCAGTGGTAGAGAGAAAGAGGATGCTTGGAACAGTAGGTGTCACCTCTCCCGGGCCAAGCCTCACTGTACTCTGCCCGTGTGTGGGACAGGCGGCCAGGCTGTTTCACACATGGACACACACCATTTCTTACTCCCCTACCCTCAGCATCTCAGGCCTCACCTGCCCTGCATAAAACCTTAGTCTCTTCTCCTGGGCCCTGCTGCTCGTGGCTCTGAGCACAGGGCCTGAGCATAGGGCCTGTCCTCAAGGAGGAGCATGTGGATGGCCACCTGCACCACAATGTTCTTGCAGGCATGAGTTTGCCAGAGGGGTTGCCTTCTTGAAAGTGCATAGATTTGTCATCCAAGGAGACCCCTTGGGAAGAGCCCGTATCATGGAAAGCAGGCAGAGCACTGTGCCTCGGACACTGCCACACTTCCATCTGCGGCCCCATGGATCCACAGTCCCTCCCACTTAGAATGAGCAATCATGAGGCAGATGCCTTCAGTGAGGTTTAGCTTTTAGTCCAGGGAGAGCCCACTCTGTCCCAGGCCCTTGGTTAGTCCAAACCTGCGGCAGCAGCCAGACCAGATGGACTCTACAGGTAGTCTCTCCTCATCACGGGAAGAGGAGCTCTGTGCCACTCACCCTCCGGCGTCTTCTCTTGAACTTTGTGTTGTTGATCCCCACACCCCGGGCAGCATAACTGCCACCTCCCCAGATGCCCCCGCACTGTTCCTATCATATCCTGTGCACATCCAGTCTCACGGTGTTCTCCATGTAGCTGTATGTAAAATTCAGTCTGTATCTCTCCCACTCGCTTCATGGCTACTTCAGGGCAGGGACTTTATCCACTCACCTGTATCCCTGAAGTCACTGAGTAAGGATTTGCAGTGTCTATGAGGTGCAGAGAGGCCGGGTGCTGGCCAGGAACCAAGATCCCATTTCTATAAAACAAGCACAACCATAGCCACATGTACGTGTGAGTGTGCAAGAAAGGACTTGACAGACATGCACACCCAGCCCCGGTGGTCACAGCTGGGAAGAAGTATTACAAGTGTCATTTTATTTTTTTATTTTTGTGGGTACATATTAGGTATATATATTTATGGGTTACATGAGATTTTGATACAGGCATACAATGCATAATAATCACGTCAGGGTAAACAGGGTTTACAGGTATAGTTTTTAAAAGTCATCTTATTTCAAAAGTCCTTCCAGACCTTACTGTGTCAGTGGGTAATAAATTATGCTGATAACTGATGACGGATGGGTTCCGTCACTGAGCAGCATGTGTTGAGTGCTGGCCAGGATGCCAGCTCCCAGGAAGACAGTCCTCATGCTGGGGCATCCCGGCTCCAGGGTGCATTAACCCTGCTGCCTGGAGCATGTGCCAGAGCCTGTGCTAGGGCCTTCTCGTTGTCTAGGCAGCCATGGGCTCTGCTGGGTTGAGAGATGTGATGCCTGAGCATTGGCCTCCTCTCCAAGCTGCCTGAATGTTGCCTCCATGGTGGAAGTAATTTGTCTTCGAGTCCTTTCCAGAACTGTCAACCAGCATTCCCCATCTCCAAAGCAAGTCATAATGGGCCCTGCCTGCTCACTGAAATGCAGAAGCCAGACTGACCCCTGGAGCCTGGAGGTCTCTGCTCTGAGGAGCGCCTGTTTATGGCATTGCTTCTGCCTGGGCTCCCGGTCCTACTGGCTTTCACTGGCAAAGCAAAGATGTGAGCCTCCCCAGCCCAAAGAGCAGGCTGCTGTGGATGCCACCAACTCCACAGGACCAAGCCTCACAGAGCAAGCCCTTCCCTCTGCTCCCCGAGACGCCTGTCTTACAGAGTCGTGTGTGTCAAGAACAAGAGGTTTCATATAAAAATTAATGAAACAAGATTTTTTTTCTGACATGAGGAAAATGCATTATTCAGAGTTTCCAAATGCCACCAGTCTCTTCACTTAAAATTTTTACTTTAGACTAAGCTCCTTACGTTTCTGCTTGATTAATTCAGTGGACTTTCATTTTATTTTGCAGTAGCCCAACTTTAGGGTAAAGTTTACACACTGCCACAAATGTGTCATGCCACAGGCTGGCAGGTGTGGGCAGGCGGATCCCACAGGGTCCCTGGGAGACCTGAGGAAGAGAGCTGCACAGCCCCCATGGGAGGCTGGGCATATTGGTGAGCCTTGAGGCTCCATGTGCCTACAAATAGCACTGACTGTGCGGGACCTCACAGAAGGGAAGCAGCCATCCTCTGATCCCACTCCTTCCTCTACTCATCTCCCCTCATCAGCTGCTAACCAAAAACGCAGGGAAATGCTCACACGCCCGACTGAGTGACACATTCAGGGGCCTTGAATGCTGGCTAGAAGACACTGTGGTGGGGCTTGCGCATAGAAAAGAAGAAAGCAGGAAAGGTCTCTCTTAGTTGTAATTAACCTTAGAAAAAAACGAGCCTCCGTCTTACAGTTGAGAGAAGGAAATATGGGAGAATGGGCAAAGCTTAAGAAGTCCCCAGTCCAGCCTGCTGCCTCCCAGAAGGCTGAGGCACTCGCCAGCCCTCCAAGCCCTAAACCCTCCACTGCCATTGATTCTCTCTGCTGCAGCTGCCTGCTAGCACCTTTTAATCTCTGAGTTCTTTGGTTTGGTGCCTGTGGAGCTGTAAGGAGAGTGCTAGAGAGTTAATTTTAGGGGCTGCACTTGAGCTTGCCTGATTTCAGCTCAGCCTGCAGGTCTGGAATGCTCCTGTGCACCCTGGGTGCTTCGGCGTCACGCAGATGGAACAGCAGTGCCAGGTGTATGACGGCCGAGGGCTCAGGCGGGGCTCGGTTGTGTGTCCCCTCTAACTGTCCCCTCTCCCGCAGAGGAGGCCGAGCGTGGCAGCCTCGGCGCGGGCTCGCTGTGCAGGCGGAGGCGGGCGCTGGGCGCGCTGCGTGATGAAGGACCCCGGCGGCGTGCACACCTGGACATCGGCCTCCCGCGCGACTTCCGCCCCGTATCATCCATCATCGATGTGGACCTGGTCCCCGAGACGCACCGGCGAGTGCGGCTGCACCGGCACGGCTGCGAGAAGCCGCTGGGCTTCTACATCCGCGATGGCGCCAGCGTGCGCGTGACCCCGCACGGGCTGGAGAAGGTGCCCGGCATCTTCATCTCGCGCATGGTACCCGGGGGCCTGGCGGAGAGCACCGGGCTGCTGGCTGTGAATGACGAGGTCCTGGAGGTGAACGGCATTGAGGTGGCCGGGAAGACGCTGGACCAGGTCACGGACATGATGATCGCCAACAGCCACAACCTCATCGTCACCGTCAAGCCCGCCAACCAGCGCAACAACGTGGTGCGCGGCGGCCGCGCGTTGGGCAGCTCGGGACCGCCCTCGGACGGCACCGCGGGCTTCGTGGGTCCCCCCGCCCCGCGCGTCCTGCAGAACTTCCACCCCGACGAGGCGGAGAGCGATGAGGACAACGACGTCGTCATCGAGGGCACACTGGAGCCTGCACGTCCCCCCCAGACCCCGGGCGCGCCCGCAGGCAGCCTCTCCCGGGTCAATGGCGCGGGCCTGGCGCAGCGGCTGCAGCGGGACCTGGCCCTGGACGGCGGCCTCCAGCGGCTGCTCAGCTCCCTGCGGGCCGACCCCCGTCACAGCCTGGCGCTGCCGCCAGGCGGCGTGGAGGAGCACGGGCCCGCGGTCACGCTCTAGACTCCCGAGAGGCCCCCAAATCCTAGCTCCAGTTCCCCGGTAAGGACAGGGACAGGACCTGCAGACTGCATCCGCTCATTTTTTGTTGTTTTTGTGACCACAAAAACAACGCTGCTCTTTGTTTCAACTTCCGGATATAAAAACACAAGTATTGCCTATTTTTATAGAATTTCGCCACAGAACTTAAAATGAACGCCTGTAGAGACACTCTATACCAGGCCTGAGTGCAGGTCTTGGCGCCTTTGCAAAGTGATAGAAAAGATCTGACCAAGTGCAAAAAAATGCTTTTTAAAATTTTTACAAATACTTTGTTTTTAAAGTGAAGCTTTAAAATTACTTTTTTAAAATAGTCAAATTCATGTTTTTAAGTAAGTTGGCCCATGCAACATATCTCAGCATTCTTGCTGTGCTCTCTGCTGACTTGCAGGCGAGGCCGACTGTGCTGATGTACGTGACAAGAGGCTGGTTTTTAATAACGAATGCAGCCAGGTGCAGTGGCTCACGTCTGTAATCCCAGCACTTTGGGAGGCCTACGTGGGCTGATCACGAGGTCAGGAGGTCGAGACCAGCATGGCCAACATGGTGAAACCCTGTCTCTACTAAAAATATAAAAATTAGCCAGGTGTGGTGGCAGGCGCCTGTAATCCCAGCTACCTTGGGAGGCTGAGGCAGGAGAATCGCTTGAACCCGGGAGGCAGAGGTTGCAGTGAGCTGAGATCGCACCACTGCACTCCAGCCTGGGTGACAGAGCAAGACTCTGTCTCGGGAAAAAAAAAAAATACACCCAAACCTGTCCATGTACAACCATGGAGATGAATTCCAGATTTTCACACTGTTCATAGTCATAATTCGGTTGGGACAGGAGAGCTCCCACCAGCACACTTATGGCACCCGCAGCTGTGGAATTGTTCCGGGGCTTTTTTTTGTTTGTTTTGAGACATAGTGTCTTGTTCTGTCATCCAAGCTGGAGGGATCTCAGCTCACTGCAACCTCCGCCTCCTGGGTTCAAGCAATTCTCCTGCCTCAGCCTCCCAAGGAGCTGGGACAGGCACATGCCACCATACCCAGCTAATTTTTGTATTTTTAGTAGAGATGGGATTTCACCACGTTGGTCAGGCTGGTCTTGAACTCCTGACCTCAGGTGATACGGTCCCCCCTCAGCCTCCAAAAATGCTAGGATTATAGACGTGAGCCACAGCACCAGACCAGGGGCTATTTTTGTGACCCACATAGGTGGCCCATTCAGCCTCAAGGGGAAATCCAGGGTAGGAAGCAGCAGCTCTGCTGGACTGGGCTCAGCAGTCCCATTTGGGATGTAAGCCTCTATTGCCTCTAAGATGACCCTTTTCCTGTGGGTTGACTGACTCTGAGGGCGATTTCGGAAATGTTTTCAGCAGAAATGAAGGATAAGCATCGCACATGTCCAGCAATGTCTTTGAGAATGCAGTCATTTGCACGTGAGTTCTCATCTTTGTTTTCTGAAACAGACGTTTCTTTTAGTAAGTCACAATACATGCTAATTTTCATTTCTAGAATGGTCACTGGCAGTTCTCACTTTTAACTATAAGAAGTCACGTGGAACTTAGTGATTTTTAACAAATACTAAATTCATCCTCACTTTATGTTGATCTTCCAGCAACGTTTATATATTTAGTAATTTTAAAAATTCCTATTTGATACAATTAAATTTTATATAATGTGTTTTGCTTGAATAAAATGTTACATTTATACTTTGAGAACTCTGACCAAATCTTTCATACAGATACAGGTAAAGAAATATTTTTCTAGGTTGTCGGAGCTGCGTACCTCCCGCTGCTTCTCCTTGTGGTCCAGCACCACCTGCTGGTCAGTGGCAGAACTGTCCTGACTTCGTGAACATGGAACTGCTAAGAGGGAAAACTGCATCTCAGCATTTTCATTTTTTCTGAATATTAAGTGAAAAGCAAGTTCTATTTTTAAGAAATAGCTTTTGCTGAGGAGTTGTGAATTCCTGCACCTGTGTTTGATGTTATTTGTATGCAATGGATTGCTGGCCCTTTGTTCCTAAGCAAGAGAAGACCAAAGATGCTTCCCCATGACCTCTCCGGTGAGGATCCGCACCCCCCGGACTTGCTCTCTGATGAAGGGCATGTCGTTCAGTGCCCCAGCAGTCAGAAGCAGTTTTTGTGGAACTAAAACTAATAATGTTACCCTCACAAAGGAAATGTTCTTTTACTAAGTTATTGCTGATTCTTGAATGTCTGTTATATAACTGGGTCGGCTATCAAGAAGGAAGGTTATATTTCTTATCACATTTTAAGTTGTTAAGCAAATGTGAGTTTTTTTTTAAGAAATGAGGCTTTCACTGAGATTTGTGTGCTATTCATAATTTTAGGAATTACTGCTTAGAACAGCTGCTTGGGTGTATTTTTCTACACAGGTCTGTACTTCTGCCACTTTCTCCTTTTAAAAAAACAAAACTATGCATATTATGTATTAAAGTTTTCTTGGTTTTATATATCAGAGAATAAAAACTTTTTTGACTTTTGAGTAAACAAAATGCATGAATATTTCACCTGTGTTCTAAGTGGAAGAGAATACCAGAGATAAAGTAATCCCTCAAAGAGAATGACAGATTTATCAAGTGCTTATCATGTACCATCTTTCACGGAATCCGCACATACTCTCTGAGGGACGCAGATGAGAAAATGGGCCCAAGCTCATCAGATAGACAGATGACAGTCCAGAACCCTCTCTCGAAGTCTTTTTGAAAAAGCTTTTCTGAATATTTATACAGCACACAGTCCTTCCTAAATGTGCCCTGGTTGGCACGGTTTTCATTAACACTGTCGTTCTGGCAGCCATCAAGAGTCAAATTACAATTACAAATTCAGTTACTCAGCAAATTACAGATGTGATCACATTGAGCACCAGCATCCTGGAAGCAGCACAGGTACCCTACTAGGAGCTTCACAAGTACTCGCCACCTGCTGAGTCCCCACAGCAACTCTGGACTGTCGGCAGCTGGACAGTTGACCCCCACAGTCTGATGAGGCAGGAGTCAAGTGCCAACACTGGGTACACTCTCCAAAACTAATGTCCGCTTTCAGCAGGATGAGATACGAGGCTTAAGTGTAAGCAGAGGCCACATGTGCCCCTGGCTGCCAGCCGGGTGTGGCCTCAGGCTTGGGTTTCCCTGACCTGATAGTCCACATCATATGGCAAATTTATTCACAATTTGGTGAGGGTATTTAATATTTTATGGTTTCACATAAAATGATCACAGCGAGTGAGAGTTTTGTGGCAAGGTGCAAAAGTATCTAAAAAATGCCATGATTGTTGTGAAATCTATATTAGCGAAAATCTAAATTTTCCAACAGAAGGACATGTAAGTTACCTGCACCTCTGTGGAATGTTTTTAAAGGATGCAAGTATGAACTAAGTGTGGTAGGGTCAACTTTTGATCCTTGCATTTTAAAAGTTGGCACTAGTATGAAGTTTTTTATGGCAGCACTAAAACTCACACGGTCTGAATAGTTTATTAAAATGGTGTAAGGCTGCACTAATGGCCAGTTCCCAAATGCACTAAGATACTTAATGTGTACCATTCCTACTGAAAGTATGAACCTACTTAGCTGATTTCCAGCTTGCCCATTTCTGGAAAGGTAAGCTGCTCAGCGTGAGCTCAAGGACCTCCTGTTTCAAACAAACCGGAGGGTGAACCCTCGTCCCCTCGAACAGCTTGTTTAAAGAGCACCTGCTGGTCAGGCACAGTGGTGCATACCTGTATTCCCAGCACTTTGGGAGGCCAAGGCGGGCAGATTGCCTGAAGTCAGGAGTTCGAGACCAGCCTGGCCAAGATGGCGAAACGCCAGCTCTACTAAAAATACAAAAAAATAGCTGGGCATGGTGGCGTGCACCTGTAATCCCAGCTACTCTGGAGGCTGGGGCAGGTGAATCGCTTGAACCCGGGAGGCTGAAGTTGCAGTTAGCCAAGATCACACCACTGCACTCCAGCCTGGGCAGCAGAGCAAACTCCATCTCAAAAAAACAAAACAAATAAAAGAGTGCCTGGATTACCCCAGAGGCTCTGATTTAAGGAACTTGGGTGGAGTTTGAGAATTTTCATTTCTAACAAGTTCCCAGTAGATGCTGATGCTGCTGGTGCAGGAATCACATTTGAGAACCATTGGCTAATCCCCCAAGCTTATAGGACTTGCCTATAAACTTGGACTTGATGACCGAGACCCTATCCAACAAGCACATAGGATTTCCCTCTAGGATGTTATGTGCTGGTATCAATATTGTAATTTCACATCAGGTAACCTGCAAAAGTATTTCCTAAGTGCACAAATACTATTTTTTGAATTATCTCCCACCACCACCATTCTGGCGCCACATCTATACACCTAGTCTTCTTAACGTTCTCCTTTATGCTTTGAACATCTCCTATTTATTCCTGAAGACACTCCAAATCAATATACAAATTCTTTTTTCCCTCTTACCTTTCCTCATTTATCTTGTGTTTTATTCTCCTTTATCCTCATGGGGAAAAAAAAAACAACTTGAGGGTATTGAGAATGTTTTCAATACTGAGCCATGTTCCCAAGGAGAGACATAACTCTATAACAGTAATAAAAAGCAAACATGATTCATCATTGATCTTGCAACCCAGAAAATGAGTGCCATTTTCCAAATTTGCTTTCCCAGGGAGCTTTGAAGATAAACACATTATTTCTTGACTTGAGTCCCCTTGCTCTCAAGACAAAGTGCCAGGCAAGAGCTCTTTTACAAGAATTGTACTTCCAGTAGACTGTCAGGTGAGCTATTAAGCAACATGGCCGTGATGACAGAAAAGTCTGTCTTACCACTTCAGAGCCAAATTACACACCCTATATGAAACCCATCTGAGGCCAGACTGCAGAGACCTAAACGTATAGATGAGAGGATCAGAGTATGGAACCTCCTTTCTCATAATAAGACTGCAGCATAAGAAGGGCACAGTGCCATGTGATGGGACTGCAGAATGCCAGATGTATGACAGGATCAGAATCCAAAATTGACTTCCACAAAGCCAGACCACAGGGAGCACCACACACGAATGAGGATAATATCCAAAATCAACTTCGAATTAATTAGACTCCAAAGACCAGCACACACTGATGAGAGAATCAGAGATGGAAAACCACCTCCACAGAACTGGGCCACAGAGATTACCAGTCATAAAAAGAGAACTGCACAGAACCAGACCGCAGAAGGCACCACATACATGGATGACAGGATCTGAGCCCCAAATCTACTTTCAGTAACTGGGCTGCAGATCCAGAACCAGGCCACAGAGGGCACCACACCAACTAATAAGAGTACCTGAGTCCCAAATCTACTTCTGTGTAATGGGTGGTAACAGGCAACAGGCGAAACACTGAAACCCCGACTTCATGCCCTCTGCTTGCCACGACGGTTTTGCATTTGTTTCCCATGCCAGCATAAGCTCTTTATTCAGAGGCTGTCATATTCTCTCTGATGTTCAGTTACTAACGATTACTAACGATCCTACTTAGTGTGGATGAGTAAACCAATGTTTCCTTGGAGTTTATGCTTCAGAAACAGGCAACAAACAAAAGATAACACATAATTCATTTATCAATAAATGACAAGAAAAACAGAGCCAGAAGGAGGATATTGTAAATTTTTACCATTTACCATTACTTTTCAGATGAGAAAATGAAGGCACACTAATATTTCTAATATCACACAAATACTTTTCAGAGCCATAATTTGCACCTGTATGTTCTGGCTTAACTGTTTTTCTCACCCCATCTATCAGTTTGTAGAAATGCAGGCTGGGTGCAGTGGTTCATGCCTGTAATCTTATCACTTTGGGAGGCCAAGGTGGATCTCTTGAGCTCAGGGGTTCAAGACCAGCCTGGGCAACACAGATCTTGTCTCTACAAAAAAATGTTTTTATAATTAGCCAAGTACATTCTCTTTGCCTAAAATAAAAAAAGTAGTCCCAGCTACTCAGGTGGCTGAGGTGGGAAGATCGCTTGATCCTAGGAGGTCAAGGCTGCAGTGAGTTATGACTGCACCACTGCACTCCAGCCTGGGTGACAGAGTGAGACCCTGTCTCAAAAAAATAAATAAATAAAAATGCAATGTTTATCCACACAGTCTGGCTAAGGAAAGACACCATCTACCACCTTTGGTTTATTCGGGAATGCATCTTCACTGTCTATTCTAGCCAGCAATAGGCAGACTCTGCCATCCAGTGTAAGTGACTTCATTCCTCGGTCAAACATTGGAATTAGGCCAGGCGCAGTGGCTTATGCCTGTAATCCCAGCACTTTGGGAGGCTGAGGCAGCTGGATCACCTGAGGTTGAGAGTTCGAGACCAGCCTGACCAACATGGAGAAACCCCGTCTCTACTAAAAATACAAAACTAGCCGGGCGTGGTGGCACATGCCTGTAATCCCAGCACTTTGGGAGGCCGAGGCGGGCGGATCACAAGGTCTGGAGATGGAGACCATCCTGGCTAACACAGTGAAACCCCGTCTCTACTAAAAATACAAAAAAAATTAGCTGGGCATGGTGGTGTGCGCCTGTAGTCCCAGCTACTCGGGAGGCTGAGGCAGGAGAATGGCATGAACCTGGGAGGTGGAGCTTGCAGTGAGCTGAGATCGCACCACTGCACTCCAGCCTGGGCAACAGAGCGACACTCCGTCTCAAAAAAACAAACAAAAATTTGGAATTAAAAGTCTGCTTATATGTAAAGGGTCACTCAAGTTACTGTTGAAAATATGGAAGGGAATATTCCCTGCTCAGCACCACTGACCCATAGAAAGACAATCAGTGAGAAACGGGCAATCCTTTCTCTGAGCATCCTGTTTCTTCACTTTCTTGGAATCATGATTTTTGTATTTGAAAGTATTTTGGACAAAGAATGTCTTAGGTGAATGCTACTACAATAGTAATCTAAGCAGAAATCTTACAGTCATCCTTACTAGTAACCATTTTTTTATTTGTATAAATCCGTGGGGTACTAGTTTTGGATACCCTATTCAGCATGCATACACTAACGATAGCTGATGATCTTAAAAAAAAAAAAAAAAAAAAGGTCCGTGCATAATTGGATATATGCACACAACGTGTGCTGGTCAAGTGAGGGCTTTTAGGGTATCATCACCCAAATAATATACATTGTACTCCTTAAGTTCTCATCACCCACCCACCTCCTACCCTCTCACCCTTCCAAGTCTCCAATGTCTGTCATTCCACTCTCTACATCCATGTGCACACATTTTTTAGCTACCACTCATGAGTGAGAACACATGATCTTTGTCTTTTGGGATCTGACCTGTTTAAGATACCGACCTCCAATCTATGCATGTTGTCACTAAAGACATTTTTATTCTTTCTTAGGACTGGATAGTATTCCACTGTGTATATATTTATCCCACATTTTCTTTATCCAGTCATCCCCTGATGGACACTCAGGCTAATTTCTCTATCATTGCTATTGTGAATAGTACTGCGATAAACATAAGAGTGCATGTATCTTTTTGATATATTGATTTCTTTTCCTTTAGGTAGATACACAGTAGGAAGATTGCTGATCAAATGGTAGTTCTATTTTTAGTTCTTTGAGAAATCTCCACAGTTTTCCATACAGGTTGTACTAATTTACATTCCCACAGTGTATAAGAGTTCCCTTTTCTCTGCATCCTTGCCGACATCTGTTTTGGGACTTTTTAAATAACAGCCATTCTAACTAGGGTAGGATGAGATATCTTGTGGTTTAATTTGCATTTCTCTGATGATTAGTGATGTTGAGCATTTTCACATATACCTGTTGGCCATATGTATGTCTTCTTTGGAAAAATGTCTATTCATGTCCTTTGCCCACTTTTTAATAAGGTTATCATGAAAATTATGCATGGACTTTTTTTTTTTTTTTTTTTTAGCTCATCAGCTATTATTAGTGTTAGTGTATTTTATGTGTGGCCCAAGACAATTCTTCTTCCACTGTGGCCCAGAGAAGCCAAAAAAGTTGGACACTGTAGCATGAGTGTTTTGCACACTTAGAAACATGCATCACCTGCACCCTTTTGTCCAGACAATTTCTGGACAATTCGTACAAATGATGTGACTTACAACGAACCCCCGATTTTCTTCCGGGGTTCTGTAGCCTCCTGTGTGCCTATGGGACCAATCCCCCAAACCACACGCAGGAGTCAGGCTCAGGCAAGCATCCTGGTGGACAGCACCTCACACATCATCACAGCTCACTGCTGGAGGAGTCAGGAACATCCCTCCTGACTGCCCTAGGAGAGGGTGCTCACAACTCACACAGGCTTCCTGCAGCCTTTGCCTTGTGCCTTTTCCCCTTACAGTGTCCCCTTAGGAAGACTGTAGCCATGAGCAGAATGACTTCTGAGGCCTGTGAGTTCTTTCTGAAACTCACTAAACCTGAGGGTGGTCTTGGAGATGATCTTTCTCTCTCTCTCACATACAAACATACATGTGCACACACGCATTTACATCTCTATTGATTCTTCCTTTCCTTGTTTGTAAGAAACCTGCTCCCATTATCCTTAATATACTCATGTGCTGATCAGTCCCCTGAATGTAACCACCAACCTCCCGTCACCACCACCACCCTCTTCCCCACACAGGTGCCCTCCCCCATCTCCAGGCCCGATGCCCCTTCACAGCTACCTCTCAGCCTCCCAGCCCCACTCACACTGACAGGGGCCATTCTCACCTTCCCCAGGGGACCCTTCCTCACCACCCTGCTTGGCTCCACAGCCAACTCCAAGCCCCACCAGTTCTTCCTCTGCCAGTTGGAGCCCTCTTCGCTCTGCCTCAGTTTAGGGCTGAGAGGGAAGGAAGAGGATGAGGAGAGGAGAAAGGACGGCTTCTGAAGCTTCTGCACCTGTACTGCTGCACTGTCTTACCACATTTATTTATTTACTAGAATTATTTCAAGAACCTTTAAACTTACCAGACTCTGATCCCAGGTCCTGAACTTAACCCTGAAGTCTAATTCTGTGCCCCTAAACTCTTCAATGCTCCTCAAATGAGCTGTGCCTCTCATATGTCTATGTCTCAAAGGTATTTTGTGCTGTTGCTTGGCCTGAAAGGGACTGCTCTGCACTTCCCCTGCAGCTTCCCTTCACACTTGAGGTCGGCTGTGCTGCCTCCCTCTGTGAAGCCTTCTCTGCTCCTCCTGGAACATCTGCCTTCCCCCTTGCTCCTGTGTATTGATGGAGCACAGGATCATGGCTTTAGAGCTGGGAGCTCTTTGAGGGGTAACTCCATTTCATTCATGTTTTGTCCCCAGCATTGGGCAGGATCTGATGGACATATAGAGACTAAGCCACTGATGGTATCAGAACTAGTTTCAGGAAAGAGGAAGGAGAAATGATGGCTCACCATCCCATCTCTGCAGGCATAATGGCGGTCACTGGTCAGCCATGGGACCAAGGTAATCAGAAAACTCTATTAAAACTTGCTACATGTGGTGTTAAGGCTTTTTTCTTCAACAATTATTAAATATGAGTCTACACACAGGAAAAATAATACTTGTTTGCTCTCTCCTGGCCCCTTGCCTGCCCCAAAGCAGTCTCCTCACCTCAGGGTGCTGGTGCAGGGCAGCATCACCTCAGTGAACCACTCCTGTGGAGTACACACCCCAACACTTTCTGCTTAGCAAATGCAAGTGGTAGAGAAGAAAAAGCAAACTTCAAGAACATTGTTATGAGGCCAGAGGGGAGGAGTTGTCCCTGTCCCACACACTTTTTGTTAATTCCTTGCCCTTATGTTTCAAAAGTAACAAAAACATTAATTGCCTAGAACTTTGCTGTTGCAGTGATCAACAACCAATCAGATGACCCACTTTTTTTGAACTTTGATACTTGCACAATCTAGCAGCACCTAATTTCAACAATGACAGCAACAACTTTATATACAATAAATTGGGTAAATAGGGTTAATCCCTTTTTCCAACTGGTAGCACTGTTAAATGGGACACCACTTATATTTTTAGAGGACTAAATGCACATTCATTTTAGAAAATTTTTAAAATATAAAAACACAACAAAATCACTCCTAGTCTCACCACCCACATAAATACTTCATACTTGGGTCCTCCTGGCACCCCATTCATTCCAAATATTAATTAAAAGCAAATCAGTACTCACTTCTGGGTGTAAGCACTCTAGAAATATATTTTGGGCTCTTAGTTGACCTGTTTACCGAGATTTCTGGGCACAATCATTCTTTTGCACACATACACTGTCCTGTTTACCTATGATTTGAAAACGCCTTATGACCATAATATGTGTAACAATAAATCATTTTGGAGGTCTGTGTTTGAATGGACCTTAAAAGATTGCATGGTTTGATACCGTCTGCTGACCACACCCAGGGAGCATTAATTTCTCACCATGAATGAGACTGGTTTACAGTTGAAAACAGAAATGACTAGAGTGTTCCAATGGGAGGGAGAGGGCAATAAGGTCTGAGTGACAAGCAAGCGTGGATATGAAATTTAATATCCAGAAGAAAAGCACAGAATAAAAAGTCCCAGGCACAAGGCAACAAGCCTTTCCAGGTAAGACGAGACCTGTGCTGATGGGACCTCAGAAGCGCTTAAAGAACGAGACTGACACTGCGCCTGGAGACAAACGGAGCTGGTGCAGCGGGAGCAGAAGTCTCAGCTCTCACCTGGCACCTCAGGAGAGGCACAGCAGCCATCACGGGGTCCCGGCAACCCTGAGCCAGGAGGGGCTGGCTCTTCTGTCCTCTGTCCTGGGGGCCCAGAGGCCTTGAGCTGGGGGAGGGAGAGGTTCGCGCTGCCATGGCTTGGATGGGCTTAGAGATGTAAACTTGGAGTGAGTCTGAAATAATGTACTTGTGAACGCAGGCATGGCTGAAGGCCGCGTGCTCCAGAACCACTGGCGTCCTCTTACCCGAAATTCAGTCCCCACCCTTTCCGACCTCTTTCAGCAGCAGTTCCCCATTCCGGAGCCACCGCGCGATTCTGAAATCACTTCTGCAGCAGCTTTCAAACTGGATCTCGTAATTCATTTGGGCTTCAAGACTGCATCTACTTTGAAATGATCTCATTTTTTAACTCTCCTTACCTTTCTTTAATTTTCTACCCTTCCCAGATTGAAGAACATTGCTGGAGAATGTGAAAGTCAAATACGAGTTGAATCACTGCCTGGTTTCTGTCACCTGTGGAAATCACAGCCACGTTTCACCCCCGGAGTGAGGGCAGCGCCCGCGCAGCTCAGCTTCTCCCATCTGGGATCGCTGGGGAGTTCTGTGGGGAGCACCGAGTCTCCTCAGGGGCATCCCCTTTCCTTTCTAGGAGAGTTGTTATCACACGGTTAAACATTTTATAGCATGTTCGTCTCCGTCCTGAGGTAGCAGATGCTAGGAACGGAGTCCGGATCCCCAGCCTAATCTGCCTCTCCCAGCAATGGCCTCGCGTCCTGAGAAAAGCCCTTTACCCTGAGGCCACAAGTACTCACCCTGAGGAGACGCGGCCTGATGCAGTCCAGTACAGGACTCGGAACGATGCAAGGCAGGTGAGCCCCTAAACTGGAGCTCAGCCTCGGAGGGCTCATGGCTTTGCCCAGATTTCTTCCCCGCTGCCCGTGGGCGGCAGCTTCTAGTCCCGCTGAAGCACAGGAGCAGCCACAGTGACCCGCAAGGCAGTGCGCCCAGGGCAGCAGCTGAGGACAGGACAGGGCTGCACTCACATTTATAGCCACTGTTAATTATATGCAAACCGACAGATTATGCAGAGATTTCTGGAATAAGGGTAGTAACTTTCGGCCATCAGGGTGTTGCCATGGAAAGGGGGCGGCAACTTCCGGGTGTTGCCATGGCAATGGTAAACTGACAGGGCAAGAGCGGGCGGGTCTTACTGAAAGCTGCTTCCCCCGTCCCGCCTCTACCTCAATAGCGGAATCAAAAGATGAGCACCCCCTCAAGTGCCAAACGTGCAAGATACATAATCTTAGAAACAATATTCTGTTGAAACATCAAAAGCATCACGCATTTCTCACTGAAACTCGCCTTGTTGAAAGAAGCCTCATCCGCCGTCCAGCCACAGCGCAGTCCTGGCCGCTCTCCTCCCTCGGCTGCCTCGTCCTAGGGAGGCAGAGATGCGTTCGGAGGCGGCGGCCCCTGCCCAGGGCGGACGTCCAGGGGGCCCGGGCCGAGCTGCGGCCGTGAGCTCGGGGGTGGCCAAGGCCGCGTGGCTGCTGGCTGCGCTGCCATTGTAGACGTTTCCAGCACGCTTTAAAACGCACGCACACAGCGCAGGGCTCCACTCTTCCTGTCGGGCTTCACAAATGACACGAACGAAACACAAAACCCACCAGGTTTATCGAGTTGAATTAATGATTACTTAGCAACTTATACCAACTAAGAAACAAGCCTTCTATAGGATACCGTTTTGCTATTGAAATTATCAAGTTGGCCAGGCACAGTGCCTCACACGCGTGTAGTCCCAGCACTTTGAAAGGCCGAGCCCGGAGAAGCGCTTGAGCCCCAGAGGCGGAGGCTACGGTGAGCCGAGATCACACACACCACTGCACTCCAGCCTGGGCGACAGAGTGAGACCCTGTCTCAAGAAAAAAATTTAATGAAATTATCAAGTTAATAACCAATGCTATCCTTTGCAGAGTTCTTAAAAACTGTTAAAGATTCTATTCATAAATGCACAAACTTAGTTAATCCTATTTATTACAAATCAAAGCTTTAGACAGGAGTCTTGAAGACTTTCTAACTAGAATTAGAATTGATGAGTTTTGGGGGATGTTAGATAAGGTATGTTTGGTTTATATCTCTAATACTGCTGTAATTTAAACACTAAGATGTAGCAATGAAGTTGCCAAGATACTTGTATTTTTAATTGGTCTATTCAAATATCCAGATGCCAGCTGAATTCACAGCAGAAAAAAAGCTATTTGATTTACTATATTTTCATTTTGGGTTATGATTGTGTCCATTAGCGCCTGGCAAGTAAATATTAGAATTTAAATATCTAGGGCAGTTCAGGCTTTTGGTCAATAGCAATGTAACACCAACTCATAGGAGCTGTAGAGAAAATGGACAAAATCAACAGAAAGGGCTTGGAAGCAATCTAAACAGACTCAAGCCAGCCATACCCCCAAGAGCCCACAGTGATGACAGATTAATCCACCTGAACTCTTCTGGTCCAGCGTTAATGACTGATTTCAACAAATTTTAGAAACCTATATATATGAAAGTAGTAATGAAGATCACATTTTACCCAAAATGATGTAGAGTCAGAGTAACATGCTTTAATCTCACCCTTTATTCTTAGGTTTTAGATTTGTGGTACTCCCCTAATCTCGTAAACGAAAGGGTACTGCACACCTCTGCTAAGGCCACTGAAACAAAGCAGACACACAGGGTCAACTTGAAAGATTCAAATGAACTCAATACAAATAAAATCATAAGGGACATAACCAGCTCAGCAGTTACTTCACTGTGTTCAACAGCTGAAGCACCTCATCGTGTAATTTTATCAGACTGCAAGTTGCCCTTTATATTTCATTAGCATCTTTCAACTACTGGAAATGTTATCTAAAGTCAATATAAACTTTAATAGGAGATAAATGTATGTGGTAATATAACCAGGGAAATTTGGTCCAAGATACTTTACTGCTTTAGGAAGAAAGGTCTGCAGTATTAGCCCTATGGTAAAATATTTATACTATTGCTCATGGAGTAGGTATACTCTATAATCTTAAATTATATGCACAAACATTTTAACAGTGAGAAAACACTGTTAGAAGCATATAACATTGCCAAATGTAGGTGGCAGCTTAACCTTTAAGTTAATGGATGGTAGATTTTAAATAAAAGCAATCATTCTGGCACGTTCTTCCTGGTGATCTCTTCTGCACATCACTTCTCCGGAGGGCTACCACAGGCAGAAAGACCTTGTTACAGAGAGACGTAAAGAGAGCAAACTTATCAAGACAGTTATGCTAATCTCCGAAGTCTGAGTTCAAATGATCTGGACTTTGTATTAGAAAGCAAAAAGACATCTAGTCCCGCTCAGGAATACGCTGTTTTCTGAACTCTGAATCTGCCTGTTCAGTCTTTGCCTGCAGCCACCATGACAACCCTTCAGGAGAGCAGGGTGTGGCATCAATGAATTTGCAGATCACTGCAGGTAAGCAGCTTGCTAATTAACTGTTCAGGAAATGGCAAAGATCCAGTCCCCACTTCTAGCACATGGAAAATAAACATGATTATACTGAAAACACCTTTAAGAAACACAGAAGGAATCATCCTACTGCTCCCACCCCCACTTTTTGTAAACGGAAAAGCAGGCCAAGGGAGCAAGAACTTGGCATGGGTTCTCAGATGTAGAAGCTTATGTAGTCATAGTCAGAACTTCTTTAGTGTTGAGAAATTAGATTCAGGATATTGTTAAATTATACCAAGTCCTTCAGACATTATGGATAAGTATTTTGACCCTGGAAACTAGAAGTTTAATTTAGACAAAACCATGTGCATTCTAAAAATGTTTTTAAGGATTTCTAAGTAGGACTCAAATAGGTAAGAACTGATAGACATGGTGATGTCCCTAGACAGTCTAACTTTATTACTAAACAGATTTCATACTGAACTTTGTTTTTCATAAGATACTGAACTGAAACCATGTTTAGCATTTTAGTAGCAACACATCTATTTTTAGTATCTCAACTTTTACCCTAATTTATCAAACCAGTTAAACACGGAATATTATATCAAAGCAAAAAAACAAAAACAAAAAACCGATGCTACAAATAGCTAGGAAATGGCTAGAAAATGTACAGCACTGGGAGTTGATACAGATGTATTCTGCTCACTTCTCAATTAGGAGCTTATTAGACAAAGATGATCACTACTATCACCTATGAATAAAAAATGAAGTCAGAAGTGAAGTCGTTTGTGACTAGGAAATGGGGGTACAGAGAACCACTGTAAATACAATGTGCAGTTCTGGGATGAGGTTATCAATTTTCTAACAACATGTGAGACATAACCAGAAGAGTGGCAGCCTTAGAACCAACACAATTAGACACCCAAGCTGCTTCATCCCAAAGGGGTCGTGGGGCTGGAAATGGGAGCAGGGGACAGAGCAGGGCAACAGAGCAGGGCTGAACTTGGAATTCCCAAGTGCATTCCAAAAATCCTTGCCCTCCCCTTCAATTCTGTCCTCTCCTTTCGTGTAGTCTTACTGATATATTTAATCATTTGAAAGCACATATAAAACCTAGAAAAATGTTTTAATAGCCAAAAATGACCTTCCCTAAAAAATTCCTAATCTCTTTAAAATGACCTCTTATAAATTCCCAGTTATTTTCATAAGCTGTTTTCCACAATATAATAACAAACGGTGGATGAATCTCCCATCCTTTTTAGGACCAAAGATCACTTTCCTTGTTGTAATGAGACGTCTAATCTGGGCCTACACAGGGACTCTTTCAAGCATTTGTAGCTTATAAGAGTCCAAATTTGGGATCCTAATTATATATATGTGATGCTTGGAGTTTGAATTGTTTTTATTTTCAGCAAACTGTCTTGTGTGGTTTTTCCATATATTCAGTCTTCCCATTCTAAACAAGCTGCTTGGTAGGAGGCCAGGAAGTCCAACGAGTGAATGGATCTGTGACTCTCACAGGATGTTTTTATGAATTTTATGACTCTTTCGAGATACACATACATCTAACACAGAAAGATTACTGTCAGAAGAACCACTGAACCACTAAAGCCTTATGATTCATTGCTAATGTTCTATTTTTTCTAGTGCACTTTTAGGTGAATGACAAATTATTTAACATTAAACTTTCCATATCATGGGTTCAAAACTGTAGGAAACTACACAATTTCTGGAAAAAAAATACATTGATTCATTGCAATTAATTCTGTATTTGTATTTGAAAGTATGACCTCACAGCTTAGTTTGCATACAGCAAACATAGACGTCTATGTGGCTGCCAAAGTTTAGTTTACACTTTAAATATCTTAAATTCTTATCGGAAAGTTCCCTTCTGAAAAGGACTTTATGTATTTTCTTTTTTAAAAGAAATAATGTTTAGTTCAGAGATGAGCATGCAAAAAAAAAGAAATCATGTTGCTGGTGATGAGCAAAATGAAGATAAGTGGGTCTGGAGCACCCTCTTTAAAAGGCCATGAAGAACAACACTAGCTACTGTTTAGCAACCTTACATATATTTTTCCTCTCAAAATGCACAGCTGAATCATTTGCGTGAATGACTGGTATTAGTATTTGTTTTGAACTGGACACCATGATGGGCCTAAAGATCCCTTTCAGACACCACAGGCTCTGGCGTTTCATCTACTTTATAAGGTGGTCTCCTAGACAGCAGTCCCCATATAAGCATAGGTCTTTGAGGTTGGTAGTTAAGTACATTCTCATTTTAACTCTCTATTATGAAAAATCTGATAATATTCTAGACTTTAACATTTTTCCAACCTTCTAGGTCACATATTTACACTTTTTACCCAAGGGAGTTCATGGATCATAAATTAAGAAACTCCTGAGTTTAGGATCTGAAGAAAGTGAAGGGCTGGGTACTGTTCTAAGTAATGTATTTTTAGGCACATTCACAAAATATGAAAACAGCTTCCCTACATAACCTCTATATTGCTAAAATGACATTTAAACTTGCAGTTAATATTAAAGACTTAGTACTTAGGACAAATGATCAAAAATCAGAATTCTAAAGCTGTGGTGTAGCATCTGCACAACAGAAAGCCGAACTTGCAGAAGCCTGAGTTAGCAGGTGTGCTACCAAGTAAGCCCTCATCATCAGAAACATCTCACACTTACTTTCACCACCTATGAAAAGAAATTAGCTTGAAGAAACTGGACACTTAATAACCATAAGAGAAACTTCCAGCAGTACTTCATAGATGGCAATTTTGTTGCTTAGTTCATGAAAATTCAGCAGAGAGAATCTAAACAGCAAAACTGCATGCATTTTTTTATCGTTGTTTTCACTAACTCAGGACTATCATTCTTCGTCACTAATATATTGTCACTATCAAATTTAACATGCAAAATGTTTAGAATGGCACCTGGCACATAGGAACTGCTCTGGTAACCATCTCTATGTTGTTATTGTTGACAGCACCACCAGAAAAAGGATGTCTAGGATCAGGATGCCCTATTCACCCTGATACCCAAAGGGCAATGTACAGGTCTAACGATAATATTGTACCACTGAGAAGCAACATGTCTTCCTGGGCAAACTGAAATTTGAGTGGAGTAACGAGCTTGTCCCTCTGCCTAAGAGGTTCCTTTTTAGCACTGAAGTCTAGAGAAATCACTCAAGTTCTTAGCAAACTGGGACAGCTAGCCAACTCTGCCTCTGAGCTTGTTTCTTCCTCTAGAAAACACAGACAACTTAATACCTATAGGGTTATTGTGAGATTTAAATGGGATAATACATGTTAGAAGCCACTCAGCTATCACTCTAGCACTGTCCACCCTCACAGGCCTCCACCTCAGGCAAGTCATTTACCTCCATGCCTCAATTTCCTCAGGTGTGAGAGGGGAGACTACCACTCACTCGGTAGGACTCAATGTGAGAACGCATGCTGATGGCCATGCCACAGGCACAGGAGGCAGCAAGGATGACTATCATCAAGTATGCAGCCCCTTTCCTAGCAATATCAAGCAGTTAGTACATGTGTGCTATTTTCTAAAAAGACCTTGAAAATTAGGACAGTTCTGGGGCTAAGTTTTCTTAATTAGTGCTTAATTAACTGCTGCTTTGTTTAGTGAATCTAAGAAACTGCACACAACAGTCATCAGACTAAAATAGCTGCTAAAAAAGGGTAACAGAGGCCCAGCCTGGTGGCTCATGCCTGTAATCCCAGCACTTTGGGAGGCTGAGGGGTGGCAGCATGGCTTGAGGCCAAGAGTTCAAGCCCAGCCTGGGCAACACAGCAAAACTCCATCACTACAAAAACTGTTTAAAATAATCTGGGCATGATGGGTAGGCACCTCAGCTACTTAGAAGGCTGAGGCAGGAGGACAACTTGAGCCCAGGAGTTCGAGACTGCAGTGAGCTATGATCACACCACTGTATCCCAGCATGGGCACCAGTGCAAGATTCTGTTTACAATAAAAAATTTTAGGCCAGGCATGGTGGCTCATGCCTGTAATCCCAACACTTTGGGAGGCCTAGGCGGGCATATCACCTGAGGTCAGGAGTTAAAGACCAGCCTGGCCAACACGGTGAAACCCCATCTACAATAATTAGCCAGGCGTGGTGGCATGCACCTATAATCCCAGCTACTCGCGAGGCTAAGGTGGAAGAATCGCTTGAACCCAGGAGGCAGAAGTTGCAGTGAACCGAGATTGTGCCACTGCACTCCAGCCTGGGAAAAAGAGCGAGACTCCGTCTCAAAAAAAAAAAAGAAGAGCAACAAAATTCAGAGAAGCTAAAATAGTATGCTATATTTAAATGTGTTTTACCTGAATAGATTTCAAGTGTGTAGTATTTTTAAAGCTGCTGCTACATAGGTAGATTAAATATTTTAAAGTACACAATTTTTTGTATTTAAAAAACTCCTTCCTTCTAAATTTAATAAGTTTAAACTTTGTTCACAACTATTAATCTGTTACTCATTTTTTCATTTTCAAATAATAAATTTCTTACATTTGCAAGAACTCCCACATGTGCTTTTTGAAGCTCAGCTTCTATCAAATCTTAATCTCTAATCCTAAAAAACTAGTAACCAGCAACTAGCATAACATTAAAGACAGCATGAACAGTTCTACCACAGCTAAACTGCACCAAGAAATCAGCTCTTTTACCAGGGTTCTGACAAGATTCTGCCCCTCAGGGACCACCTGGTAATGACATTTTTGGTGGCCACAATGGGGAGAGAGTAGGGACATGCGTGCTACTAGTGTCTAACGACACTGCTCAACATCCTACAGTGACAGAATAGCCACCCACCACAGAGAATTACCTGACCCAAAATGTCAGCAGTGCTGAGGCTGGGAAACCCTAACGTACACAACAAAAGGAAGGTGAGGATTCAACCACGCCAGACGGCAGCTGCCTCCTCATCAGCACCTCCTCCACACTCACCCTGAACACAGCCACAGTGAAGGAAACTTCACAGCACTGACACCCCAGTTACATACCTTCTTTGGCACTTTGGGGGCTACCAGTATAGAATCATCAGGAATCTGTAGTTACACCTATTTTGTGACCCCAGTAATTAGACCTTTTGGGTTATGTTCTTATTTTCACACAAATGACAGGTAAGGTTTTTTTAGAAAATAAATGTGGTATCTATTCCCATATAGAGGTTATCCCTATGATTCACAATAATGTTTTAACTTTTAAAAGAATTAAACAGTTCTATTTGCAGCGGTGTAACAAATTTTAATTCAAAATAGACACTCTGAAAACAATAGGTAAAAAAAAAAAATGTTCAACAAGCTCTCTTTGAATTTACAACAGAGTACACCAACAATCATAAACCAGTTTCACAACTGCCTCAAATATGAACATTATAGCAATTACATGCAAGTATTATATTTTTTAAAATCCACATAGTAACATTATGTTTCTCAGAGGCTGTCACATCCTCCAAATATTTCTACCTAAAGATAGAGTGAAGGGGTTCCTCTGCTGTGTACCACCAGAAATATGACTTACCATCTAAACTGGCTGGTCTCCATGACTGGTTCTGGTGCTTTAAGTTTTAATATCGTGTGGGGAAAAAAACGAGGTTTAACATCCACAGGACAGTGACGACAATGGAGATTCTTTAACAATATGCCATCCCATCGACCCGGACACAGCTTCCAGCCTAAACCAGCTAGAGAAAAGCCCGTTTCTCCACTAAACATGACCTTCAGAAAATGTGGTCAAAGACTTACTGTACCAACCATGGAGACTGAGATCTCAGTCTGTAAACTTCGCCATGTCCCCTGAAACCCTATGCTGAAATTTAAGTTAGTTTTCACACTCAGGGGCAATAATCTTATTCCTGAGTATCATAGACCTTCCCTTTCACTAGTTTATGAGTAGTTAAGTTAGGAGAAGAGTTTTGGGGTGTATTCTTTCAATGTTTATTCTAAAGGCACTAAAAATTTATTGTTTTACCTCTGAACGGAGAAATGACTTAGCATATCAAAAGGGAAAATCTACACTGAAAAATATTTCTGCATCTACAGAATAAATTTATTTGTAAAATAACTCTTGATGTATGAGCTACATACCAGCATACCAGATGTCAAATTCAGTCTACTTTTAACAAATAAAAACATTTGATTTTCTATGAGTTATGGTTAAAAAAAAAAACAGCTATTAGGATAAACCTAAAAAAATACAGATCTAAATTATAATCTATAAGCAAAGATCTTACAAAGAAGTCAGCGTAAGTTAATGCAGTGCATCCTCAGGGAGCCTTATACATACATCACAGGGTTTGTACCCACGTCTCTGAACACTCACTGTACCATCTGCTGCTACAGGGAAAGCTGAAGGAGATCGATGCTTCCACTCGCAGTTAAATCAAGTATTCTGAAAAAGGCTGAAATGTCCTTAATGAAAAAGCAAATTATTTATAGATTTCAGTTTCTTATCATACGATACTGACACTAGTGGGAAAACAAGGCGTGCATGAAATATCAAAAGATTTCATTTACATGACAGAGAAAAAAACCTGAAAACAACTGTTCTGTTACAAATCAAACTGCAGGAAACAATAGATGTGAAATAACTACTGGCTTCCTGGTAACAGGGGTCTCTCCAGCACCTGAAGTAACTCTGCAGAGCAGCACAGTGACCACTGAGGTTGATTCACCAACACAGTGAGGACAACACTGTGAAATTTCAACTGAAAAAAATCTACCTACTACTTTAGAGTTACTTTTTTTTTTTTTTGCAAGTTTTATGGTTCATATTCAAAGTTCAATCTATGTTTCACATTTTTAAGTTCAGACATATCAAAGCCTAAAAGTACAGAAGGCTTGTGATTTTTTATTGCTTTCATGCAAATATACCTTCTTTTTCCAAAAAATGAAGCCACATCAATTTTCCACACCCAAAAGAGTGAGGACAACAGTTCTATTTCCTTTTTACTAGGATATGGTTTCTTATGGAAATAATCTTTAAGAAATTGCTTCTTTTCTTCATAAGAACGGCCTTCATATTTTTTAGGATCTAATGCTAAAATCTGAAGAGCCTCGTCCTTGACAATAGGTCCCTCTGTTCTGCTTTCATTCCTTTGTCTTTTAAAAGGCACAACACTCGTCACCTTTTCTGGACCCGGGGCTGCATCGGCATTTAGGATGGGAGGCTGCTCCTCCCCATGCCGCTGGTCTTCGGCCCCTAAGTGGCCGTCAGGCAGCTTTCTCTTAACAGAAAAACTGGAATCATGCATCACTTCACCACTGACTAAAAGCAGTTCACTGTTGTGAATAAAACCCGGCTGGGCCTGCAGGTCTGAGCTGCTGTCCTTGGGAGCACTTCTGCAGCGCACCAAATGGACGGCGATGGCAGCCAGGGTCATATTTCCCGTGTAGACCCCACAGCAGTGGATGCACTTGAAGGCGGGAGACTTCAGGACCGTGTGGACTGTGGGCATGATGTGGTGCCTCTCCTTCAAATGCAGCTCATAGGCCTCAGTTGTCACAAAGGGGCCAAAGCAAAAGGGGCAGGTGGACACTCGCTTGCCGGTGCTCCCGGGGGTGCCCTCAGCCTGAGGCCTCACCTTCACATACACAGGCACCAGTGACTTGGAGTGTATCCCAGCCAGGATTGCCAAGTAGACTTCCCGCTCCCCAAGCTTCTCCTTTGGCAATATGGTGATGAAATCAAGGTGGGGAAAGAGCAGGTTGCCATTGGCATCGACATCTAATTGAAAACCTCTGTTGCTATAATCCATAGGCAACTTCTTCTTCCCCAGGTGCCTATTCCTGCTGTGCTCTGAAAGACCTTTGATATCATGGAAGGTGCATGGACAGAACAAGCACCCCAAGCCATGCATCAGCAAGTGGTGTATAAGCTCTTCCTCAGAGACCAAGCACTTACAAGACAGACATCGCACCGTTTTCTCTCTCATCCACTTTAGAAATGGTGCACACGCTGCCAGTTTTTCAGGCTCAAGTTTCTCACCAGACTTGGACTCGCTGTGCTTATGCGCTACCTCCATGTGGACCTGGTAGACGTTGGACGGAAAGAGCTCGTTGCAGACAGGGCAGGTCTTCCACTGCTTGGCCTGTTTGAGCACCTGGTTTGTGTCTGCTGCAGAGGAGGAGGCCTGAACAAACACGCTCTGAGCAGCATTCACCAGCACTGGAGGAGAGGGCATGCCGGGCATGGAACCGGCCATTGGTGCAGCTGCACCTGACGGCAGGAGCTGGATGGGCATCTGGGGCGGAGCGACAGTCGCAAGGCCTCCAGGGGGAACCGGCAGAGTGACAGACACGGGGGCCAGCGTGTAGGTTGGAATCCCATTCACTTGTTTCCCTGTAGGGATGAGCTGTCTGAGAATAGAGCCTGATGTCAGGAAGGTGGTGTTCTGCGAAGCACCAGGTCTCACTGGCTGATTCACAGGCAGAATGTTGGTGCCCACAGTCTGGTTGAGTTGCAAGACCCCAGGCCTCACTGGCTGGCCCACAGGAAGAACTCCCGACACAACAGGCTGACTAAGCTGCAGAACACCAGAATTCACACCCTGGTTTACAGGCACAACAGCTGAGGAGGAGACTGTCTGGTTGGGAGAAAGAAGCCCAGACGGGACCACCTGGCCTGCAGAGATAACCCTCAATGGGGCTGTCTGGCCTGGGGGAAGAACCCGTGACGGAGCTGTCTGGCCCACAGGGAGAACTCCTGACTGGACCATCTGGCCAGTAGGAAGAACCCCAGAAGTTGCTGTTTGCCCAGGGATAACCCCTGCAGGAGTCATCTGGCCTGCAGGAGTCATCTGGCCTGCAGGAAGGACTCCAGACGGGACCGCCCGACTCACAGAAAGCACCCCTGGCGAGACAGCCTGCAGGACCCCAGGGGTGACAGAGGGGCTCACAGGAAGAACACCAGGCCCAACAGGTCTGTTTATGGGTCCCACAGGCTGGGTGAGGGGTAAAACCCCAGGGCGAACAGTCTGATTTATGGGGAGGACACTAGTTCCAACAGACTTATTGACAGGTCCGACTGGCTGACTCAAGGGCAACACAGGAGGATTCACAGACTGATGAAGTGGAACCCCGTGAGAAAGAAAGACGGGCTGAGGTGCTGGGGGCTGCAGGGTGAGGCTGTTCTGGCCCACAGGCAGAGGGCTGGAGACCAGAGTCATGTGGGATTGGCCAGCAGCAGGGGGGGAATGAGTGAGGCTTCCAGGGGCACCCTGGGCCACAGTCACTGGCTGTCCTGCGGCTGGGCTTGGACTGTTCTGTGGCAAAGCAAGATGGAAGCAAGGAGGCTGCGCTGGAGCGCTTGGAGCACTGCCATTTGCTGGTGCAGCCAAATGTGCTGCTGGTTTTGGAGCAATGTGCGTTTGCTTCAAGAGTCCAGTCCTCTTAATATGTTCTGAAATCACAGATCTAAGCTTATTCTCCAAATCTCTGTGTATGTCTGATGTCAAAATGTGATACATTAACGCATCCTGGCTGCTGGCATTGGCGTTGCACTTTTTACAGTAATATTTGTCAGGTGGTGGGATCTTCTCTATAGAAACAGTATCGTTAGTTTTCGGTTGCTCACCCATTTCCTCAGTTCTTAGGCCAAAGTAGGAGTTAATTAAGTAGTGAAAATGGGCTACCAGCACATGCTTCTTCATGCTGTAGTACAAAGTGTTTGAAAAGTTACATTTTAGACATGTGAAACTTATCACATCGCTCCTAGATGATTTAGTTTCACCTAAAATATTCACTGTGTAGTTCTGGACTTTCCGGACAGGTGCATGGAACATTCTGAAGTGCCTTCCCACAACTTTGGGCTGAGATGCAAATACACAGTTTGGGCAAGGGATCACCAGCTCTTGGTCAATTTCATCTTCATGGTAACGATGTAAATGATTCTTGAATGAAGTAAGCACCTTTGTAGAGTATTTACAGAGGCCACAACAGTATGGCTTTGTTCGATATCTCTGTTAAAAGAAAAGAAAGCCTTAAGCATAATTGAATAAACTGTCAGATGCTAACCTTCCACAGTCCCTGAGGACTTGATCCCTTTTCTTCTAATGTGCTAGGCATTTAACCTGACTTAATGTTTTCTAACCCAGGGGTTGGCAAACTTTTTCTGTGAAGGGCCAGAGAGTGATTATGTTAGGACTGTGGGCCATACAGTACAGTCTCTGTGGCAACTACTCAGCACTGCCATTGTTGTACAAAAGTCCCCAAAATAATTTGTAATTTATGTTCCAATAAAACTTTATTTACAAACACCAATTTGAATTTCATATACTTTCCACATGTCACAAAATAGTATTGTCATTTTTTTCTTAAACATTTAAAAGCCTAACAACCACTCCTAGCTCATGGCTCACGGGCTAATTCATACAAATATAGGATTTGGCTCACAACTCATAGTTTGCTGACCCCTGTTCTAAGTCATCCACTAAAACCACAAATATAATTACTTAGTCCTGTATTCTGAATTATTAATAACAGCATCAATTTTAAAAGCTTCATTAATTTTCTACAAAAGAAAGTTATTTTCTCCCCCTCATCCCATTTCTCTTAATTCCAATGTTGTTTTTGCTCCAAATTCTAAAACCTCTGGAATTTATCCATAACTAACCTAGCTTTCAAAATGTTAAACCCATCATTACTATCTTTCTACTTCCTCTATTTCTAGAGAAGGTAGGAGCCAAATGGACAGTGTTTGGCCCATGCAGGTACCCAATAAACTATCTGATAAAACAGTAAAGAAAGTGAGACTAAGCCTAAACTCACACTATGGATGACCCTAAGATAAGGGTAAGGCCACAGAACGCAACACTGACCATATGGGATTTCTATTTAAAGCACATTTTGGGAAATTTAACAAGTTCGCGGCCTAAAAGCATATTCATACAACAGGATGCAATCTGTTCTAACATCTAGTAAGACTTGCTGGTTTGCAATAACTTGAGAGCACAGTGAAATCTTTGGTCTCATGACAGAGTCTTGAGAACCCAGAGCTGGTGAAACACAAAACACCTGCTCCCCAGTTCCACAAACAAGGAAGCTAAGACCTAGCTTCATCTAAAGCCCCAGAGCTGGCTGTGGTACTACCACAGTGATCAAGGGTTAATTCTCATCCTTTCCTAAATCTGTGTGCTCATTATCACTCTCTCTCACACACACACACACACACACACACACACACACTCTTCCATTCTTCAGTTTTTTGTTTTTTTTGACAGAGTCTCACTCTGTTACTGAGGCTGGAGTGCAGTGGCGTGATCTCAGCTCACTGCAACCTACGCCATCCCGGTTCAAGCGATTCTCCTGCCTCAGCCTCCTGAGTAACTGGAGTTACATTACGAGATATTTTAAGAATTCGGATGAGAAAAATCAATGGGGCTTGCTATTCATGAAGTCAAGATCTGCTAAATGAGGCATCCTGTAGTAGCCACAAGCTGTGCTCAGGTGGAGGAGAACTAAATCACAGTGGTTTCAAGGAAACTTGCAACTCATGGTAGAGAGGAGAGTGTCAGGTCAGAGACTGAAAAATGGGTCTCAACAAACCTCTACAAAAAATAAAAATAAAAATGCTTATCTGGGCATGGTGGCATGCACCTGTAGTCTCAGCTACTCAGGAGGCTGAAGTGGAAAGACACCTCGAACCCAGGAGGTCAAGGCTGCAGTGAGCTTAAGACCACGCCACTGGACTCCAGCCCAGGCAACAGTGAGACCCTGTCCCCCCAAAAAAAAAAAAAATTCTGACAACGACTAATTACTGAAATACCTTAAAGCCCAAATTCCCAAGGCCAGCATGACTTTGACCACAGAAGCTGGTGAGAGGGGACAGCCAAGTCAAGTCTGGGATGAGCTGAGTCTGATACCGAGGAAGGTGCTAACAACTGGTGGCAGAAAAGGTGTCCCAGAAAACACTTTAATGAGAATTCAGCAGTATGGCTCATGTTTTAGCCTGAATTTGCTTAAAAGTTTGAGGTTTCTAATTACTTAAAATGTTCCTTGATTCAGAGGTCTACATTTTTATTTCAGTTTCTGAAACCAGGATGTACATTCACTGTATGCACTTAATGTAGTGGCATTTTGTTTTACTCAGAACAATTATTAAATCAAACGTCCTTCTTACAGCAATGATATCTTATAATCAAGGACAAACAACAGTTTCACTGCATCACTGTATCAACTCTGCACACAGAACAGAGCATCAGTAACCCTGCCTGACCACACACTATACTTGGTTTCTTGCTACTTCTCTGAAAGGTTGCATTATTCCTCCTCCCCATTCACTCACCAGCAACCCCAATACATGTGATGTTCTTTAGACCACATTTACAGTCACTGCTCACTTTTGAGGAAACATGAAAAACAAATGCAAAAAATACATACCACTTTCTTTCCAGAAGGTTCCCAGAGAGAAACATCACCCCATGATGTGTTATGAAAGTATTTCTCTCCTGGATCAAAGCCTTTAAGGTCCTTTTAAAAAGGGAGAAAAAAAAGAGATTATGTAAATTCAGAAGATAAAGAAATATTTAATTAGAACCTGATGAGATTATAAGGCCGGGCATAGTGGTTCATGCTTGTAATCCCAGCACTTTGGGAGGTTGAGGAGGGTGGATCACTTGAGGCCAGGAGGTCGAGACCAGCCTGGCCAACATGGCGAAACTCCATCTCTACCAAAAAATACAAAAATTAGCTGGGCATGGTGGCACATGCCTGTACTCCAAGCTACTCGGGAGGCTGAGGCAGGAGAATTGCTTGAACCCGGGAGGTGGAGGTTGCAGTGAGCTGCACTCAAGCCTGGGAGACAGAGCAGGACACCATCGAAAAAGAAAAGAAGAAAGAGAGAGAGAGAGACAGAAAGAGGGAGAGGGGAGAGGGGAGGGGAGAGGAGAGAGGGGAGGAAGAGGGGAGAGAGGAGAGAGTGAGAGAGAGAAAAAAAGAGAGAAAGAGAAAAAAGAAAGAGAAAGAGAAAGAGAAAAGAGAGGAAGGAAGGAAGGAAAAAGAATGAACCTGATGACATTACTTGGTACCTAAGAAATCTACAGGGGAAAAGAGAAATGAAAGTATAGTCATCCCTCGGTATCCATAGGGGACTGGTTCCAGAACCACCTGGAGGCACCAAATCCAAGACTGCTCAAGTCTCTTATGTTAAATCGTGCAGTTACTTGCATGTAACCTATGCACATCTTCCTACTTACCTTGTTTAGAGAACAGTGACAAGAAAACAAGTCTGTACATGTTCAGTACAGATGCAACCATGCATTTTCTCTCCCAAATATTTTCAACAGACAGTTGGTTTAATCAACAGATGCAGAACCCCTGGATACAGAGGACAGACTATAAAGCTCTCAGCAAGTTTTGATGGAGTACCCTTTAAGTATGAAATCTGAGGAAAAGGTTGAAATAATCCAAGTCAAAATTACAGATTCATAAGAAATAAACAGAGGAGACCTCCCAACAAATAACTATCTACATCCTCTATATGTACGCAAAGCCTAAACGTAAGGATTCTAAAACCCATGTAGCTTCATGAGTACATATAAAGAAACAAAAAAGTACTTCAAAGTAAAACAATCTTCATCTGGGTTGGTTCCAAGTCTTTGCTATTGTGAATAGTGCTGCAATAAACATACATGTGCATGTATCTTCATAGTAGCATGATTTATAACTCGTCATTTACATTAGGTATTTCTCCTAATGCTATCCCTCCCCCTGCCCCCCACCCCATGACAGGCCCGAGTGTGTGATGTTCCCTGCCCTGTGTCCAAGTGTTCTCACTGTTCAATTCCCATCTGTGAGTAAGAACATGCAGTGTTTGGTTTTCTGTCCTTGCAACAGTTTGCTCAGAATGATGGTTTCCAGCTTCATCCATGTCCCTGCAAAGGACATGAACTCATCCTTTTTTATGGCTGCATAGTATTGGTACATGTATACATATGCAACAAACCTGCACGTTGTGCACATGTACCCTAGAACTTAAAGTATAATTAAAAAAAAAAAAAAAAAGAATCTTCATCTTGAACACCGTCTTTTTAAACTATACCTTACCGCTATTGTTCAATCCATTCGTCTTAGGGAATGAAAGAAAAGTGTATTTTTTTCTTACTCTTTAAATACCTTTCAAAGCAGTTAAACAAAGATCTAGAACGTATAGAGGATTTTTTTCTCAGATGGAATCAATCATTTTTCACTCAAAAAGTTACACTTGCTAGAGTGAGAAAATTATGCAAAAGACCTATAGTGTAGACAAGGGTGTCAGGAAAACCTCACAATCAGCTGAAAGAGGCAGTAGTGTGAGAAACACACTGCGTATTGGTAACTCTCAGGGGCAGGTGAACATGGAGAGAAGAGGAGCACGCAGGTCCCAGAAAGGGGTCCAGAGGCCAGAAATGCATGAGCCGAGACCTCCCACAGCAGCAGCATCCTCAGAGCAGGGGTTCAACGGCTGACTTCCAAAGCCTGCTGGCAGCAGGTAGGGAAGGGAGGAAACGTAGAAGGAAGGCCTCCACCTTACGTGCAGGTAAAATGGCCTAAGACAAAACAATTACAAGCTCCACAGAACAGTAATCTACCTCATCCTTTCGCAGTCATCACTAATCCAACCCTCAAATATTTCCTTTTGGACTCTGGGAACCCAACCATGGATAAGACAGATGGGATCCCAACCTCACAGTTTCACAACTGAGAAACACAGATATTTTGTAAAATTGTTTTTCACAAGAAACTACTGTCTTTCATGGGTGGTAGGTGCTATGAATAATGACTGTGAAGTGGTAAAGGAGTATAACGCAGAGAGCTCCAACTGTGTCTGCCTGACCTGACGTGGGCGGGGGGGCGGGGGCTGGGGTGGCTAACATGACAGGGAGGGAACAGGAGAGAGAGAAACAACAAGGCCTGGGGCAGAATCCTGATGAAGTGCAGGGCGGCAGAGGGTTTTAAATAAAACTGTATCAAAAAGTGAAAATCAGACACTGAGAAGGTGTACAAGAAAAACATTTTCCATTTCTAAAATTGTAAAGTCCATGTGGCCCAAGATTACTTTTCTTCTTTTTCTCTGAGTTGAAAGAAGTAAAAATCTACTCCTGTTTTGCTCTCAGCTACTTCACAAAGCGTGTAGAAAGTGTAGTCATACAAAACACTTTCTTTACCTGTGCAGCATAGCTCACTTATTTAAAAGTGCAGACTGTATTAAGAAGTGAGCATAAAGACGTATCAAGTCCATAATCGCGTGATATGGACAGTCCTGTGAGGTAACAGTGCATTCAGAATTAGCTCACGAAGCCAACTTCAGAACCTACAGAAAAGTATAAGTACAAATGCTCAAAGACAAATGAGACAAATGCTCAAAGAATGGGCCCATCCTCACAGGCCCTTTAGGGGAGGGGTCATGACAAAAGCACCAGGAGCACCTGGATGTTGTAACATTTGAGCATCAGAAAGACAAATGGCCGTAGAGACCCAAACACACGAAGTCACAGGAGATCCACAGAAGTGCTCAAGAAAGTCAGAAAAAAAGGCATTTCACGAATCACCATTGGGAAAGGTTAACTAACTACTCACTTTGAAAAGTCACAGCTCAAAGGAAAGGATAAAACTATCCTGCCTTTCCCAGAGGCACTATATTTCAGAGAAACCAAACAGTCCCAACTGCTGAGTAAAACAAGAGTTTACAGAAGAATGTCTGCTAACAATCTACATGTGACAGAATCAGAAACACCTCATTCACAGCAAGCCCCCAAATAAAACTACCATCTAGGACCAGGATCATCAACAGGTGTTAAATGCATTGCATTCCAGTCCACAGAAAGAACATAATGCACACAAAGACCAGACTGCCATCTATTGTATTGAAGCAACAAAATATGACTGGGGTCCCTGAAGTGACACAAGAAGCATAGAACATCATATATATTCTAGCCCAAAATGTTTAACTTGAATCAACTGGGCCTTTCAGTAGAACTTCTCATTTAAAAGAAGCTCAGGGGACAGGGGACTAAGCTGAAACAACACTATAAGAAAGTACCAGACACATCTGGAAGGAGGGGCATCTCTGCAGGACAAGAGGCTGGTCTGGCCAACAGTCAGGGAAAGCACTGCAAACCCAACCACTAGATGTAACAGGGTCCACAACAAATCCTGGCTTACATAAACCGAGTGTAAAAAATGTTCTGGGGGTCGGGTGTGGTGGCTCACACTTGTAATCCCAGCACTTTGGGAGGCTGAGGTGGCTGGATCATCTGAGGTCTGGAGTTTGAGACCAGCCTGGCCACATGGTGAAACCCCATCTCTACTAAAAATACAAAAACTAGCTGGGCGTGGTGGCGGGTGCTCGTAATCCCAGCTACATGGGAGGCTGAGGCAGGAGAATTGCTTGAACCAGGGAGGCAGAGCTTGCAGTGAGCCGAGATCTCACCACTGCACTGCAGCCTGGAAGACAGAGCGAGACCCCATCTCAAAAAAAAAAAAAAAACAAAAAAAAAGTTCTGGGTAAAACTGAAGAAATCTGAGTATGGACTGCATATTAAATAAGGTGAATATGTAATACATGACAAGACAGAACAGAGAAAAGTGAAAAAAGCAAGTGGTAAAATAGCTAATCAATACAATCTCATGGTAAGAACAATAAACACACAGAAACAGCTAACAATACGATGTTAATGGTGGCAACTTCTGAATGACAGAAATGTGGCATTTTAAATTTCATTTTCTAATTAGAAACGGTTACCTGCATTTTCAAACATTCATAGATTACAGTATTATTTTTATAACAATGATTACTTTAAAAAAAAAGCTACAGAAAAATAGTTAATACAATTACCTTTAACTCTACGCTAGTATGTAGCTTACCAAGTCAATTCAGAACTAACAAGAAAAAGACAAGTTATTACAAATATTTCTTTATTTTTATTTATTTATTTCTTTTTTTGAGACGGGGTCTTGCTCTGTCGCCCAGGCTGGAGTGCAGTGGTGCAATCTCGGCTCACTGCCGCCTCCACCTCCCGTGTTCAACCAATTCTCCTGCCTAAGCCTCCCCACTAGCTGGGACTACAGGCACATGCCACCACGTCGGGCTAATTTTTGTATTTTTAGTAGAGACGGGGTTTCACCATGTTGGCCAGGCTGGTCTCAATCTCCTGACCTCGTGATCCATCCACCTCGGCCTCCCAAAGTGCTGGGGTTACAGGTATGAGCCACCGCACCTGGCCAAGTTATTACAAAGATTTCTACTGAAAATTAGGTTATTTTCAGAACTATCTTAAAAGATAAAGTATACAACACACAGGT
Organism: Homo sapiens; assembly: GCF_000001405.40. Taxonomy (NCBI): domain Eukaryota; kingdom Metazoa; phylum Chordata; class Mammalia; order Primates; family Hominidae; genus Homo; species Homo sapiens. The sequence continues at coordinate 80,128,290 of NC_000018.10, read as the reverse complement.
CCTTTATTCTGATTCCAACAAAGAGCAAACATATCTGAAACAAACAGAAATAAGCATAAACACTAGGAAACACAAAGGAACTGTCAGTACATCTTCAAAACCAGCACACACAAGAATCTAAGCCCAATTAAAAGATGCTGCTAGAGCAGCAGAAATGAATAAAGAAGGCTGGAATTAACAAGAGCCCCACAGTAATTATGAAGTCATTATCACCTGATAGAAAGCAAGAATTCACTATTTCAAAATAGACAAAAGAAGTAAGCTACTATTAAAAAGGGGCATCCTGCCATATTGACCTTGTGATAAATTTGCACAGGGTCTCCTGAAGACTTTTTCTGAGCACTGAGGCTCTCATGTGTGAGAAAACCAGTGGGACTTTTCTACTGGCTCACTAGTGGGAACTAGTGAAAGGAGAAGGTAAAACAACTATCAAAATGCCAGAGTCCACCGGGAGAGGGGAATGACCCCTTAATACAGTGACATAAGTCAAGCCTTCACAGCAAGGTCTGTCTCCACAGTCCCAGGCTCTCCAGACCCACTCTAGCAATGCTTAAAAATTCCAAGTGTCTTAAACATGTTCTAGAACAAAGCCCAAATATATTTAAAGGAAACAACAAACTCTAGCACCCATAAACACAATGTCCAGTGTGTAGTCAAAAACTGCCAGTCAAAAAACAAAAAACAAAAACTTCCAGTCATACAAAGCAGCAGAAAAATATGACCCCAAACCAGGAGAACAACATGAACGCAACGAGAGAAGTGAAAGAAAGTGAAAGATGGATGGTAAATTGCACTTCCATGAATGAAAAATGCACTAACATGAAAAATATACTGCATGGGATTAAGAGCAGATTAGATGCTGCCGAAGAAAAGACTGGTAAATCTGAAGATAAAGCAAGAGAAATACACAAAATGAAAGAGGGAATGGTTAAAAAAAAAAAAAAAAAAAAACTGAAAAAACCCCAACAACGGCATCAATGAGCTATGGGACAGTATCAAGGAGCCTAATATACAGGAGTCCCCCCTTATCTGCAAAGGACATGTTCCAAGACCCCAGTGGATGCTGACACTGTGGACAGTGCCAAACGCTACATATACTACGTTTTTTCCTATACAGACATACCTACAATAAAATACAACTTATAAATTAGATTTGGTACAGGAAGTTGGTACACGAAGATATTAACAACAATAATAAACTAGAACAATTGTAACAATATACAGTAATAAAAGTTTTGTGAATGTGGTCTCTCAAAGTATCTTACATCCTGTGCTCACCCTTCTTGTGGTGGCATGCGATGACACGATGCCTGTGTGGCGCCTCACGTGACAAGATGAAGACAACTCAGAATGCCATGGAACTTAAAACAGATGAATTGTTTATTTCTGGAATTTTCCATATAATATTTTCAAACCGTGGTTGACTGTGGAGAGCAAAACTGAGGATACGGGGGAACTACTGTGTGTGTAATTGAGTATCAGGGACAAACGGGTGAGGGGAAGAAAAACTAGTTGAAGAAATGATGCCACAAAATTTTCCAAATCTGATGAGAACTATAAACCCACAAAATCAAGAAGCTCACCAGACTCTAAGCAAAAGACACACAAAGAAAACCAAACCAAGGCACATTATAGTCAAAGTATTAAAAATACAGAGAGGAACAAAAATGACAGAAAACATATTGTTGGAAAAAATGCCAGCCAGAAGACAAGAGTGAAATCTTTAAAATATAAAAAGGGGAAAAAAATAGCATTCCACACCTAGCAAAAATCTCTTCCTTCCTAAAAGACAACTTTTTTTTAGAGAGAAAGTATAGTGAGTTAATTAAGCACATCAGCACTACAAAATATGAAGTCCTTCAGGAGGCAGAGGAAATGACTCGAGATGGAAATACACATCTACGCAAAGGGATGAAGACTATCATCAATGACATGTAGATCAATATAATTTTTTTCTTTTTTACAGTTTAAAATAAAAGTAACAACATATTGTAAGATTTCTAACATGTGGAAGAAAAAATGTATAACAACAACAGAACAAAGGCTGGAAGAAGAAATTAAAGCATACTACTCTAAGGTTCTTATACTGTAGAAGAAGTAGTAGTATATTAAGAAAGTCAGAGAAAAAGATGTATAGCTAATAAGCCAGTAATAGAGATAAAATGGAATAAAAATATTCAATCCAAAAGAGAGCAGAAAAAGAGTGAAAAATAAAGAACAGATGAGACAAGTAAAAAAACAAACACCGAGATGGGAGATTTAAAACCAACCATATCAATAATCACATTAAATAAAAAGGACTGGCAAACTTCTTCTGTAAAGGACAGGTTAATAAACAGTTTAGGCTTTGCTGCCTGTAGAGTCTCTCATACAACTACTCAATCCTGCCACACCGTGCACAAAAGCAGCCTTGGACGATATATTAAACTAATGGGAATAGCTATTTCAATAAACTTCTTTTAATTAAAAAAATTTTTTTTGAGACAGTGTCTCACTTTGTCACCCAAGCTGGAGTGCAGTGGTGTAATCATGGCTCATTGCAGCCTTGAACTCCTGGGCTCAAGGGATCCTCCCACCTCAGCCTCCCGAGTACCTGACACTACCAGCGCACACCACCACACCTGGCTATTTTTTTTTATTTTTTTTTTGAGACGGAGTCTCACTCTGTCGCCCAGGCTGGAGTGCAGTGGCACATTCTAGGCTCACTGCAAGCTCCACCTCCCAGGTTCACGCCATTCTCCTGCCTCAGCCACCTGAGTAGCTGGGACTACAGGCACCCGCCACCAAGCCTGGCTAATTTTTTGTATTTTTAGTAGAGATGGGGTTGCACCATGTTAGCCAGAATGGTCTCGATCTCCTGACCTCGTGATCCGCCCACCTCGGCCTCCCAAAGTGCTGGGATTACAGGCGTGAGCCACCGCCCCCGGCCTATTTATTATTTTAAAGACAGAGTCTTGCTATGTTGTCCCGGCTGGTCTAAAACTCCTGGCCTCAAGCAATACTCCCACTTCAGCCTCCCAAAGTGCTGGGATTACCATTGCACCTGGCGCCAATAAACTGTATTTACAATAACAGCAAGCCCAACTTGACCCATGGGCTATAGTTTGCCAACCCCTGGGTCCAGATACTCAAAAGGCATAGGCTAACACGTTGGGTAACAAAGCAAGACCAATTACATGCTGCCTATTAAAACTTTAAATATAAAGTCATTATGGATTAAAGGTTTAAAAATAGAAAAATACATGCCATGTATGATACTCTGAAATATACATTTGGTCTTCATCCCTATTTCCTGACATACAACTCCTAAAACCCTTGGAATCTCCCAAGTCAGATTAACTTGTAGTTGGGCCTATATATTATGAAATTTTTGAAAATTCAAGCAATATAGAAGTTTTTATAGAAAAATTAGAAAATAGACACAGAAACAAGAAAATAAGACTCACGCATAAACCATTACCCTGAAATATCTAGAATTAAGAGTTATGTTAATTTTTGTCTTTTTGTGTGCTAATGAGATGACTGGTGGTTGGCAGCCCCTAGGTAGCTTCAGGATGGGGGCTTATCACCAAGGCAAGTTTAGAGGGTGGGGGACTTTCAGCTAACTTCCAGGGCAGGGAGAAGGGCTGAAGGTTAAGATGATTTAATCAATCATGCCTGCATAAGGAAGCCACCACAAAAACCCAACAGGATTGGGTTTGGTGGTCTTCTGGATAGATGGACTCATGGAGGTTCCTGGAGGGTTGAGTACCCGCGGAGGGCCTGGAAGCTCTAGTCCCTTCCCCTATACCTTGCCCTATGTATCTCTTTCACTGTGATTCTTTATAACATCCTTTCTTTGTCATAAACCAGTAAATATAAGTAAGTATTTCCTTGAGTTTGGTAAGCCACTCTGACAAAGTAATCAAATCCAAGGAGGGAGTTGTGGGAACACCAGTTTATAGCCAGTCAGTCAGAAACACAGGTAAAACAACCTGGGGCTAGAGCTGCCATAAAGAATGATTCATTCCATCTCAGGAAAAATGAGACAGAGAGAGAGACAGATTATTAGGAACAACTGTATGTGAACAAACAAAATTAACTTGATGTAATGGACAAATTCCTAGAAAGACACTAATTACCTAAAACTGATTCATACCCATGAAGAAATAGAAAAATTTCAAATTTCTGTAACAAGAGACTGAATTCATCAAAAACTTCCTAACAGAGAAAAGTACAGGTACAGGTGGCTTCACTGGTGAATCCTAAAAAATACTTAAAAGGCTGAGCGTGCTGGCTCATGCCTGTAATCCCAGCTCTTTGGGACACCGAGGTGGGTAAATCATTTGAGGTCAGGAGTCTGAGACCAGCCTGGCCAACATGGTGAAACCCCACCTCTACTAAAAATACAAAAATTAGCTGGGCATGGTGATGCACGCCTGTAATCCCAGCTACTCGGGAGGCTGAGGCAGGAGAATGGCTTGAACCTGGGAGGTGGAGGTTGCAGTGAGCTGAGATCATGCCACTGCACTCCAGCCTGGGCGACAGAGCGAGACTCTGTCTCCAAAAAAAGAAAAAAAAAATTAAAGAAAGAACTAACATCAATTTTTCTCAAACTCGCCACAAAAAAATAGAAGAGGAGGGGCCAGGCACAGTGGCTCAGGCCTGTAATCCCAGCACTTTGGGAGGCCGAGGCGGGCAGATCACCTGAGGTCGGGAGTTCGAGACCAGCCTGACCAACAAGGAAAAACCCGTCTCTACTAAAAATAGAAAAATTAGCTGGGTGTGGTGGCGCATGCCTGAATCTCAGCTACTCGGGAGGCTGAGGCAGGATAATCGCTTGGCCTGTGAGGCGGAGGTTGCGGTGAGCCAAGATTGCGCCACTGCACTCCAGCCTGGGCAATAAGAACGCAACTCCCTCTCAAAAAACAAAAAACAAAAAACAAAAAAAAAGAGGAGGGAACAACTTCTAACTCATTCTTGAAGACAGCATTTCCCTGATACGAGGGCCAAATAAAAACATTACAAGAAAATTAAAAACCAATATTCCTTATGAACACAGATGAAAAATCCTTAACAACATACTAGCAAACCAAATTCAACAGTGTATTAAAACAATTATACACCACGACCAAGTGAGTGCATTCCATCCCAAGAATGCAAAGGGGCTTCAACATAAGAAAATATATCAATGTAATTCACCACATTAGTAGAATGAAGCACGGGGGAAAAAAATCACATGGTTATCACAATTGGCACAAAGAAGGGATCTGATAAAATCCAACAGGTTTTCATGATTAAAAAAAAAATCACTCAGAAAACTAGGAATTGAAGGGACTCTCCTCAACAAGATAAAGGGCATTTCTGAGAAACCCATTAACATCATATTCAACGGTAAAAGACCAAAAACTCTCCTCCTAATATCAGGAACAAGACAAGGACCCCCACTTTCATTGCTGCCACAAGATATTATACTGGACGTTCTAAACAGAACAATGAGGCAAAAAATAAAAGGCATCGTAACTGAAAAATAGAAGTAAAGCCTTATTTGCAGAATGCATGATTCTACATATAGAAAATCCCAAAGAATCTACAAGAAACTACCAGAGCTAATGACAAATTCAGCAAAGTTGCATGATTCAAGATCAATACACAAAAATCAGTTGTTTCTATATATCTGCACTGAAAAATCTGAACAGGAAATTATGAACACAATTCCACTTATAACAAAATACCTATGAGTTTATTGTATGAATTTAACCAAAGAAGTGAAAGCCTTACACAATGAAACTACAAAGCACTGTCGAAAGAAATTAAAGGCCTAAAGAAACAGAGTATGTTCACAAATAGGAAGACAATGTTGTTAAGATGTCAATAATCCCCAAAGTAATGTCAAACACAATCCTCATCAAAGTTCTAAGAGTCTTCTTTGCAGAAATGGAAAAGTCTATCCTCATATTCATATGAAATTACAAGGGGCCCCAAAAAGCCAGAACAATACTGAAATAAAGAATACAGTTGGAAGACTCACACTTCCCAATTTCAAAACTTACTATAAAACTTACCATTTGTTTAAATCAAAACAGTATAGGTGCCGGGCACAGTGGCTCACATCTGTAATCCCAGCACTTCGGGAGGCTGAGGTGGGTGGATCACTTGAGGTTGGGAGTTCAAGATCAGCCTGGCCAACATCACAAAACCCCGTCTCTACTAAAAATACAAAAATTAGCCAGACATGGTGGTAGGCACCTGTAATCTCAGCTACTCGAGAGGCTGAGGCAAGAGAATCACTTCTTGAACCCAGGAGGCAGAGGTTGCAGTGAGCCAAGATCATGTCACTGCACTCCAACCGGGGTGACAGAGCAAGACTCAGTCTCAAAAAAAAAAACCAGTATAGGATTGTTATAAGGATAGACATATAGATCAATGGAATAGAACTGAGAGTACAGAAATAAACCCATATATCCAGGACCAACTGATTTTCAATAAGGGTGCCAAGTCCATTCAATAGGGAACAAACAGTCTCTAGAAGAAACGGTGCTGAAACGACTGAATTTCTATCTACATGTAAGAGAATGAAACCGGACTCCTACTTATACAATATATAAGAATTAACTCAAAATAGATCAGCGACTTAACATGAGAACTACAACCATAAAACTCTTAGGAAAAACATAGGAGAAAATTTTCATGACCTTGGACTTGGCAATGGATTCTTAGATATGAAATAAAAAACACCAACAACAATAGAAAAAATAGATAAATTGGACTTCATCAAAATTAACAACTTTTGTGCAACAAGATGTTATCAAGAAAGTAAAGACAACCTGTAGAAGAAAATATATGCAAATCACGTATTTGATAACGGTTTAATACCCAGAATAAGGAAATTACTGTATTTCAACAACATAAAGACAAACAACCCAATTAAAAAACAGGCAAAGAACCTGCCAACAGGCATTTTTCCAAAGAAGATATACAAATGGCTTATAAGCACATGAAAAGATGCTGAAACTCATTTGTCTACGGAAATGCAAATCAAAACCACCATGAGATTCCACTTTACACTATTAGGATGGCAAGTGAGGGAGGGAGAAAGGAAAAGGAAGAGGGACAGAGGGAAGGAAGCAGAGAGGGAGAAAGGAAGGGAAGGGAGGAAGGAGAAAAAAGTAAGTGTTGGTAATGATGTGAACAGATTTAATTCTTGTACACTTCTGGTAGGAATGTAAAATGGTGCACTTTCACTGTGAAAAGTTTGGCAGTTCTTTGAAAAAGTAAACAGAATAACTATATGACCCAAAAATTCCACTCCTAGGTATATACACCCAAAATAACTGAAAACAGGGACTCAAACAAATACTTGTGCACCAATGTTCATTGCAGCATAATTCACAAGAGACAAAAGGTGAAATCAATCCAAGTGTCCACCAACAGATCGAGACTATCCTGGCCAACATGGTGAAACCCCATCTCTACTAAAAATACAAAAATTAGTTGGACTTGGTGGTACGTGCCTGTAATCCCAGCTACTCATGAGGCGGAGGCAGGAGAATCACTTGAACCAGGGAGTCGGAGGTTGCAGTGAGTCAGAGATCGCAGCACTGCACTCCAGCCTGGTGACAGAGTGATTCCATCTCAAAAAAAAATAAATGAATAAAAGAAAATACCAGTCATGGGCCAGGTGTAGTGGCTGACACATATAATCCCACCACTCTGGGAGGCCAAGGTAAGTGGATCGCTTGAGCCCAGGAGTTCAAGACCAGCCTGAGCAACATGGTGAAACCTCGACTCAATAAAAAAATACAAAAAAAAATTACCCAGGTGTGGTGGTATGCACCTATAGTGCCAGCTACTCAGAAAGCTGAGTTAGGAGGATCATCTGAGCCCAGGAAATCAAGGCTGCAGGGAGCCATGATTGTACCACTGCACTCCAGCCTGGGTAAAAGAGCGAGACCCTGTCTCAAAAAAAAAAAAAAAGAAAAGAATATACCAGTCAGGGCCAGCTCCATGGGCATGCAACTAGCACAGCTGCACAAAGCCTGTGCTCAAGGGATTTAATGCTCAGTGGTAACCATCGTGAATTCTTAACAATCTATCTTTGAATTTGTGTTTTATATTATAAAAGTGAACTCTGATGGGACATGGAGCATATGCCAAGGGCTCGGAGCCTCAGCTCACACATGGTCTGCCTCCTTTACCCTTTCCAGGGCCAGGTCTGATACTGCTCTCTGCCTTGCCCTCACCCCAAAGCCCACTTGGCCTCAGCCTTCCTCCCAGTCCCCACCCCTATAACCACTCTCTCACTCACATCTTCCACCTGGGACTGTACCAAGTTGTCAAGAGGTCCACATTCCACTGTAGTCCCAAGTTGGGGGCTGGCACAGATTGGGGGTTGGGGGGGAGGTGGTTGAATGCACTTGCTGTGGCATCTCAGTGTGCAGCAAGGTGGCAACCATTCCTGTCCTGCACTGGCAGCACCAAGGTATGTTTGGCAGGTAACTTGACAAGGGTCCCTCGCCCATCCCAGATCCAATGTTAATTTCTGATCAGATGTTAATTTTTATAAAAAACAACTCCTAAAGAGTTTCTATGTGCAGCAGGGTTTAGATATAGTTTAGAAAATATTAGATTCGTGGAAGAGTCTACCTTTCCTAGGGCTTACTTTTCTCAGCCAGGCTACTGACAAGAACAGCCTCCTATTGGAGGTGTTAACTCTTGCTAAGATTGAAGTCACATGTGCTGTGTAAATCTTACAAGAAGGCAGAGCGACATACCACTCTGAAATCTGAAATACAGAGCAAGGCAGCAGTGAGGACGATGGACAGGTAGTTTCCTTGGTTCTTTCTCTCTACAGGGTTGGTTCTCCAGTCAGCTTGGATTTTTTTTTTTTTTTTTTTTGAGACGGAGTCTGTCACTCTGTCACCCAGGCTGGAATGCAGTGGCGCCATCTCAGCTCACTGCAAGCTCCGCCTCCTGGGTACATGCCATTCTCCTGCCTAAGCCCCCCAAGAGGCTTCCAATAAATCTCCTTTTGTGTAAATTGGTCAGATTGGTTTCTGCTGCTTGAAAACAAAGAACTCTAATTGCTGTGGTGGATTAAGAATAAACGCACTTCACATGGAAAAAGGTTCTCACTATGCGGTTCAGTGAAAAAGAAACAACAGCTGGTGCAGTAGCTTATACAATTTGATTATATCCTTTTAAGAAAAAAAATGTGAATATATCCCGTTTTTAAAAATCTATAGATATATAACAACGTTAATTCTGGATATTTCAGGGTAATGGTTTACGCGTGAGTCTTACTGTCTTGTTTCTGTGTCTGTTTTCTCATTTTCCTATAAAAAACTTCTGTATTACTTGAATTTTCAAAAATTTCATTATAGGCCCAATTACAAATAAAATTTTCTCCCCAAAATAGTTTTACTAATTCAACAGTTAATCTAATTAACAGTTTAAGCCATTCAAATCTCTTAATTTTCCCTTGTGAAGTACCGTATCTCTGCATCAGTAAAGTCTTGGGAAAAAAAAGTAAACAGCCGTGAAGAACTTCAGAAGAGTAAACACATTCTCAGGCTAAGGAAGCAAAAGTTCACGAGCAATGTTCAGTTCCAGTCAAGTCAAAAACAAAGGACTCTAGGATGAAAAACTTTTGTTGTTACTGACATGTTACTTAAAAATAAAACAAATTTCCTAACAGAATTCCACCTTAAAAGATTGAATTGACCTCAAAAGGAGACTAAAGAGACATGACAACCAAATACATACCTGATCCTAGACTACATTTATTAATGAAGGGGAAAGCAAGGCTATAAATGATTAGACGAGACAAAAATGTCATTACCAATGACTACAAGGATATATAAGAACTTTTTTTTTTTTTGAGACAGAGTCTCACTCACTCTGTCACCCAGGCTGGAGTGCAGTGGTGCTATCTCGGCTCACTGCAACTTCTGCCACCCAGGTTCAAGCAATTCTTGTGTCTCAGCCTCCTGAGTAGCTGCAACTACAGGCGCCCGCCACCACACCCAGCTAATTTATGTATTTTCAGTAGAGACAGGGTTTCACCATGTTGTTGGCCAGGCTGGTCTCGAACTCCTGACCTCAAATGATCCATCCACCTCAGCCTCCCAAAGTGCTGAGATTACAGGCGTGAGCCACCATGCCCGGCCAGGATATACAACAACTTTTATTTAACATTGTTTAAAACTATATATGCCAACTATGTATTCTCAATGTTATAAGGACAGACAAAATTTTAGGAAAACTTTTCTGAGATCACATATACAACTACACAAATCAGGATTAAAAAAAACCCTATCATTTCATTTATGCATGCCCATTTGTTGATTGCTCTAACAATACTGGGAAATTAAGTTAGTTTTCTTTTGCTAAAATAACAAATCACATTTCCCTCAAACATCAAAAACAATTTTTTAGTAACTAATGACTAGAAAAATCCCCTCCTTAAAGTAGCTTAAAAACCTGAACAGCTTAAATAGCTCACTTTATGTCATAAAGACATAAATAAGTACTAATGAGGCTTTCACACAGCCATCTGAAGTATAACAGCAATTTCCATTTTGAGGAATCTTACCCACTCTTCAAAAACCCGAGTTCAAATCTCACCTCCAGATTCCAGTTGGCTACTTACGTCCTCTTACCTTCAGTAACTCCTTGCAGCTGTCAAGCCCAATATCCACAAGAATACCTTTCACCTTTTTTCGCACCTTTCTGATGTTGTCAAGATTTTCCACAGGAATTTGAAACATTTTTGAAATTTTCCTTAAAAGGAAAGAAAACAAAACTGTAATAAGTACATGTATATAATACACAAAAATACATTTTTTGACAGGGTTGGTAAAACACTAGGAATAGAGTATAATTTTCAACAAATTGTTGTAGAACGAGTGAACATTCATATGCAAATGAATGAGGTTGACCTCTTCCTTACACCATATACAAAAATTAACTCAAAAGTGGATCACACACCTGTATGTAAGACCTAAAACTATAAAACTCTTATAAGAAAACGTAAGCATAAACATTGATGACCTTAGATTCGGCAAGGAATTCCTAGATAGGACACCAAAAAGCACCAGTAATGAAAGAAAAAATAGGTATGGACTTCACCAAAATTAAAAATTTTTATGCTTCAAAGGACACCATCAAAAAAGCAAAAAACCCACAAAACGGGAGAAAATATTTGCAAACCATTATTCCTTTCTAATAAGGAACTTATATGCAGAATACAGATAACTCTTGTATCTCAATAATTAAAACACAGATAACCCAGTTTACAAATGGGCAAAGGATCATAGACACTTCTCCAAAGAAAAATGTCCACTAAGGTACATGAAAAGATGCTCAGGCAGGGAACAGTGGCTCACGCCTGTAATTCCAGCAGCTCAGGAGGCTGAGGTACACAGATCAGGCAGACTGTTTGAGCTCAGGAGTTGAAGACCAGCCAGGGCAACATGGTGAAACCCTGCCTCTACAAAAAATACAAAAATTAGCCAGGCATCCTGGTGCGCACCTGTAGTCCCAGCTATCCAGGAGGCTGAGGTGAGGGGATCACCCGAGCCCAGGAGGTCAAGGCTGCAGTGAGTCTGATCACGCCACTATATTCCAGCCTGAGCAACAGAGTGAGACCCTATCTTAAAACAAAACAAAAAAAAATGCTCAACATCATTAGCCATTTGGAGAAATGCAAATTAAAACCACAAAGAGATACTGTGCCCACCAGGATATCTATAAAGAAAAAAAAAAGGAAACGTGTTGGCAAGGACGTGGAGAAATTGGAACTCTCATACATTCCTAATAGTAATGTATACCAGTGCAGCCAGTCTTCATGTGTGCCTGAAAACAGTCTGGCTGTCCCACAAAAGATTAAAAATATAGGTAACATATGAACCAGCAATTCCACTCAAGAGAAAAGCATACATCCACCCAAAAACTTATATAAGGATGTTCATGACAACACTATTCAGTCACCAAAATGTGTAAACAAACCAAATGCCCCTGCATTGGGGCATTTGATAAATAAACTGATGACTGGATAAATAAAATATGACATATCCATACAATAGATTATTTGGCCATAAAAGAAATGAAATACATACATGCTACAATATGGACAAACTTTGGAAATATGCTAAGTAAAAGAAGCCAGACACAAGGACCACATATTGTATGATTCTATTTATGTGAAGTGTCCAGAACAGGCAAATCCATAGAAAGCACAACAGTGGGCCGAGTGCAGTGGCTCACACCTGTAATCCCAGCACTTTGGGAGGCCAAGGTGGGTGGATCACCTGAGGTCAGGAGTTCAAGACCAGCCTGGCCAATATGGTGAAGCCCCATCTCTACTAAAAATACAAAAAATTAGCTGGGCACCTGTAATCTCGGCTACTCGGGAGGCTGAGGCAAGAGAATTGCTTGACCCTGGGAGACAGAGGTTGCAGTGAGCCGAGGTCGCGCCACTGCACTCCACCCTGACCAGTAAGAGCAAAACTCCGTCCCCAGAAAAAAAAAGCACAACAGTGGCTGCCAGGGCTGGGAGAACTGGGAAGTGATGGAAGCAGGGCTTCTTCGTTCTGAACTCAACTGTGGTGATGTATACGCAATGTGAATGAGCCCACAGCCATTCACTGTACACTTCAAACTGGTGAATTGTATGGTACATAAATTATATCTCAAGCTGTTTAAAACAATATCTAAAAAGGCACAAAATTAAAATAAACCCTGTAGTACTTGACCAGACTAGGGGTTACTGAAGTGAACTCATTGTTTTCAACACACAGATAGAAGAATAGAGATAGTTTGAGAGTGTGTGTCCACATACACACATACATTCCATAGCTCTGCCCACTGAGAGTGCCTGGATGCAGTTATACACCCCAGTAGCAGTGGGCACAACTAGGGCTCAAACCTGAATTCCTAAATACCGCTTTCCTTTAAAAAGAACCCTAGGAAAAATGGCTGGAGCATGGTAAAGACAAGATGAGCCTAGAACATCCTGTGCCGGAATATAAAGCAGTTGCTCAATGAGGCATGTCAACAGAACACAGAAGTAACCAGCTTGAAAGGGCTCCCATAGGCCAGATACGAGACAATGTGGGCATATATCAAGTAACAGATACAACCTGTGGCAAAGTGAATTTTCCAAACACACAATACCTTCCAACCCACATGCTCTTACAATACGGCCCTAACACTCCTCCCAAAAGTGGCAGCATCTAATGCCCCCTCCTGACCTTTGGGCAGAACTTTGTGGCTGCCTTGACCAATCAAGTATGGAGGAAATAATGCCATGAGAATTCCAAGACTAGATCATAAAAATGCCACATACCTCTCTCAGGATGATCATGCCCAGAATCTAGATACCACATGTGTAGAAAGTGCCAACTAGCCCACAGAGACACCAGGTAGAGGTGTTCCACATCAACTACCAGCATGGGAGTGAAGATGCCTCTTGAGGATTCCAGCCCTAGCTGTCAAGTCACCCCCTGCCTTTGAGTCTTCCCAGATGAGGCCCAGACACTGTGGACCAGAAACAAACCATCTCCCTTCCCTGTCTGAATAGAACTGACCCAGAGAACTGATGCGCTTCTTAAATAAAATGTCTTACTCCAGTAAGTTTGGGGTGGTTTGGTATACAGTGATAATCTATATAGTTATATAGACTATAACCCGCTCGAATGTAGTGATTTCCTGATTTTGATGGTTTTGTTATGGATATGTAGGAGAATGTTCTTGTTTGTAGTATTTAGGGTAATGTGGCAACTTTTTTGGCAACTTATTCTCAAGTGATTCAGGGAAAAAAGTTATTTGTACTATACTTGTAACTTTCCTAAAAATCTGCCAACTATTCCAAAATTTAAATGTGTAGGCTATAAAAGCTAAAATATATATCAGTCAAACTCAAGTGGCAAATATTTGGTTATTCAACTTTAATAATAAAGAAATGCCATTTAAAATGTCAAATTTTTATTATCAAAACAGTAACTATTAAGATTACTAACATCTGGTGGTAGTAAAAGTAGAAAAATTTTAATTTTTATGCTTTTACAGGGTAATTTGGCAATACCTCTCAAGATCTTTTTTTTCTTTTTTTTTTTTTGAGACAGGGTCTTGCTCCTTCACCCAGGCTGGAGTATAGTGGCTTGATTACAGCTCACTGCAGCCTCAACCTCCCAACCTCAAGCAATCCTCCTGCCTCAACCTCATGAGTAGCTTGGACTACCGATGTATGCCACCACACCTGGCTAACTTTTTTTTATTTTTTGGTAGAGACAGGGTCTCCCTATGTTACCCAGGCTGGTCTTGAACTCCTGAGCTCAAGCAATCCTCCCCGTCAGCCTCTCAAAGTACGGGGATTACAGGCATGAACCACCATGCCCAGCTCTCTCATGATTTTTAAGGACAATTTCTGAGTAAGCAATTCTACTTCTACATTCCTCTCTTGTATCCACCACCCAAGGACAGGCTTAGTGATCCCTCCTAGGACTTAGTACCATAACCACATACCACTCCACTGCACTCGACTCACCATGTTGCAATTATCTACTTATATATCCATTTCTCCTATTGGGCTGAACTACTCCAGGGCAGAAATCATGTTATATTTGCTTGAGAGGGTCCCATCACAGAGCACAGTACGTAGCAAATGTTCATTAAATGAACAAAAGATATAAAATAAAACAGGATAAGAACCGTAAGATATGCAGAAAGTGCTAGGAGGTTCTAAAGAGGACATGGCTATGGAAAGCTGGTGCCCAAGACATACAAGGTGAATAAATTAGCATCAAAAAATTATTGAGGTAAAGAAGGAAAAGTCTGAATTTATTTGGCAAAAGTAAAACCAAAAAGGTGGACTGGAATCAAACTGGGAGAGGAGTGGGAGGCAGAAAGGGTTAACATATAATAGGGAGAAATTTTTGGTGGGTAACAAGCAAACACCAAGTTTTTGAGAAGCTGTTTTGAAGCGGATAAATTTCTTTTCAAAGTTATCTATGTGAAAAATGTATCCTGGTCTCAGCAAAAGGAGAGATTTAAGGATCATTAGCATTGTAGAACTGGGAGGATAAAAATTTAAAAATTTTCTTTATAAAATTTTAAGTTTAAAAATTTTCTTTAATAAAATGCACTGATTTGGGTTCTAGCCTTCAAAAGCTTACACTCTCACACAAGAGCTGCCATAACCTCATTATGCATTTCTAAACACTAAGCTCAAGGTCACTTTCTGGCCCAGTCCAGCTTCTTTGGTCAGAGCAAAACTCAACGAAAATTTTGTTAGCTGCTTTCCAGGGACTCTATCAGACTTGATTTCATTTCCTCCTTAAAGTTCCACTATCCTCTCTATCCTCTGGGGTTCTTCTCCAAAAGCTGGCTGACAAACAGTGTTGTCTAAAGTAGGGACCATCATCCATATGTATCTGAAACAGGGAAGCTAAATTTACTGCTTCCAAGAAAATCTCAACTCACACAGCCAGAGCTGATCTTATCACAGAGTTTTGAGAAGCCTGGGATACAAAGACTGGTGGACTTTTAAAAGCAGAGTGATTGGGGATTGGCTGATTCATGTAAGCATGGTTGTACATACATGAACCTCAGAAAGGGGTTACTAAAATGAGGCTCTCAGAGATTGGGCAGGGGTCTGTGGTTACTTGTTCAAGGCTTGGGACTAGGGCCAAGGAGTTGTCACTTTTTTATTTTTTTCCCTTGAATTTGAAAAATAGGAACTTTTTATTCTCAAATGAAAGTGCTTCCATTCCTTCATCGTTATTGTGGCCCTTCTAAACAAAACAAAACACAAGCACACAAATACCTTTTCATTTAAAAAAAGGAGGGGGAAAAGTTCCCCCCTCCTTTTTTTTTTTGTTTAGCAGTTTCCTAACTGCTTTAGGGAAACCAACAAAGGATAAAAAATAAAATGCAAGTAAATTACAGGTTTCATAACTGTTGCCAACCACTTTGGGGATGGGAAGCTGACTTTTACCCATAATTTATCCATTCTAAGCTACCACAATTTATTCATTCTTAGATCCATTCTTATAGCATAATTTATCAATCCTAAGATAAAATATTCCATGTAAAATGCCCAGTGGATGAATTAACTATGAAATAGTTCAATGTTTTCATATTTATAGATCCTCTATAGATACTGTTCTCCATAGAATCTTAGAGCTCAGTAAAATCTGTATTTTCACCATTAGAAAACAGCAGGCTAACCGGGGCGGCCAACTATTTCCACATCATGCACCAACCTATCAATTTCAATTCAAAATAAATCTCAATTCCTAATGTTTAGGGTAGGCATGGAACTACCATAAAATTCCACTGATATGCACAAGAAAATATTATTTCCCAAAAGGGTACATAAAGGACTTCTCTGGGGATTTTTTAGTATAATGATCTCGTAAGGATATTCTATTATAGAAAAAAAAATACATTCTAAAAGAAAATGTTGGCCGGGTGCAACGGCTCACACCTGTAATCCCAGCACTTTGGAAGGCTAAGGCGGGCAGATCACCTGAGGTCAGGAGTTGGAGACCAGCCTGACCAATATGGTGAAACCCTGTCTCTACTAAAAATTACCAAAAAATTGGCTGGGTCCTACTCGGGACGCTGAGGCAGGAGAATCGCTTGAACCCGGGAGACAGAGGTTGCAGTGAGCCGAGATCACACCACTGCACTCCAGCCTGGGCGACAGGGCAAAACTCCGTCTCAAAAAAAAAAAAAAAAAATGTCATTCAGGTAATACAGTAATAAACAATACTTTTTAAGCCACAGAACTTTTTTTTAGTTCCTGTGAAATCGCACAAAACGATGGTCACCAAAAAGGATTCTGGAGTTGTGTGCCCGGGTTTACATCAGCTCCACCATTTATGAGCTGTGTAATCTTCAGGAAATCACTTACTCTCTCCAGGCCTCAGCTGGCTCTTCTGTAAAACAGGGCGAGTATGACCTAATTCACAGAGTAGTTATGAGGATAAATGAGTTAATACATGCAAAACAGCACATAAGCACTGAGTTTGCTATTAATTAACTCCAAAAAACTAAATGAAATGTCCCAACTATTGGAATACAGGACTTTTTAAAAAGCAACTTTAAAAACACAGAATACTTGGATCATATATTCAGCAGATCTGGGTTCAAATCACTGGGAGATACCGGTTTCCACCTATGTAACACATTGCCCTAACAGGTCTAGGATAGCCAGAGGATGAAGGGCAGGG
This sequence comes from Homo sapiens, assembly GCF_000001405.40. Taxonomy (NCBI): domain Eukaryota; kingdom Metazoa; phylum Chordata; class Mammalia; order Primates; family Hominidae; genus Homo; species Homo sapiens. The sequence continues at coordinate 80,111,074 of NC_000018.10, read as the reverse complement.
CAGAAACCAAGTTTGCAATATGCTATTGGTGAACTTATGAGGGCAATCATAAATTAACCAACAGCATATTGCAAACTTGGGTTCAAATTAAAAACGTGTCTCCCAAATCCCAGAATCTCTTCAGCTAAAAATCTTAGCATAGCTGTCATCTTCCCCCATAAACAGTGATCAACTCCTTTCAGACATGTCCTAACCCTCACTGTTCCTCCCCTCAACTAGAGGGCCGGTAGGACAACCTCTTGTCTCATCTTCACTCTTGTACTTCCTTTCTTAACACACATCTGTCACTTCATGTTTAAGGACGACGGGCTCAATGCTGTCTTCGCAGTGAAGTCCTAACTCCAACCGAAATTTAACCGAAATATTAATACACACTCATACATGGCCAACTCTCCAAGAACATCTTTAAATAAGTTACACATACATTACCGACTTCCAAATACAGCTGAACATGTACTTTACACAACTCTTTTTACATGTGGTCCTCTCTCCCACTAATGCTCCTCACCCCCAAAAATGGTACCCAGACTCCAAACCCCCTCTTTTGATAAAGGCTCTGCGTGGCAGATGCCCACAGTACTCTACAAACTGCTGCCCCACTTGCCAATCTGCATTGTCAGTTACCTGCTTACCAGTTTCTCCTCCCCCACCCCACTCCTCCACAGCCAGTATATTCCTCAAGATCCCAAGAGGCAGTGATTACCCGTGCAAATAGAGTAAGTTTTAAGCACGCAGGCAAGTCTTCTGTTCAAATAAACTACTTAAAATATCTAATTATTTCTCATTCTGCATCTGTACAGTATTTAAAAGGGCAGTTAAAATTAACATTCCAAAGTCAACTGTAGTAGAAATTTTGTAAACGGAATCTATTTCAATGCAACCAGCAACGGCAGATGAAAAGTAATGTTAAAGTCAACATCTGTATATCAATTATTGATATTCGCATCAAAAGCTCAACGATGAAGAAACAGGGCCCCGTTATCAGCTGTTCTTCAAACCTTTCTAGGGAAAAAAAAACCTGGGCAGATTTAGGTGTCACCGTCAGCTCCTGACCTACATCTGCCGTCACTCAAGGCTCCTCCAGAGAGAAGCTTCCAGGAGAACCCGGTCTCGGGGATGCGGCGGGCGGGCCAGCGGGCGGGGCGTTTCTGGAGTCCTTACAGGGGTCGCCACAGCTCCTTGCCCCCTCTCTTCTTCTCCATCCCCGTTCCCTCTCCCTCTACTCCTCGCTCCCTTCACCAGCCCCCCTCTCTCCCTCGGTCCCCGTCCTCGTCTTTCCCCTATTCCTACTCTCCCCTCAGGTCCCCATCCCCTTCTCCGCCCTCCCGGGGCGGCCCCCGCTCCCACGTGACCGGCGGCGGGCGGGGCGGGCCGCGGGCGCGTCGGGGGTCGACGGGCGCCGTTCGGGCCGCGAACCCGCGCCCTGAGAACGTCCCGGGATTCCCGAGGCGGCCACGGGCGGCGCGAGGGCAGGCGGCGGGCGTGGGTGTGGGCTGGGTACCGGCGGGGGCGGGGCTCGGAGGGGACCAGACTGGGGCGGGGGCCAGGACCGGGGCAGGGGGCGTCGCCGCGCGGGCCCGCGCCGGGCCGGGCCGTACCTACCGCTTGGCGCCCGAGGAGCACCGCGTCTCCGCTGCTGCCTCTCGCAGGGCTGCCGCGTCTTCCGCCGAGCGCAGCCGCGTCCCGTGGGGCCGCCTGCGCCCGCCCGCGCCTCCGCCCCGCGCGGCGGGACCCCCGCCTCAGCGCGCGCCCACCCCCAGCGCGACTGGTCCCCTCCTCCCGCGCAGCCAGAAAGAGAAAATGGCGCTCGATTGGCCTCAGGAAGTGACGTTGGCCCTCATTTGCATGTAGGCGCAGCCAGCCAATGAGAGCAGAGTGTGCTTGGGGGCCCCTGGCACTTCCCACAGGCCCCCCGGGGCCCCTGGCTAAAGATGGACTGGAGGCTCTGGGGTGGCAGTGGGGGGCCCCTGTTGGACCCCCTGACTCCCTTCTGTCCCAGGGAACTGCCCTGCCAGCTCCTTTCCACATCTGTGCAAACTCTCGTGAGAGTTTGAGTGGGCAATGACGTCACTAAAGGGGTGGGGAGAGTGTGTCATCAACCATGTGACTAATCACGTGGACTCACCACAGCTTTGACTTCATTTGCATGGAATGGGGTGGAGCTAGTGGCAGCTCCAGGAGTGGTGACCCCGCCCACATCTCAGAGCCAATGGGAGCCCAACTGTGATAATGCTGCCTTGCCATTGGAAGACAAAACTTTGGCTCCCAGAACTGGGACAAGTGTGCCATGATTGGCATATCCTGGTGAACCGACTAGCTGGGGTCTCCTGACTTCATCATTCCTGTGGGAAAGTGATCACACCTTCTCTTGAGAATTCTGATTTTTAGATCTACTACAAGTTGTGTGGGGAGAGGGTTAATTGCATACATTTGTATAAACTCTTAACCTAAAAGTTCATTTTTGCACAGGTGTTTATCAATTGTGTAGCAATAATAATTTATTCCACAAAATTAGTGGAAACATGGCGTAGGGCTTTCAAAATGGCTCTAGGTCTTCGTTCCGTGGAGTCCCCAGGCCTCTGGCGGACGCCCTCGTGCCCCAGAGCACGTGGGAGTAACCACGAGGGCAGCGCAGGCGCCTCCCCCAGTGCCCCTAACCTTAACCCTAATTCTGACCCTGCACCTGAACCTCACCTAGCACTAACCCTGACTCTGACCCTAACTCCCCTCCAGTGTTCCTTCCCCTGACCCTAACTCAGCCGCGCCCTCAGTGGCTGTTCCAGGCAGTTCCTTCTTGGCGAAGCCGTCTGCAGGACACGTGCCCCTTTCAGCACAAGGCCACGTCTCCTTCCAGAGCGCCGAGCCCCTGCAACCCGCCGCCAGCCTCCAGCCCTGAGGCCCACTCCAGCCACCGCGGGGCAGAGGCCGTGCCCAGGCTGGGCCTTCCGCCCACCGCCCTCTCCAGAGCCTCCTTGTCACCATCCGCTCGTCCATAATTTCAGCTTTTCCCTCTCAATGGGAGCCTTCTGCTCAGTTTAGCCCAGTGACTAAACACATAATAGGCACTAAATTAATGTCCATATTCGTTTTAAAACTGTGTTAAATGGTGGGCCGATATGACCTGACCAAAATTTGCTTTTTTCCTACATGAATACAAGTCATAATTGAAGTAGAGTTTGCCCTTTATGTTTGCTGACAAGTTAAGATTTTACTTTGAGTTACAGTGGTAAATGGGTGTGATGTCCCTATATATCTTCCTTGCAAAATTATGGGTGGGATGAAAAGTGTAGTTAAAGCCTGCAGTCTCCCATTGATCCTCTAGTGACCTCTCATTTTATCACATTTCTCAAAACAGCAGTCCCTGTGTCTGTCTCCTCAGCCCCCTGCACGCCTCTCGCCCCCACCCTCACCACTCTGCAGAAACGCCTTGGTCACCAGCGCCCTCCTAATTGCTGAGCCCAAAACAGATTTTAGGCCTCGTCTTTCTGTATCTATCTTCCATTTGTTACTACAGACCAATCCCCCTTTCCTACAGACCTCCCGCAACAAAGCCGCCCCACCACCACTACTCCTCAAACGGGCTCTTTAATCTCCAAACTCGGGAACTGTTTCCTAATCTACAGACCTCCCCCCACAAAGCCGCCCCCCCCCACACCCACTACTCCCCAGACGGGCTCTTTCATCTCCATATTCACGAACTGTTTCCTCATCTTCGCCTGCATCTCTTCCCGGCCCATCCTTGAACGCGGTGTTCTCTGGGATCCTGCTGACTTTTTCCTTCACGGTGCAGCACATATGCGCCACTCGCTTCCTGTGTGCCAGGCACCGTGCTGGGTATTGGAACTCCCACGCCTTTCATTTTTTTCTGCATTTTCTCCCTTGTTAATTTCGACCACAGATTCAAACCTTGTTATGTCAATTCCAAACCAGTATCTCCATCTCTTTCCTACGTTTCAGTTTTATTTTTCTGGCTGCCAAAGGGGGCAGCTCCACTTCAGAGTCCCACAGGCAACTCAGATTCAAAACGTTCAAATCTGAGCCCATCATTCTCTCCTCAACAGCCTCTCCTACAGCAAGCAGTGTGTTCCCCATCTCCAGTTTTCCAATTTTATATCCCAAATATTCGTCAGATCTCTTCCCTCATCTGCAGCCGCACTATCACTACCTGCATTCAGGTCATCTCCTGCCTGTAACACCTGCACAGGCTCCCACCACCTTACCTCCAGCTTGGTGCCTCAGGTACTTTCCCCAGTCAGCCCTTTTAGAGAGTGAACCTGACTGTCCTTCCCTTCTTGCTGCAATCACTCAAAATCCCCCAGGAATCAAGCCCAGCTGGTGAGCACGACACACAAATTCTCCAAAGCTGACCAGTCAGTCCCCAGCCTGTAAACACCACACGGTGTTTGTTCATGGGACTCCTGTCCCAACCCCTGAGCTAATTTTCATTCCATTGCCATTCAAGGCTGAACTCTACCGGCCTCTCTCCCAGAAAGATCTCCCTGAACACACACACACACACACACACACACACACACACAGTCAAAATATGGTAGGTACTTCTTGACATTCCCAAAACATTGTGTGTGTCTCCTGCTGCCCTCACCACGTTGTTTACTGTTATCTGCTCACTGCTTGTCTCTCTATGGGGCACCAGTAAGGACCGTGTCTCATTCATCATTGTATCCCTGATGCCTACATTACTTTAATAAATACAATATCAACATTTTCATAAATACAAATCTAATAAATATAATAAAATTTAAATGTTGAATGATTTTCCCCCTGCATTTTGCTATGAAAATGTTGAATGTACTGAAAAGCTGAAATAATTGTTCAGAAAACAACCATCACCTAGCTCTTCCAGTTAACATTTGCTTACTTGCTTTATCGCATATGTATTCAAATATTCATCTCGACTGTTTTTTTTTTTAGAAAACATCAGTACACCATCCTTAAACACTTCAGCATGGATATCTGATGAATACAGTTTAAAACCACCATCCACAGCATTGAGATAAAAAGGACTGTCCCTCCCACCACAGAAGGAATGAGCAATGTGACCTGGGGACTTGTCAAGATTATTTTCATAGACTCAGGAAAGTGCACCACACTGAAGTCATCAAACCGAAGACACAGGTTGGGCCTCAGGACTTATCTACCAGGCGAGTCACAGCTCATGCAGGTTTATTCTGCACACCCGCTCCTGAATAACAAGAAGACCACAGACTTGGTGGCAGTATGAGTAGATTCCTCGACCCCGGTTGTTCAGCTAGGTTTGAAAGTGAAGATGGCCCATGTGGAAGCTTCCCACTCTCTCATCTAGGTCCCCCTATAACCAGCATCGGCATTTGTAAGATAGTTGTTCAGAACAAAGGGAGCCCCAGAGTTGACTGTGGCAGCCACAGGCACTGTTGTGTGAATTAGAAAAGCAGGGGCCCTCTGGGTGTGTTGCTGTCCTCCGGGACCTGGATGGTCAAGATGAAGGTGCCTTGATATGTTTTTCAGTATCACTTCCTCTGCCTCTGTGCAGACCCAGCCTCACAGCAGGGCACAGACCTATGTGAACAGAGCGAGCTGGATTTCAGCTCCCACTTCCCGCTCTGCTCACTCTGTGTAAAGACAAGTGTGAACAACTGTAGTCAGCAGCCCGACTGGTCTACGCACAGACGACTGTGCACATGCAAGTGTACAATCCAAGAAACTGCAGAGTTCATCTAAAACCAGTGAGCCACAGGAGAGGAGAGCTTGGAGAACAACTTACATGTACTCTTTCTCTACTTTGTTTTTTGAGGTTTCTTTTTTTCTCTTAGAGACAGGGTCATACTCTTAGAGGCAGGCTGCAGTGATAGGATCATAGTTCATTGCAGCCTCGACCTCCTGGGCTCAAGGGATCCCCCCACCTCTGCCTCTCAAGTAGCTGGGACTACAGGTGTGGACCACCATGACTGGCTAAGTTCTTCGGTTTTGTTAGAGAAAGGATCTCTCACTATGTTATCCAGACTGGTCTCAAACTCCTGGACTCAAGAAATCCTCCCGCCTCAGTTTCACAAAGTGCTGGAATGAGAGGCGTAAACCACTGCACCAGGTTATTTCTCCCCTTTATTCTGCATACGCTCTGTGTAGGTCCAGCAGGCACCAATAATACAGTGCTGAGCAGACTCCATCCCTGCTCTCCTGGAGCTTAAGCTAATGGAGGAGAAAGGCATCCGCGAAATAACTACATGATGAAAATATAATTATAAACCTTGGTCAATGCTCCTGAGAAAGGAAATCTCCATATATGCCTGTGACCCAGAAACCTGATGTAGACCAGCAGTCTCCAAGAAGCAGGGTCTGGGATCAGAGGATAAGTAAACACTGGCAAAGCAGAGCTGTGAGAGGCGGAGAAGAGAGGTCTGTGAGAGGCCCCAAAGAAGGCCTGCGCCTGAGGGAGCCTGGCACAGCCAGACCAGAGCAGTCAAAGTGCAGGCCACAGGAAGACGAGGATCACAGGGGAGGCCAGGGCCAGGCTAGGAAGCCATTTGGGTCTTATTAAGACCAAGGAGAAGCCAAGGAAGTGGTTTCAGTGACCGGGTTGATAAGATCACATCTGCATTTGAAACGTACAGCAGGGCTTGTCCTGCGGAGAAAGGAATGTTGATTGAGGAAGGGAAGATGAGGCTTAAGAGGAGGTTGTGGGAGCAGTCCTGGTGAAAAACGATGACAGCTGGGAACTTAAATGAGGGTGATGGCAGTGAAGATGAAAAGAAGTGGCCAGCCTTGAGAGAAACTTCGGAGGGGAGGGAACCTGCAGTTGTTGGCATGGAGAGCTGGAGGCAGGCCCCAGAGGTGGGCGCTTGTTTTTGTGGATTTACTGGCTTTGGAAATATGCTTGGCTTTCTCTAGTTGGTCCTGAATTGGAAGTGGAAACAATAAAAGCATGGAAAACTGGCAGTCATTGACTAAGTCCTGGCCATTCTGGTCTGATTGCTGCAGAGGCATAGGTCAGAGATCGTCTTACACGGTCAGACCATTGTCTGTTGGCACATTCAGTTTGGTCTCCCTTCCCCTTTTGGTCATTCTCTCATTGGAGAGTTTGGACAGCTCAGGGGAGGCTAGAGATCCAGATCTTCACAGCTTGGGGGTTGTCTGGTTGCCTCCATAGGCAATCATTTCATGAGAATTCTTTTATTTGTGTTGTTGTAGCATCATGGAGATCATCTGATGACAGAGCAGCTGCACAGAAGCATTGCAGACTCTGCAGAGGATGCAACCAACAGCATCATGACCACTGTGACAAAACAAGACTAATAGTTCTCATAAGATGCTTCTGAACTGGGAACACCAGTTTCCCATCCCAGGACAAGAGAACAAATCCCATAAGCCGTGAGGATCAGCCTTAAAGAGATAAATAGTTTTTTCCTTATGGCATTGTATAGTCTCTTCCACTTTGCCTGTTCTGTTCATCCAAGTGCAGTGAGAAGTACTAGCAGCAGCACAGATGCCACGACACCAACAAGAAATCTAGAGCAATGGGCTTGTTCATCACCAAGTATACCAGTGAGTCGAGACTGGCCTGTGTTCCATCCAGGGCACGGGAGGTGGTGTTCACACTTCTGCCAGAGTGAGTAGTAATTTTCTCAAAGTCTCCTCTACTTGTATGATTCCCACCTCTGGGAATACAGCTCTGGTTGTTCGTATAAACAATGAGTCAGTAATTTCTCCAGGAATAGTGCCTGAATGATCAGCCGGATTTCCAGCCTTGGTGATTTCTAAAATTAGAGTCTCTATGTACAGACAAGTCTCAGAATCCTATTCCTAAAGTGCGTGAGAGGCTGGGCAAGGTGGTTCATGCCTGTAATCCCAGCCCTTTGGGAAGCCAAGGTGGGCAGATCACCTGAGGTCAGGAGTTCAAGACTAGCCTTGCCAACATGGCAAAATCCTATCTTACTAAAAATACAAAAATTTTAAAAAAATTAAAATTAAAATAAAAAAATTAGCCGGGTGTGGTGGTTGGTGCCTGTAATCCCAGCTACTGAGGGGGCTGAGGCTGGAGAATCATTTGAACCCAGGAGGCAGAGGTTGCAGTTAGCCAAGATTGCACCACTGCACACCAGCCTGGAAGACAGAGCAAGACTCTGTCTCAATAAATAAATAAATAAATAAAAATAAAAAATAAAGTTCATGAGAGCAATCAGCTCTGGACCCAAAGAAAGTAGTATCCAATAGGGGTGCATGGAGATCCAGGAAAAAAGGGATTTGTCTATGACACTAGGTTGGAACCAAGGTTTTACATTAGCTGGGTTATGCTAACTGGGTCTCTGTTGATATCTTTAAGGTGGCAAATATTGGTCTATCACTCTGTGAAGGTTGTTGAATGTAAATTTAGTTTTAGGTTTTATTGTTCATGTAGGTGCAAGTGGAAACGCTATCAGCTGTGATCCACTATGTCTCATTTAATAAAACTAGAATTGCCTAGAGGTTTTCATCATTGGAATGTGGTGATTGATGGCATGTCCTGTAGTCAGTAAGATTGAGGGCACTGACTACTGTCTGGGATAATCTGAGAATGGTGTTAGACTATTTTCTGATCTATTATAAAAAGGGAAAAAAAGAGAAAAAAGGGGTCATTATGAGTGGACAGCAACAAGAGGCCTATAGAAAATTAGAAGAATGATCATAGGCAAAAGATGAAAACTAAAACAGGAATCAGAGTCTTGAATGTCTTAAGCAGAAACTTTCCACTGTTTGAGCTTGTTCTAAAGGTCTTGAGTCAGCTTCCTACTTCCTAAGATGGGTTCCTTGTGGGGAATCTCTAAAGCGTGAGGTCTGCTCTTGGAAGAGGCTTCCAATTGTGTGGGATTCTGGATTGCTTCTTTAGCAAGTTGTGAAATGTTACTGGAGTTTCACTGCTGTGGTTGTTGTTAACGTAGATGGTAAGTCCCTTCCAACACAATTTAAGAGCAATTTTCTCAGACATCTCTTCTAACAGACAAAATCTCCAGGTTGAAGATCATGAAGAAGCTATTTAGGAAGATGTTGTAAGAAGGGGGCTGTTGAATATTGAACATCACCAGTATTTTGCTCGTCTGGGTGCAGCAGGGCAGAGGCTAGTATCAGAGATGAAATCCCTAAATGCATTACAAGTTGTCTTAGTCCATTCAGGCTGCTATAACAAAATACCAGACTGGGTGGCTTATAAACAACAGACATCTATTTCTCACAGTTCAGGAGGCTGGGAAGTCCAAGATCAAGGCAGTGATCGGATTCAGTGTCTGGTGAGGTCCTAGGTCATCATCGAAGGCCATCTTCTCACCATCACCTCAAATGGTGGAAGAAGTTATGGGTCTCCCCTGGACCTCTGTTTATAAGGGCACTAACCCCATCTGTGAGGGCTTCACCATCATAACTTACTCACCTCCCAAAGACCCCACTCTTAATAAATCACATTGGTGGTTAGGATTTCAACATACAAGTTTTGGTGAGACATTCAGTCTATAGCACCAGTTCAGAGGGTAATTGATGTCACCCTGAAGGAGGGAACCATACGGCCTGAAGGGGAGTGGGATTACCTTTGGCCAAAGGAGCTCCAGGGTTTCTGAAATTTTTCCTACCTTTAATTTAAGGATGCCATTGGCTCTCTCAATCTATTCAGAATATATGGGTAGTGAAGGCAGTGTGGTTTGGGGGTAGGAGGTAACACTTTATAGGATCCTCTTATAATGGCTCCATAGAGTGTGTGCCTTGGTCACTTGATGTGAAAGCTGAGATGCTCCAGGTTGGAAACATGAAAGCAAGCAGCTTTTTAGGAACTGTAAGGGCTGTGGCTTTTTGGTAAGGAAATATTTTAACCCACCCTGAAAACAGACATGCAATAACAAACATCCTCAACTCTCACGGCGGGCAGAAGCCAGGTAAAATCCACCTGTATTAGTCTGTTTTCACACCGCTGATAAAGACATACATGAGACTGGGCAATTTACAAAAGAAAGAGGTTTATTGGACTTAGAGTTCCACGTGACTGGGGAGGCCTCACAATCATGGCAGAAGGTGAAAGGCACGTCTCATGTGCTGGCAGCAAAAGAGAGGAGAGCCAAGTGAAACGGTTTCCCCTTATCAAACCATCAGATCTCATGAGACTTATTCACTACCATGAGAACAGCATGGGGAAACCGCCCCCATGATTCAATTCTCTCCCACTGGGTTCTTCCCGCAACCCGTGGGAATTATGGAAGTACAATTCAAAATGAGATTTGGGTGGGGACACAGAGCCAAACCATATCACCATCTGAAGATGCTCACGGGGCTCTTGAGATTTTAATCCCTGGCCATGTTCCATCTTTACGGATTTTTCCACGATTATATTGTCGACAGGTCATAACACGTGCCTAAAATAATCTCAACTATCTTTTTAAAGTTCTCCCACCAATATTGATTTAAGATAGTAACCAATTTGTCTGTACCATGAGCAGTAGTTTCATTGAGAAATTTAGCCAATATTCATCTGAAATCATCTAGTACCACCAACAGGCCTTCTTAGAAGTGCCAGAGATTATCTGAGTAACGGTACAACCGGGCTTCTTCCATAATAGTGGATATCTTATAGTGGCCTCTTTGAATCCCTCCAGGGGTTTATTCTTTAGGGGTTAGATTAGGATCACAGCCTTTGTTAAAACTGTTTGGCATGAGGACCAAGTATTTCCTTTAGTTTCCATGGTGTCTCTTCTTGCCTAGGCCTCAACCTTAATAGAAGGGAAAGGCCTCACCTCTTTAGGAAGTAGGAGTCCAGCTAAAAGCTTCTGAACTTATCCATTTTGGATGGGGGTCCCAGTAGAAGTGAGAAACCTCCTCTGTTTCCAAAGCTTCCCACAGTTGTGTGCTGCTCCCAAAGCCCACCTGCTGCCTCTGTGTGCAGCCACTCTGGACTCTGACTGTCTGACAATCTCTAGTAAACACAGTGAGCTTGGCCATCAGGGTTGATTTTACATCGGGAGAGGATGATATCCTTAACAAAGAATAGAAGGTGGTGATAGCACATCCTACCTGACCACCCCCAGCTTCACTTTTGAGCTACAATCCATTCACAAATAGTATTAGGTCAGGGTTCTCCATCGAGGTCTCCAGTGAACCTAAAAAGTTACAGAAGGCTCCCTGGCTGAGGTAGCACTCCCTTGAGGCTCCCTTTCCTTGGCAGGGGCATGACAGCAGGAGGATTCAGGGCATTGCAGCGTGAACAGTAAGTGGAGAGGAACAGAATCTCCTAAAATGCTAATTGGCTGCCTGGGAAGTATGCATTCTCAGACAGCAGCAATGTCTGCATGGAAGCAGGAACAAGGAGGTCAAATGGGGAGACAAGAACTGTGATATGGTTTAGCTCTGTGTCCCCACCCAAATCTCATCTCGAATTGTAATCCTCGTGTGTCACGGGAGGAACCTGGTGGGAAGTGATTGGATCACGGGGGTGGTTTCCCATGTCATTCTTCTGATAGTGAGGGAGTTCTCACTATCTGATGGTTTAAAAGTGGCAGTTTCCAGTGAGTTCTCTCTCTCTCTCCTGCCACCATATTGGAGGTGCCTTGCTTCTCCTTCACCTTCTGCCATGATTGTAAGCTTCCTGAGACCTCCCCAGCCAGGTGGAACTGTGAGTCAATTAAACCTCTTTATAAATCACTAGTCTCAGGTAGTATCTTTATAGCAGTGTGAAAATGGACTAATACGCTGGGTGCAGTGACTCACGCCTGTAATCCCAGCACTTTGGGAGGCCAAGGCAGGCAGATCATGAGGTCAGGAGATCGAGACCACGGTGAAACCCCATCTCTACTAAAAATACAAAAAATTAGCCAGGTGCAGTGGCAGGCACCTGTAGTACCAGCTACTCAGGAGGCTGAGGCAGGAGAATGGCATGAACCTGGGAGGCGGATCTTGCAGTGAGCCGAGATCATGCCACTGCACTTCAGCCTGGGCGACAGAGCAAGACTCCATCTCAAAAAAACAAAAAAATAAAAAAAATAAAATGGACTAATACAAACTGGTTCATTAGAAGCCTCAAAAAGTTTTCAGCATCAGCTATTGTCCTAAAACAAGGAGAATAAGCCTCTGCACCCAGATCAAGGGTAAAGCCATAGTGAGTCCAGGGTCTTTGACGGTTCCCAGGAAGTTAAGTAAAAACCCCAAGCACTGGCCGGGCAAAGTGGCTTACGCCTGTAATCCCAGCACTTTGGGAGGCTGAGGCAGGCAGATCAGGAGGTCAGGAGATCGAGACCATCCTGGCTAACATGGTGAAACCCCGTCTCTACTAAAAATACAAAAAAATTAGCCAGGCATGGTGGTGGGCGCCTATAGTCCCAGCTACTCGGGAGGCTGAGGCAGGAGAATGGCACGAACCCGGGAGGCGGAGCTTGCAGTGAGCTGAGATTGTGCCACTGCACTCCACCCTGGGCAACAGAGCGAGACTCCATCTCAAAAAAAAAAAAAAGAAACCAAATGGATGAGGATGTCAATTTTTCAAGGTCTCAAGGCCATCAACAAAATTGTTATCTCTTGCTTCCCAGTGGCTCCTAACCCAAACCCCTTCCTGCTATCAACTCCTCCTGAAACCACTTGCCATCATGATAGAGATTCTTCATCTTTTTCAGTGTGCCCCGCATAGAGACATCCAGTACCCTTCATCTTCACCTGGGTAGGACAAGAGTATACCTGGACAGTTATGCCTTAGAGTCTCAAGGAAGCTCCCTCCTATTTTTTGCAGGTCCTCAATCAAGACTTAAAAGATGGCCACGTGTAGTGGCTCATGCTTGTAATCCCAGCACTTTGGGAGGCTCAGGTGGGAGGATCACTTGAGTCCAGGAGGTTGAGGCTGCAGTGAGCTATGACTGCACCACTGCATTCCAGCCTGAAATACTCAGGGTGACAGAGTGAGACCCTGTCTCAAAAATAACAACAACAACAACAAAACGAAACAAAACATAAAAGATCTGAATTTCTATGGATTTGGTTCTGATATTATATATAGATGATCTACTTTTCTCAGAGAGCAAAGAAGCCTGCGAAAAAGATTCCACTGACTTTCTCTCAGCCTTGGTAGAAAAGGGACATAATGTTTCAGAAGACACATTACCATTTTGCAAAAACATAGTTTATTATTTAGGACATGCCCTATCTAAGGAGGAAAAAGCATTCTCTTCTGATAGACTACCCAGGTTTATTCCAGATCTCTCACAGAATGACAATTGAGAGGATTTCTAGGTTTAATTGGATACTGCAATAAGGGCCAAATTTTTCTAAAATTGCTACACTTTTTTTGTGAATTGACTAAGGACTCAGTTTGCTTTGGGAGCATAAACATGCACAGGCCTCTGGAACCTGAAGAAGGCTCTTCAACGGCCCCTTCCCTTAGCATCCCTAACTGCAAAGCTTCCCATGGTCTGTTTTGCAGGAGTAATCTGCACAACTGCTTGGAGGTTTTTTCCTTTGTTTTTTTTTTTTGTTTTTTTTCTTGAGATGGAGTCTCGCTCTGTCGCCCAGCCTGGAGTGCAGTGGCGCGATCTCCACTCACTGCAAGCTCCGCCTCCTGGGTTCACACTATTCTCCTGCTCAGCCTCCCAAGTAGTTGGGACTACAGGCACCCACCACCACGCCCGGCTACAGGTGTGAGCCACCGTGCCTGGCCCATTTGGTTTCTTTACTGGCAGGACAAGAGTGATAAGGGCTAGTGAAGTGCATGAGAAGGACTTTGGATCCAAGGCCTTCAATGATTGCTGTCAGCCCTTTGTTTCCAGCTTCAAGGAATATGGGGGAAGTTTAGGTTACAGCGTGGTGGGAGAATTGTTGGGAAAAGGTAGGGCATCTGGATACAGGGGACAGGAGGAAGCAGTTGATGGAGGTGTGGAAGGAGAGAAACAGGAAAGGACGAGGGGGAGGAGGAGGGCTAGACACAGGGGGACATGGAGGGCAGGCGGGTGAGGGGCGGTTTGTCAAGTCAGTCATTAGCATTGGCCAAACAGTCTCTTAGCGAAATACTTTTTTATTCAGAAATTCATTTGGAGGCCTCTGCATTTAGGCCTAGGGAATCTTACTCATTTTCTTCTCTAAAGAATCTCTTAAATGAACAATTTTTCAAGCCAAATGTTCCCAGAGTTGCCACCAAAAACCCAAGTCACCCTTGGTGAATTTTGCCAAGTAGAAAGATCAGCATGAGAACTAGGACCATGAGAAGCATAAGTCTTTCCTGGAAGAGCAGAGGATTCAGCCGTGGATGCCCCTGCAAGCTGGTGATGGGCGGCAGACGCATCACGCCAGTGCACAGTGTCTCAGGCCCCCAGCCTACGGGCTGGCCTCCTCCAAACACAGACCCAGCACCCTGCACCAGACCCCCACCCCCAAGCAAAAAACCAGAGAGAATGTTCTAAAAGCCAAGTTCTCAGGACAAAACCCCTGGATGGCAGAACCTCACCCAGTTTCCCTGGTGATCCACAGCCAAGTTCATGGATGTGAACAAGGGTCTGGTAAGAGCTACAGACTCACCTGTCTGTGAGGCTGATCCATGTGCCCCTCATGCTTCTTATTATGACAAACACCACGTTTAGAAAGCACAGCACAAAAGAGTAAAGGAAGGGACTAATTCCCCTGTAACAGAGCAAATGGGAAGCAGGAATGAGGCCCTGGCACCAAACTGAGAAGTCCAGGAATGTGCCAGCGAGGGGCTCAGAACAGGCCTCAGTCACCAGCTGGGTGCCCTGTGGGCTGCAGCATTAAGGCCAGGGTGCCTGGGCAGAGGTGGGGTCTGGACGACAGGCAGTGCAGACAGTGTCCTGGAGGAGCCTTCACGGTAACCGGGGACATCAGCGAGGATGGCAGAGGCTGCTCACTCGAAGCTGTAGCCAAGAAGGCTACACTGTCCCTGCGCGTGGCAGAGCCTTGAAGGTGGGGTGGGGAGGGGAAGCTTCCCATTAGAAGATGGGAAGGCTCTGGTTGGGTATGCCCTGGGTGGAGGCTGTTGTCAGGGGGAAGCTGGGGGTGGGCCACCTGGCAGCGGGCATCCTATGGGGTTGGTTTGGGGAGAATATCTGACTTTCTTAGTTGGAAGCAGAGCTAGAAAATAGGGAAGCTGCAGTCGCTTCCCAGACCTGAGTCCCGCCAGAGGCCGCACATGATGTGCTTTGGCCTCAAGGTTGGAGGTCCAAGTTTTGCCATCATAGACGGTCTGCCCATTGTTCATTTGTATATTCACCCTCTCAGTGGTGATCCACAGCTATTGCTAAAAGCAATTTCACAGACAGACAGGCCTCCTGCACCAGATGGGGCACAGAGAAGACCTTGAGTGGCGTGTGCAGGGGGCTTAGGATATGTCAAACAAAAAGCTGTGTGCAGTCTCATCTGCCTCCCCTGCTCTGCCTCTCCGAGGCCCACAAGCCCAGGGTCCCCTCCTCAGCCACAGTGTGTCCTGCTTGCTCCTGCCCTCCGCTGGCGTCCGGTCTGTGCTCAGGTCAAGATATGTGCATGAGAGTTTCCTCAGGAGATTCAGGGGCTGGCTGGCGATGCTCCTCTTGGAGGACCTGTTCTTTCAAGGGGCTCTGGAGTCTTTCAGGTGCAAGGGAATGAAGTGGTAATGGCAGGCTCATGCGGAGGGGCCTAAGGCCTTAGAATTGTGGATAATAATTATCTCCAGATTTTGCATGAAAATGAAACGAGATGTCAGGTGTTCATAGCTGAGCAAAGTGGTGGGACTCGGCCAGCAATGGGGAAACGCGTCTCTCTCCACTTTCAGATGTGCTTCTGTGTCCGCTAAATGCTGCCATAAACGCTATTGCTAGAACAAGAATAGAAACATCAAAGACAAGTTGTAATTGTCCATTAGTGATAGGAAAATAGCAAGAGTCCCAATAATTCACTTTGTTACTGGACCTTACAAGATTGATTATATAGGTAGACAAAGGGAAAAGGAGGGAACAAATAGCAATGCATCATGGCAATATTTAGTTATGGCTAATAAATATCAAATTATAATTCTGAGTAAAAATGATTAGATGAAGACAGAGGCTGTGCTATAATCTTTTGAGGTGAAACAGAACATACAAATTATCATTTTAAAGTGTACAATTCAGTGGCATTCAGCGCATTCAAAGGAGTGTGCAACCACCCCCTCTTCTAGTTTCAAAACCTTTTCATTGTTGCAGAAGAACGCTTCATACCCATGAAGTAATCACTCCCCATTCCCCTTCCCCCAGTCCCTGAAAACCACAAATCTTTCTGTCAGTACTTGCCTATTCTGGACATTTCATGTAAAAGGGATTATACAATATATGACCTTTTGTGTCTGGCAGCTTACACTTAGCAAAATGTCTTTGAGGTTCATCCAGTTATAACATATATCAGTACTTAAGTCTTTTCTAAGGCTGAATAATATCCCATTGTATGTGTAAGCCACATTTTATTTATCCAGTCATTTATTAATGAACGTATTTCTATGTTGCATTAGGCCATGCTTGCATTGCTATAAGGAAATACCTGAGACTGGGTAATTTATAAAGAGAAGAGGTTTAATTGGCTCATGATCCTGCAGGCTGTACATGAAGCATGGTGCTGGTATTTGCTCAGCTTCTAGGGAGGCCTCAGGAAGCTTACAATCGTGGCAGAAGGCAAAGGGGGAGCAGGCATGTCACATGGCAAAAGCAGAAGCAAGTGGGGGAGGTCCTGTACGCTTTTAAATGACCAGATCTCATGAGAACTCACTCACTATTGTGAAAACAGCACCAAGCCATGAAGCATGTGCTTCTGTGACCCAAACACTTCCCACCAGTCCCCACCTCTAGTATTGAGGATTACAGTTCAACAAGGGATTTGGGTGGGAACAAATACCCAAACTGTATCATATATTTTTACTCTTATGAATAATCCTATTTAAGTTTCTGTAAGGAAATATGTTATTTCATGTGTGTCTGTGTGTCTGTGTGTGTGTGTGTGTGTGTGTGTGTGTGTGTAATTGCTGGATTATATGGTAGTTTTGTGTTTAATTTTTTGAGGAAATACCAAACCGTTTTCCACAGGGTCTACACCATTTTTGAATTTCCACCAGCAATGTATGAAAGTTCCTAATTCCACATCCTGGTGAATCCTTGCTATTTTTTATTATTGTTACTGCTGTCTTAGTATGAACTGGTATCCTACTGTGGTTTCAATTTGCATTCCTTAATGACCAGGAATGCGGAACATCTTTTCATGTATGTATTGGTCATTTATATACCTTCTTTAGAGAAATACCTATTCAGATCCTTTGCCCATTTTTAAATTGGGTTGTTTATCTTTTTGTTGTTGAGTTGTAAGAGTTCTTTTTATATATTTTGGATTCTAAATACTTATCATGATGTGATTTGCAAATATTTTCTCCAATTCTGTATGGCATGTCTTTTTTTTTTTTTTTTGACAGGGTCTCACTCTGTCACCCAGGCTGGAGTGCTGTGGGACAATCACAACTCACTGCAGCCTTGACCACCTGGGATAAGGTGATCCTCCCACCTCAGCCTTCCAGGTAGCTGGAACTATGTGCATGTGCCAACACGCTTGGCTGATGTTTTGTATTTTTTGTAGAGACTGGGTGTCTCCATGTTGCCCAGGCTCAGTAGAGAGAGCTCAGTGGAAACTGACACTTTTAAATCATCAGATCTTGTGAGAACTCCCTCACTATCATGAACTCCTCGAGCCCAGGAGGTCTCGAACTCCTGGACTCAAGTGATCTGCCCACCTTGGCCTCCCAAAGTGCTGGGATTATAGGCATGAGCCACCATGCCTGGCCCTTGATAATGTTCTTGATGTAAAAAAGTTTTTAATTTAATGAAGGCCAATTTATTTATCTTTTCTTTGTTGCTCATGTTTTAGTGTCAAATCTAAGAATCCATTTCCAAATCCAAAGTCATAGAGTTTACCACTATGTTTTCTTCTAAGAGTTTTTTGGTTTTAGCTCTTATAGTTAAGTGATGGATCCATTTTGAGTTAGTTCCTGTATACTGAGTGATGTAGGAACCAAGTTTATTCTTTTCCATGTGGCTATCCAGTTGTTCCAGCATCATTTGTTGAACAGACGGTTCTTTCTCACATTGAATGGTCTTGGCAATCTTGTCGATTGGCCATAAATGTATGGTTTATTTCTGAACTCTCAATTCTATTCATTGGTCCATATGTCCACAAGCCAGTACCACACTGTTTTCATTACTGATGTTTGCAGTGGTTTTGAAATTGAGAAGTATGGATCTTCCAAATCTGTTTTTCTTTTTCAATATTGTTTTGACCATTTGGAGCCCCTTATAATTCTATATGAATTTGAGTATCAGCCTTTCCATTTCTGCAAAAGAGATCATTGGAATTTTAATATGGATTGTATTGAATATGCAGATCACTTGGAGAGTATTGCTCTGAAAAATATTGTCTTTTGGCCATGCACCATGGCTCACACCTGTAATCCCAGAACTTTGGGAGGTTGAGGTGGGTGGATCATGAGGTCAGGAGCTCAAGACGAGTCTGACCAACATGGTGAAACCCCATCTCTACTAAAAATACAAAAAGTAGCAGGGCATGGTGGCACACGCCTGTAATCCCAGCTATTCAGGAGGCTGAGGCAGGAGAATTGCTTGAACCCAGGAGGTGGAGGTTGCAGTGAGCCGAGATCGCGCCACTGCACTCCAGCCTGGGTAACAGAGTGAGACTCTGTCTCTTTCTCTCTCTCTCTCTCTCTCTCTCTCTCTCTCTCTCTCTATATATATATATATATACGTATATATGTATATGTATATATATATATATTCTTTCAATTTGGGATATCTTTCCATTTATTTAGGTCTTTATATTATTTCAGCAATATTTTGTTGTTTTCAGGATACAAGTCTTTCCCCTCCTTGGTTAAATTTATTCTTAGGCATCCTTTTTTCTTGGGTACTATTATAAATAGAATTGTTTCTTAATTTTCTTTTTGATTGTTCATTGCTGATGTATAGAAACACAACTGCTTTGTGTACATTAATCTTGTACCTTATAACTTTGCTAAATTTTTTATTAGCTACTGGTTTTTTGTGGGTTCTTTGGAATTTTCTATATGTAGAACCCTCTGCAAACCGAGATACTTTTACGTCTTTCTTCCCAATTTGGATGGGTTTTATTTCTTTTTCTTGACTAATTGCTCCGGATAGGACTTCCAGCACAATGTTAAACAGAAGTAATGAAACTGAGTATCCTTGCCTTCTTTCTGATTCTTAGGGTAAAGTTTTCAGTCTTTCACCATTGTTGATGATTTTAGTTGTGGGTTTTTCACAAATGTCCTTTATGACGTTAAGGAAGTTGGCTTCTATTTCTAGTTTGCTGAGTGTTTTTTTAATCATGAAAAAGTGTTAAATTTTGCCAAGTGCATTCTCTGCATATATTGAGATAATCATGTGTGGTTTTCTCCCTCCATTTTATTAACAGGATATATTACATTAATTGATTTGGTCTGTAATTTTATTTTTTGTGCTATATTTGTCTGACTTTGGTCTCAAGTGATGGTGGCCTCACAGAATGTGTTAGGAAGTGTTCCTTCCTCTTCTATATTTTGGAAGAGTTTGGTAGAATTTGTGTTAAGTTTTATTTAAATGTTTGTTAGAATTCATCAGCGAAGCTAGCTAGTCTTGGGCTTTTCTTTAGGGGAAGGTTTTTAATAACTGATTCAATCTATACTTGCTATTGGTTGATTGAGATTTTTCCATTTCTTCTTGAGTCAGTATTCTTAATCTGTGAGTTTCTAGGAATTTGTAAATTTCATCCAGGTTATCTAATGTGTTGGCATATAATTGTTCATAGTAGCCTTTTCTAATCCTTTTTATTTCTGATAGGTTGGTAGTAATGTCCTCTCTTTAATTTCTGATTTTATGTATGCCTTCTTTCTTTTTTCTTAGGTAGTCTAGATAAAGGCTTGACAATTTTGTGGATCTTCTCAAAAAATCAACTTTTACTTTTGTATATTCTATTGTTTTTCTGTTCTCTATTTCATTTATTTCTGCTCTAATGTTTATTTTTTTTCTTCCTTCTGTTAGCTTTAGGTTTAGTTTGTTCTCTCTCTAGTTCCCAAGGTATAAAGTTAAGTTGTTGATATGAAATCTCTATTTTTTGTACTGTACCATTTACAAAAATAAATTCCCTCCTGAGCACTACTTTTACTGCATCCCATACGTTTTGGTATGCTGTGGTTTTTGTTTGAGACCAGTATCTTGCTTTGTCACCCAGGCTGGAGTGCAGTGGCATGATCATGGCTCACTACAGCCTTGACCTCATTGGGCTCAAGCAATCCTCCCACCTTAGCCTCCCACTCCTCCTGCCAAGTAGCTGGGACTACAGATGTGCGCCATCACATCTGGAAAATTTGTGTATTTTTTGTGGAGACAGGGTTTTGCCACATTGCCCAGGTTGGTCTTGAACTCCTGGACTCAAGCAATCTGCCCGTCTCAGCTTCCCAAAGTTCTGGGATTACAGGCATGAACCACTGTGCCCAGCCTGGTTTTGTTTTCATTTATCTCAAAGTATTTTCTAATTTTCTGAGTGATTTTTTTCTTTGACCCATCAGTTGTTTAGCAGTGTTGTTTAATTTTCATGTATTTGTGAATTTTCTGGATTCCCTGTGTTATTCATTTCCAGATTCATTCTACTATTGGAGGAAATACTTTGCATGATTTTAGTCTTTTAAAATTTATTTAAAATTATTTTATGGCTTACCATATGTCCCATTCTTAAAATAGTCTGTACACAGACAACTTTACCCTTCGACAAGAAGCATCACCAATTCCTGGGAAAGAGGGAGAATCTGATTTTTTAAATTAGCACATTACAATATTCAAAACTTCCAGTTCTCAACAAAAATATACAAAGTATACAAAGAAACAAAAAAGTATGGCCCATTCACAGGGGCAATAATCAACAGTAAATATACACAAGGAAGACAAGACACTGGACTTAATAAACAAAGATTTTAAACTAACTGTCTTAGCTGTGCTCAAGATGCTGAAGGAAACCATGGACAGAGAACTAAG
Organism: Homo sapiens; assembly: GCF_000001405.40. Classification (NCBI taxonomy): domain Eukaryota; kingdom Metazoa; phylum Chordata; class Mammalia; order Primates; family Hominidae; genus Homo; species Homo sapiens. The sequence goes on along the minus strand of NC_000018.10, from coordinate 80,090,048 downwards.
GGCAGTCAGGAGAATGATGTATGAACTGTAGGGAATATTAATAAATAGATAATAAATATTAATAAATAGTTGTGTGTCAAGCACAAACAACCAAATAGAAGTTCTGAAGCCAAAAAGTACAATCACGGAAATGAAAAATTCAACAGAGAGGCACAGCAGCAGATTTGATTAAGCAGATGAAAGGATCAGCAAACTTGAATATAGGGCAATTGAAATTATCCAGTCAGAGGAGCAAAAAGAAAACAGAATAAAGAAAAATGAGGCCAGGTGCAGTGGCTCATGCCTATAATTCCAGCACTTTAGGAGGCCAAGGTAGGAGGATCATTTGAGGCCTGGAGTTTGAGACTACCCAGAGCAACAGAGTGAGGCCCTATCTCCACAAAAAATTAAAAAGTAAATTAGCTGTGCATGGTGGCATGCAGCTATAGTCCTAGCTATTCAGGAAGCTGAGGTGGGTGGATCACTTGAGCTCAGGAGTTTGAGGTTACAGTGAGCTATGATTGTGCCACTGCACTCCAGCATGGACAACAGAGCAATACCCTGTCTCTACAAAGAAAAGAAAAAAATTGGGGCCAGGCACGGTGGCTCATGCCTGTAATCTCAGCACTTTGGGAGGCTGAGGCGGGCAGATCACAAGGTCAGGAGATCGAGACCATCCTGGCTAACATGGTGAAACCCCATCTCTACTAAAAATACAAAAAATTAGCCAGGCATGGTGGCGGTCGCCTGTAGTCCTAGCTACTCAGGAGGCTGAGAAAGGAGAATGGTGTGAACCCAGGAGGCAGAGCTTGCAGTGAGCTGAGATCACACCACCGCACTCCACCCTGGGTGACAGAGCAAGACTCCATCTCAAAAAAGAAAAAGAAAAAGAAAAAGAAAAAGAAAAAAAAAAGGCCAAAAACTTCTCAAATTTGATGAAAGACATGAATCTACATATCCAAGAATCTCAATGAACTCCAAACAGGATAAACTCAAAGAGATTCACAATGAGACACATTATAATCAAAATACCAAAAGCCAAAGATAAGGAGAAAATCTTGAATGCAGCCAGAGAAAAGCAACTTGTAACACACAAGTGATCTTTAATAAGATTAACAGCCAACTTATCACCAGAAGCTATGGAGACCAGAAGCAGTGGGATATGTTTTACATTACTGAAAGAAAAAACTGTCAAGTAGCAATTTTATATCTGGCAAAACTATTCTTCAAAAATGAAGAACTCAAGATATTACCAGACAAACAAAAGCTAACGGAATTCATCACTAGTATACTTTAGCTACAAAAAATGTTAAAGGGAACACAAGGTGAAACAAAAGAAATCTAGATGGCAATTCAATGTTACACAAAGAAATAAAGATCTCTAGTAAAAGTAAATACGTAAGTAAATATAAAAGCTAGTATTATTGTATTGTTGGATTGGAACTCCAATTTTTGTTTCCTATGTGATTCAAAGGACAAATGCATAAAACAATTATTATAAATCCATCTATGCTAATGGTCACACACATATAAATATGTAATTAATGGCAGCAACAATGTAAAGTGGGGGATGAAGCTGGATAGGAGTAGAATTAATGTATGCTGTTGAAGCTATGTTTGTATCAATTTAAACTAGATTGGTATAAATTTAGGATTTAACTCTAATCCTAATAATAACCACAAAGAAAATAACTATATGGAAAAGAAAAAAGGGGGTATTCAAAATTGTTCAAGCACAAAAGGAGGCAATATTGGAGGAATTAAGGAATACAATTAAGGAAATATAGAAAACAAATAGCAAAATGGCAGAAGTAAATTCTTCATTATCAGTAATCACGTTAAATGTAAATGGATTAAATTCACCAATTAAAGGGCAGAGGCCAGCAATATAAATTTAAAAACATGATCCAAGTATATGCTGCCTACAAGAGACTCACTTTAGACCCAAGACAAAAGTTAAAAGTGAAATGATGGAAAAAATTCCACACAAAGAGCAACCAAAAGAGCTGGAATGGCTATACAAATATCGTAGCAAATAGATTTAAGTAAAAAATAGTTATGAGAGAAAATAGGACGTTATATATTAATAAAAGGGCCAAGTCATCAATAAAATATAACAATTACAAATATAAGCATATATGCACCAAACAATGGAGCTCCAAAACATATGAAGCAAACATTGACAGAATTGAAGGGAGAAACAGTTCTACAATAATAATTACAAATTTCAATACCTCATTTTCAATAATGAGTGGAATATCTAGACAATCAATTAAAAAATAGAATTTAAACACTATAAACTAATTAGACCTAACACACACATAAAGAATACTCCATCCAACAACAGAACATAAATTATTCTCAAGTACAGATTGATCATTAAATTTTTAATAAATAATGAATATCTATTCTTTAGATCAGTTGGCCACTGGTAAAAAATATATATATAATGATTCATTTGGGCCTTTGAATCTACATGCTGCCTTTATTTCTAATATTTCTAATGTGCTTTGCACTCAGAATTCAGTACAGTGTCAAGCACAAACAAGCATTTCCTTGCATCTACAGTTTCTCCATGTGCATTGAAGTCCATGTCGAATGACTGTCAATAAGGAAAAAATTATATTTAAACTAAAATTATGCTGTTGCTTCCCCACTTGCTAATTTTTTGATGGAGGGAAATACTGCTCATATGAGAGATTGGGAAAGTGAGACTTTGATCAGTCCACTGTTTCTACCAACGCTGGCAAGTTTATTATAGAAATTAAATATGGTAATAGAAAAGAAGCTACATTACTTTTACACTGCTCATAAAATTTTTCTACTCTACAGAGCAAATTCAAATTTTGATATGATTGTCTTTACGCTGAGGCTACATTACTATAAATTAGGTCAGAGTAGGAAAGCAGATTAGAAGATTTAAAATGGAATTAAATAGAAACTTTCTCTTTCCTTTATTTTCTTTTTATCCCCTTTGCAGTAATCCTTGTTTATTAGCTCCTAATAAATTATGTAATCTTTCAGATAGTTTATATCTGAACATCTCATCCAAATAGTAAAGTGAAACAAAAACAATGCCTTTTATGCTGACTTTTTCACCTTTTTGTAATAGAGATTTTGTCACATCTTGTTACGCATTCAACTCACAATTATTGAGCATCACTGCTCCTTGTTATAGAGAAGGCAGTCAGTGAGAAGGACAGACAAGAGAATTCATGCTGACAACAAGCAATAGATGTTTATACTGGATCTTCTAGGAGAAGCAGGATGGGGAGGGGAAAAAAAATAGGAAAACTTTTCCTAAAGAAGATGAGACCAGACCTGAATCTTGAAAAAGAAATAGGGTTTTAGACCATCAGACTAGAATAAATGCCTTCAAGGCAAAGGGTTAGCATACGTAAAGACAGGTATGCTGCTGTCTGCGGCTACACACACACATTCCTTAGATTTGCTGGTAGTTCACTTGCATCTCAAAGAAATGTTATTTTTTTCTTCATTTCGTGTGTGCAGAGAAGCTTTGCTGCCTTGTAGTTACACATGAAATGAGTCACCTTTCTCCAGAGCTCTTCGTACTCAATCAGGAAGCACTAGCTAGGCTTAGCTCTGGAATGCTGGATCAGGGATGCTCACCAGAGAACCACTGCAGGCTGGGGCAGGGGAGGTGTCAAATTGGGCATGTGCAGCAGTAGTCCCTTATGAAGCAGAAGTGGTTTATATGAGTTCTGCAAGGATACCAGTGCTCCCTTCATTAATATTTGAGTTAGTCTGTTCTCATATTGCTATAAAGAACTACCTGAAACTGGGTGGTTTATAAAGAAAAAAGGTTTAATTGGCTCACAGTTCCACAGGTTGTACAGGAGGCATGGCTGGGGTTGGGGGCCTCAGGAAAGTTACAATCATGGCAAAAGGCGAAGGGGAAGCAAGCACATCATCACATGACAACAGGAGGAAGAGCAAAGAAGGAAACCCTACACATTTTTAAACAACCAGCTCTCATGAGAACTCACTCACTATCATGAGAACGGCAAGGGGGACATCTGCCCTCATGATCCAGTCACCTCCCACCAGGTCCCTCCCCTAACACTGGGGATTACAATGCAACATGAAATTTGGGTGGGGACACACAGCCAAACCATATCAGTATGTTTCTCCATGCTTTCATAAAGATGGTGCTCAATACTCCCTTAGCAGAACCTAGTGAGAAGATGCTTGAGCAGGACTCACTTGATAAATCAACATCATTTCTATCTCCTTAAGCCTTTAAATTCTTTCCTGTACATTAAATCAAGTGATGGATCTCAACTTCATTTAATGTGGCCACAAACTACTCCAGCTATGTTTTTCTAAAAGAATTCTAATTTGCATGTTTGTAGTCTGTTCTAGAGAGTGAGTGAGGGCCTGACCCGTTGCTTTTCCTAAGCAATGGATGGATGGGAACTTCTACTCCCAGGAGGGGTCCTAAGTGCTCACTGCTCTTTAGAAGCAGTGCTGCCAAGAACAAAGGATGCCAGTGCCAGGTGTATTAGTCCTTTCTCACATTGCTCTAAAGAAATACCTGAGACTGGATAATTTATAAAGAAAATAAGTTTAATTGGCTCATGGTTCTGCAGGCTGTACAGGAAGCACAATGCTGGCATTTGCTTGGCTTCTGGGGAGGCCTCAGAAAACTTACAATCATGGCGGAAGGTGAAGGGGGAGCAGGAACGTCTTACAGAGCAGGAACAAGAGAGAGAGCAAGGGGGAGGTGCTATACACTTTTAAACAACAAGATCTCGTGAGTACTCACCATCATGAGTACAGTGCCGAGGGGATGGTGCTAACCCGTTCATGAGAAATCCACCCCCATGATCCAATCACCTCCCACCAGGCCCCACCTCCAACATTTGGGATTAAAATTCAACAAGAGAGTTGGGCAGAAACACAGATCCAAACCACATCTCCAGGCCCATCAACTAACTAAGCAAACAGTCTTCCCAACTACTCACACTAACACATGGAGTCCAGAATATCTGCCAAGAACACGTGTATCAATAAATTCAGCCCAATCTAGCAGTTTTCCTCCTTCTCCAATACCAATAAAATTCATTTTTACACACTTTACTCATGTTTCTACTGATAACTAGGAAGAATCATTTTTTTTGTTTTTGTTTTTTGAGATAGGGTCTTGCTCTGTCACCCAGGCTGGAGTGCAGTGGCATGATCATGGCTCACTGCAGCCTCGACCTCCTGGGCTCTGGCAATCCTCCTGCCTCAGCCTCCTGAGTAGCTGGAAGCACAGGTGTGCACCACCACACCTGACTAATTTTTAAGTTACATGTAGAGATGGGATCTCCCTTTGTTCCTCTGGCTTGTCTTTAATTTCTGGGCCCAAGCAATCTTCCCCCTCAGCCTTCCAAAGTGCTAGGATTATAGGCATGAGCCAATGCACCTGGCCAGGAAAAAATGTTGTATAAGCCTCTTTCCCCCAGTCAGATTTCGCATTCATCCCCCTTGGTGTGCAGGGATCTGACTGTGGTGATGGGTCTGGAGGCAGCAAGAGGTTTTGGGTTTGCTTTGAGAATGACCTGCTCTTGCAAGCTAATTGCCTCAATGAGAACATTACAAAGTCTTCCACAAGGGGAGGCTGATCCACTCAGGTGGGAAAAGAGCACTGGCTTTCAACAGCAAAAGGAAGATGATGTGGAATTTGAGGTTCCAGTTTCTCATCTGCATCACAATCCACCCAGTGATTCCCGTTCCAATTCTTAGGGCCTGCTCTTTTCCAGTCAGTGTCCTAACTTCCCAGTAAAATGCCTGGAAAGGCTGTGATATCAATTTGTGTTGTTCTTCAACAACCAGAAGGATAAAATTTGGGTCTAGAAGACAGAGAAATGGCATTCCAGCTTGGGGCCTAGCCCGCTTGCCTTTCACACTAAATCAGAATAGTTTATGAAAGTTCCACTGACCTAGCAGGCATCCTTAGGACTCTGCACGCAGGAAATCCCTGCCTAGGGATTTTCAGGTAAAGGACATTGAGTCATTTCCCCATCAGCACTTCCACGGTTCCAGTCTCTCTAGGGCACTTTTCTAATTCCATTTTAGGCCCCTTTCCCTGCTCTTATTACTCTCAAGAGAGTTTCTAGCTGGGCATGGTGGCACGCAGTTATAATCCCAGCTACTCAGGAGTCCGAGGTAGGAGGATGGCTTGATCCCAGGAGTTTGAGGCTGCAGTGAGCCATGATCATGCCACTGCACTCCAGCCTGGATGACAGAGCAAGACCCTGTCTCTTTTAAGAAAAAGAATGTGATCGGGCATGGTGGCTCACGCCTGTTATCTCAGCACTTTGGGAGGCTGAGGCAGGTAGATCACAAGGTCAGGAGATCAAGACCATCCTGGCTAACACGGTGAAACCCCGTCTCTACTAAAAATACAAAAATTTAGCTGGGCGTGGTGGTGGGCACATGTAGTCCCAGCTACTCAGGAGGCTGAGGCAGGAGAACGGCGTGAACCTGGGAGGCAGAGCTTGCAGTGAGCTGAGATCGCGCCACTGCACTCCAGCCTAGGCGACAGAGTGAGATTCCATCTCAAAAAAAAAAAAAAAGAAAGAAAGAAAAGGAAAAGAATGTTTCTAGCTTTGAGCTCTCCTTTCTGGATCCTTCACCTCATTTATGTTCCCATCACCATTTTCTGTTTCCACTCCATGGGGAGTTATCTGGACAACCCCAAAGGGCCCCTCATCCCTCAGGGGATCTTCATGGGGCTTCTCTTGGAGATTTGCAATAAGTGTCCCTTAGAAACTCAGAGAAGTTCTGTAATTTTTTAAAAACACCTTCTAACATGTCAATTCATATTTTGTTTGATGACGTACTTTCTTTTTTTTTTTTTTTTTTTTTTTGAGACAGAGTTTTGCTTTGCTTTGTCGCCCAGGCTGGAGTGCAGTGGCACGATCTCGCCTCACTGCAAGCTCCACCCCCCGGGTTCACGCCATTCTCCTGCCTCAGCCTCCTGAGTAGCTGGGACTACAGGCGCCCACCACCACGCCCAGCTACTTTGTTTTTTTGTATTTTTTAGTAGAGATGGGGTTTCACCATGTTAGCCAGGGTGGTCCCGATCTCCTGACCTTGTGATCCACCTGCCATGGCCTCCCAAAGTGCTGGGATTACAGGCGTGAGCCACCGCGCCTGGCTTGATTTAGTACTTTCAAAGCCAGTATAAAGATCTGATCCTTTTTAGAAAGGTAGTAAAATGAAGAGACCCTATGTGAACAAATTAGACATAGAGGGAAAGACATAATTATTGCTGTACTTATCCCTTTCAAAGGGGAAGTACAGTCAGAGAAGAGGGGAAGGAGAACGGTTCCAAAACTGTCTGGTGTTTCAGAAAGCAACACTGATGGCTTAGATGGGAGAAGCTAACTGCAGGCGGGACATTCACAGCCTAGAGACACCAAGGTGGTAATTCACACCTACATCGTGAATAGCAGCTAAGAGTGAACTGCAACATGTAGAGCAGAAACAGCCTGGGACAAGCTCGAGGTCAAGAGAACAAACAGATTTAGAAAGGCAGAGCTCAGTCAGTGTTGCCCGTGCAGCCTTACCTCAGTGGGAGTGTTTTGCTTGCAAAAGGAGAGTAAAAACAGGTTGTTCTCCAAACAGCTTGTTTCCAGTAAGACAGTGAGCGCTCCTCTCCCGTCGACTGCCTGGGCTCCCCAGCCAGCATCTCAGATGCAGCACACGCTCTGGTGCCCAAGAGGATTCATCAAGTCAGTGGTTGTCTGGAAATTTCACACCCTTTGATAATAACAGCTCATCTTTGAGTGTGCCCCACCTGCCAGCACGGTGCCACCCCAGAGTCAGCCACAGGCCATGGGCCTGGCTGAGGTCACACAGGTGACGCCCCACCATTTCATTTCAGCTCATGCCACCAACAAGTGCTCTTTTCACGGCCCACATAGCGCCATATTCTTCACATTTCTGTGATTTTTGTTAGTGATTTTGCTGTTTAAAATGACCCCAAGCCCAGTACTGATGTACTGTCTAGCGTCCTAAGAGCAAGAGGCTGTGATGTGCCTCACAGAGAAATGTGAGATAGCTTTACTCAGGTGTGAGTTCCAGTGCTGTTGGCCATGGACTCAGTGTTAATGGGATCACCAATGTCTATTCAAAAAGGTGTCTTTAAACAGGAACATGCATAAGCAAGGTTATGTATTGATTGGTTGATGAAAATGTGACCAGAAGCTCGCAGGAACCTAGCCCTGTATTTCTCCAGAAGCAAGGGCTCTGTATCCACGAATTCAGTGTTCAGGTGACTTTATAGAACTAACTGTGGCAAATCACGAGAATCAACTGCATCTGCCTCCATTTTGCTCCACAGAGAAGCAAAGTGACAAGGAGGGCCCACAGAAAACAGCCAGCGCCCTCCAGTCCCACACAACCTGGTGTCCAGGGGCAGAGCCGCCTGTGCTATGCCTCATCCCAGCTACACTCAGATTTCCTTCGTGTTTCTGGTGATTCCCTCCTGTTTTCTCTGGTTCTCCAGAATAAAGTCTTCTAAGTTGTTTTAATCAGATTCATTCCCACCTTGATGAAGAACTAGTGAAACATTTGAGATTGCTGACCTCCTAGTGGTCTTTAAATTTTTTTTAAGGTGAATACACCTGTAGGCTCAGCATTTTGGGAGGCCAAGGAAGGGGGATTTCTCGAGTCCAGCAGTTTGAGACCAGCCTGGGCAACATAGCAAGCAAGACGTCACCTCTACCACAAAACAAAACAAAACAAAACAAAACAAAATAAAACATTTTGAGCCAAAAAAAAAGTCATTGTTGAAAAAATTGACTCACACATACTATAACCCAGATTCCCAAATTTAAAAAAGACAATTCACATTTCTCATATGAGGTAGAGAAGGGGAATTAATGTTTCATTCTCACACTGTACAGTCAACTGAACAATTTGCCTCTGTGGGTCCTGTGGGTCCAGGTCTTCAGCTGAGGCCCCTGGCAGCCTGCAAACCCTCCAGCCACCAGGCGCCTGAAGCAGCACAATCCACTGTCTGAGACTCCTGAACACTGCTCCTGTCAGCAACCCTGATGGTGGACGGTGTGATTGCCAACACAAAATGGCTGTTTGTGGAAACACATTAGCTGCAATTACCAACTGTCACAGGTCTTTCTTTGAAAGGAATCATTTTCACAAAAATCCAACATTAACATCAGCCTCTCCTTGGTCTCCAACATGCTCAGGTTAACCACAGTGATCCCAACTTCTGTTTCGTGTCACCTCTTGGCATACACACCCAAAATGTTGACTCCTGTGGGAACAAACACAAAGCGAAGTGCGAGACCATGGGAGGCGTTCATCGCAAGACGGCGGACTCCAATTTTGGCTGAATGTGTGGTGCAATTTGGAAATGATGCTTCCGATTCCCTTTTACTGCGTATGTCAGAACGATTTCCTGTTAACTAATATGATGTTCTCACTTTAGTTTTAGTATGTTTTAGTACAAATATCTAGGAACAAATTCTTCAATTGAACAATCTGAGAAACAAATTGCTCAACTGATCCAAGATCTGTCATTGTCTCATTCTACAGATGAGGAAATTGCAGCTCAGAGAGACGAAGGAAATTGGGAGACAGGGGTCTTACCCTATGAGTGCCGCAGCCTTCCAACACCAGACTTCAGCACCAAAACAGGGCCCGGTGTGGCCAGGCAAGGCAGAGCAAAAACCGGGCTCCTGACAAACACTCACACAAACTGGAGGAGGGATTTGGAGGGGCAGTTAAGACCCAAACTCCAATTTCAGCCAGTCTGTATCACAGTTTTACAATCTCATCTTTGACCTTTTTCTTCCTTCATATCTAATTTATCTTCATTTTCTGGGTTTTGTACAAGTTCTCAGCCATCATTAAATCACATTACAACTTCACCTACCACATCTTCTCTCCTTCCTTCCTCCTTTGAGGTACTCTCTTCCCTTCCTGTCATATAGACTTCTGACACCATGAAACTCTTCCCAAGTTGCCCGCTGTGATTAAAATAACTTTTAACTCCTTGGACCACCATCTCTCTGCTGCTCACTTTTTGCTGTTCTCTTCCATGAAGTGCTGGTTCCAAGCACCAAAAACAAACTCACATTCAGAAGTAAATTTTGTTCATTAATATACAAGGACACTCTTCCATTTGAGTTTGTTTTCTAAAAGACCACATAAGACTGCTGCTTTCTGAATTGTTTAAGGGGAAAGTTTACAACTGCATTTTAAAATAAAATAAAATGAGGCTCACATTGAGAACTCAGACTCTGAGGCTCCGCTGGGTAGGTGGCTCCCGCACGGCAGGAACGCGTTCAACACACACAGGCCAGGCACGGCCACAGCTGCATTTGTGTTCATCGTCCACAGGATGCACTGCCAACGAAGATGAACGTGAAATGAGGGCCGGGAACTTGTGAAGCTAGTAATTCACAAAAATTCAAAGTATATATTTTGCATGGAAAACAAGGCAAAACTGTATAATACCTAATTCAGAACTTGTCCCTTATCATAATTGTCATATTTTTAATAAATTTTACTTCTTTTCCTAAAAAAGCAGAATGCTTGCCATTTTTCAAACATGCACTTAACTTTTAAGATAGAAACGGTTTCCCTGTACCTCTGTCCACCCTCACATATTTTATGCGCAGCCTCGTTTGTGTGATGCAATGTGAGGTTTCTCTTATGTGGACTCTCACTTCTTTTCACTTCCTCAGTGATTTTCTCCTATCCTTCTCTTTGGTTTTACTGTTCTTTAATGCTAAATTATAAAATTAGAAGCAAAAGTGTTGTCTGGCCTTGCCCTGGTACACTGCTAGTGCTCACCAATAAGTATAAACCGACTCTGTTTTGTCCATGTGTGGTTTTGGGTCAGGGCTACTCTACCCATTCTGGGATCCGCTGTCCCTTGATAGCTGCCTGAGGGGCTGGGGAACACTCCGAAGGGTGTGGTACAAAGAGCAGCCCATGGCTGAGAATGAATCCCTATTTCTGTGTCAGCTCTGATACCTGCTGGGCCAGCCGACCACATCAGACCAAAATCATGGGCTTTCTTCCTCTCTCCAGCTAAGTAAATGATAACCGTGCATCCCAGTGTCCACTTAAAAACCCCAGAGCCTTGCTCTCGCTGTTGAAAGAGCTGAGTGTGCCCTTGGGCATTAGCTGCCTTCACTCTCAAGGTACAGAGGAAATCGGTGAGGCCAGCCTTGGAAGACCCCCTGGTGGGGTGCAGTGTGGGTGCCTTCCTTCCTTCTCCTTCCTTCCTTCTCCACTTCACCAACTCTTTCACAGCCAGCAAGGGCCCCTGTACTCAATTTCTTTGTCCTGTCCTAGTAACTCCACTGTTGGACGACTCCATTGTTTTTATTTTCTGGTGTTCTACATCCTGTTTTTACTGTTCTGTGGCAGACCCCCAACGTAGAACATAATTGCAAGTACTCGGTGGTGCCAAAGAGCAGTTAGTGCCTAAGTACAGACGGGAAACACGATTCTTTTGTTTTAAGTAAAAACTTAAACATTGCCCAGGTCCTACAAGCATCCAGACTCTAGGTCTGAGTAGCGGAGTGCCCCTCCCGTGGGCCCACAAGGACCCCTGGGTTCCCGCCCTGAGGTGATCAAGATATGGAACCGAAGCCACAGTTGGATCACGAGACATCCCTTTTCTAGAGCCTTTCCCAGCCCTCTACAGGCAGGATCCACCGGGAAAAAGATGACTGGAATTTCTCGAAGGTCAATGGTCTGCACAGTTGAGGATTCTGTGTGGTTCTCTTGGTTCCCTTGGTGTCTGGAGGAGGCCAGGGCCCTTAGATGACCTTTCAGCTCCTCACACAGGACCAGCGAGAGGGGCCCCCAGGCCTGAGGACGCCGGCCCAGCGCCCTGGAAGAAGGCCTTGTCTCCTCATCTTTAACGGTCTTTCCCCAACAGCCGAGGGTGCCGTGTACGTGATGTGAGCTGCTCTGAGCCCAGGCTGCACCATCGTCTGCCACACCGCGTGGAAGGGGTGGGAGCTGCAGCCACGGTGGTCGTCCATCTCCCACCACGGGCTCTTGGCATCCGGGAGCTCGCCCTTGGCTGAATTCTTCATGCTGGGGTCGGCGGCCGGTAGGTGATGGTGTCCTGCATGGAGATGCTGAAGCCCTGGAGGCCCTGGAGCCCGTCGGACTTGGTGACCTTCACCAGGCAGTGTCCCAGGCCTCAGAACTCAGCTCTGTGCCCAACTTCCCGACATCGGCTGCCAGGCAGGTCTGGCGAAATCCAGGGGGTACAGGAAGCAAAGGAAGGTGGCACCGGCCGCCGGAGGCCAGGCTGCCCACCAGGTACCTCCAGAGCCGTGTGTGCCTGTCCATGCCCCCCAGGGAACAGCTCACAAGTGAGCCAGTGAAAGAATCCTTGATCCCTAGTAACCAAGAACCAGGGACACCCAGGCCACTCAAAGGAAGCACAAAGCCCCGGGAACACCACACCAGGAAAATCAGGAAAATCTCCCCTCATGACAAAGGAGAAGGTCTGAGGTCGCCAGAAAAAACCATGAAAATCAACGAAAAGCTAAACATTTCAGGCTTTTTGTTTGTTTTTTAGAGACAGGGTTGTTGTCGCCCAGGCCGGAATACAGTGGCACAATCACAGCTCACTGTTGCCTCGAACTCTGGGACTCAAGCAATTCTCCTGCCTCAGCCTCCCAAATAGCTGGGACTATAGGTCCCTGCCACCAGGCCCAGCTAATTTTTTTTTTTTTTTTTTTTTTTGGAGATTGGGTTTTGCTATGTTGCCTCGGCTGGTGGCCAACTCCTGACCTCAAGCAATCCTCTGCCTCAGCCTCCCAAAGTGCTCGGATTACAGGCATGAGCCACCACACCAGGCCCTTCAGTTTTCTTTAAGAGGCATATTCCAAATAAACATTAGAATATTTCAAAAGTATTGGTTTGTGTCAAAATCATTTTTCGTTTTTTCAGAACACACTTCTATAAGCAACAAATGCCGCTATGGTCCAAATGTCTCCCCAGATTCATGTGTTGAAATGTGATTAGCAATGTGATAGTATTAAGAGGTGGGGCCCTTAGGGGTGACTGAGTCACAAGGGCAGAGCCTTCAGGAATGGGATTTGTGACTTTATGAAAGGGCTGGCGGGAACTAGGCAGGCCCTTTTTCCCTTCCACCTTCCACCACGTGAGGACACAGCAACAAGGGGCCATCCTGGAGGCAGAGAGCAGCCCTCCCCAGACCTCAGAGCTGCAGGGCCCTGATCTTGGTCTTCCAGCCTCCAGAACTGTGAGAAATAAATTGATGTTGTTTGTAAGTTATCCAGTCTCAGATATTTTATTATAAAAGCATAAACAGACCGAGACAGAAGCCCAAGTATGATCAACTTAACCTTGGAGTCTTTTCTGTTGACATTCTTATTACCGAGCTTCCACACGTAAAGAGCAGTCACAGTCACATGAAGGCCGGGCTGCCGGACTGAGGAAGACAGGGAGGAACCTCCTGAGCAGCGGGTCCCAGCCTCTTTGGCACCAGAGACGGGTTTTGTGGAGGACAATTTTTTCACCGACAGCAGGGGCAGGGGGACGGTTTTGGGGTGATTCAAGTGCATTCATTTATTGTACACTTTATGTCTTTGTTATTACATTATAATATATAATAAAATAATTATACAACTCACCATTACATAGAATCAGTGGGACCCGTGAATTTGTTTTCCTGAAACTAGATGGTCCCATCTTGGGGTGATGGGAGACAGTGACAGATCATCAGGCATTAGATTCTCATAAGGAGTGTGCAACCTAGATCCTCGCAGGCACAGTTCACGATAGGGTTCGTGCTCCTCTGAGAACCTACTGCACCACAGATATGACAGGAGGCAGAGCTCAGGCAGTATCACCAGCGAAGGGGAGTGGCTGTAAATACAGAGGAAGCTTTGCTCACTCTCCCACTGCTCACCTTCTGCTGTGCAGCCCAGTTCCTAACAGGCCATGGACGGGTAGCAGTCCTTGGTTAGGAACCCCTGCTCTAGAGCATTCCATCAGAAAAGGAGGGAGGCAGCCGCTGCTCGACAAAGCAGAGGAGGAGTGCAGTGCTCTGGGACCCTGTGCTCTGGGACCCTGTGCTCTGGGACCCTGTGCTCTGGGATTCTGTGCTCTGGGACCCTGTGCTCTGGGACCCTGTGCTCTGGGATTCTGTGCTCTGGGACCCTGTGCTCTGGGATTCTGTGCTCTGGGACCCTGTGCTCTGGGATTCTGTGCTCTGGGACCCTGTGCTCTGGGATTCTGTGCTCTGGGACCCTGTGCTCTGGGATTCTGTGCTCTGGGACCCTGTGCTCTGGGACCCTGTGCTCTGGGATTCTGTGCTCTGGGACCCTGTGCTCTGGGATTCTGTGCTCTGGGACCCTGTGCTCTGGGACCCTGTGCTCTGGGACCCTGTGCTCTGGGACCCTGTGCTCTGGGATTCTGTGCTCTGGGACCCTGTGCTCTGGGACCCTGTGCTCTGGGATTCTGTGCTCTGGGACCCTGTGCTCTGGGATTCTGTGCTCTGGGACCCTGTGCTCTGGGATTCTGTGCTCTGGGACCCTGTGCTCTGGGATTCTGTGCTCTGGGATTCTGTGCTCTGGGACCCTGTGCTCTGGGATTCTGTGCTCTGGGACCCTGTGCTCTGGGACCCTGTGCTCTGGGATTCTGTGCTCTGGGACCCTGTGCTCTGGGACCCTGTGCTCTGGGACTCTGTGCTCTGGGACCCTGTGCTCTGGGACTCTGTGCTCTGGGACCCTGTGCTCTGGGACCCTATGCTCTGGGACTCTGTGCTCTGGGACCCTGTGCTCTGGGACTCACTGCTCTGGGACTCTGTGCTCTGGGACCCTGTGCTCTGGGACTCACTGCTCTGGGACTCTGTGCTCTGGGACCCTGTGCTCTGGGACTCACTGCTCTGGGACTCTGTGCTCTGGGACCCTGTGCTCTGGGACTCACTGCTCTGGGACTCTGTGCTCTGGGACCCTGTGCTCTGGGACTCTGGAATCACACACAGCAGAGTGGACCCAGAACTGAGGACACAGCACAGCACACAGGCCCGACTCACAATGGCCTGACTCACAACGGGTCAACTGTACTAGAGCGTGAAAGCCATCTGCATTCAGTAATGCCCCTCTCACAAGGGGGTCCTGTCAGCGTAGAGGCCATTGCCATCGTAAGTGGAGCAGCATCTGTGTAGTTCAAAGATGTTTCCACTCAGGAATGCTAACCAAAAGCCACGGTAGGCTGCAGTGTGTTACTGGGAGATACTCATGACAATGTCCTTGTTTACACAGAGTCTACATCACAAAACGCCTAATTTTAGTGATACTCTCCCCAAACAGTCAGACACAAAACTTCCACACGTACTTACTTCATTCCAGTAATGATCTTAATGAACAAGTTTTCACTGAGAAATATCAGAGCACAGCCCTCACGTAATGCTCACTTGGGAACCCCTAGGCAACGCTCCACATTTGGGACCACTTCAAAATAAAGAACACCTATGTACAAAATCCCCCACACTTCTGTGACAACAGACATCAGCCTCCAATGCCGAGAAAATTACATGAGCTACCATTTCCCCTTCAGCCCATCTTAAAGGAGACAGGAGCAGTGTGTTCCCATCAGCAGCAGCTCCAGGCTGGGCGCCACAGCTCACTCCTGTAGTCCCAGCGCTGTGGGAGGCCGAGGTGGGAGGATCACTTGAGGCCAGGAGTTGGAGACCAGCCTGGGCAACACAGCAAGACCCCATTTCTTAAAAAAAAAAAAAAAGTTAGCAGGGCATGGTGGTGCGCACCTGTAGTCCCAGCTACTTGGGAGGCTGAGGTGAGAGGACTAATTGAGCCCAGGAGGTCAAAGCTGCAGTGAGCCATGATTGCACCACTGCACTTCAATCCGGGTGACAGAGCCAGACCCTGTCTTGAACAACAACAAAAGTACCAGCTCCAATCCCTGTCATGGGGTTTTTCCCATTTTACTCTGAGAGACTAGCTGGCAGCAACAGTGATCCCACAGCACCCTGGCCATCCCTGCTGGCACCCAGGTCCTCCCGGACAGGTCCACAGGGTCTTTCTTACGTGCACAGAGCCTCACTCATGCCAAAGGTGAGGCACACAGGCCCCGGGCTCTCCTTACACTCGGCACTAGCCTGCTTCAGGGCCACTTGGGATTGCTTTCTGTACGAAGAAGGGTGGCTAGGATGTAAGGCTACTCCCAGCCCTGAAAGTTAGTTTCAACTTTGGGGAGGCAGTATTTAATGTGTTCTGAAACCTTAAAGCCAGTCCACAAAAATGTCCAACTGGATCCATAAATGGGACATCTGTCATTGGATCACAAACTTCTCAACAGCCCAGAGTCTGCAGAACATCCCTCAAATCTGTTGGCAAGCAGAACAGCACTCAGGGTAGGTGAGCAGGGTCTTGCTGCTGGGCGCCGGCCTGCAGGCTTGCACAGTGGTGTAGGCAGCACAGCAGCCCAGGCAGCACAGGGAACCCTCCCGGGGGGTGACCAGCAGGTGTGCACAGGGAACCCTCCCGGGAGGCGACCAGCAGATGTGCACAGCGAACCCTCCCGGGGGCGACCAGCAGGTCTGCACAGGGAACCCTCCCAGGGGCGACCAGCAGGTGTGCACAGGGAACCCTCCCGGGGGGTGACCAGCAGGTGTGCACAGGGAACCCTCCCGGGAGGCGACCAGCAGGTGTGCACAGCGAACCCTCCCGGGGGCGACCAGCAGGTGTGCACAGGGAACCCTCCCGGGGCGACCAGCAGGTGTGCACAGGGAACCCTCCCAGGGGCGACCAGCAGGTGTGCACAGGGAACCCTCCCGGGGGGTGACCAGCAAGGTGTGCACAACGAGCTCTGGTGGGGGGTGGGGGGCGGGGGGGCGACCAGCAGGTGTGCACAGGGAACCCTCCCAGGGGCGACCAGCAGGTGTGCACAGGGAACCCTCCCAGGGGCGACCAGCAGGTGTGCACAGGGAACCCTCCCAGGGGCGACCAGCAGGTGTGCACAGGGAACCCTCCCAGGGGCGACCAGCAGGTGTGCACAGGGAACCCTCCCAGGGGCGACCAACAGGTGTGCACAGCGAACCCTCCCGGGGGCGACCAACAGGTGTGCACAGCGAACCCTCCTGGGAGGTGACCAGCAGGTGTGCACAGGGAACCCTCCCGGGGGCCGACCAGCAGGTGTGCACAGGGAACCCTCCCGGGGGGTGACCAGCAGGTGTGCACAGGGAACCCTCCCGGGGGGTGACCAGCAGGTGTGCACAGGGAACCCTCCCGGGGGCCGACCAGCAGGTGTGCACAGGGAACCCTCCCGGGGGCGACCAGCAGGTGTGCACAGGGAACCCTCCCGGGGGCGACCAACAGGTGTGCACAGGGAACCCTCCCGGGAGGTGACCAGCAGGTGTGCACAGGGAACCCTCCCGGGGGGTGACCAGCAGGTGTGCACAGGGAACCCTCCCAGGGGTGACCAGCAGGTGTGCACAGGGAACCCTCCCAGGGGCGACCAGCAGGTGTGCACAGGGAACCCTCCCGGGGGGTGACCAGCAGGTGTGCACAGGGAACCCTCCCGGGGGGTGACCAGCAGGTGTGCACAGGGAACCCTCCCGGGGGGTGACCAGCAGGTGTGCACAGGGAACCCTCCCGGGGGCCGACCAGCAGGTGTGCACAGGGAACCCTCCCAGGGGTGACCAGCAGGTGTGCACAGGGAACCCTCCCAGGGGCGACCAGCAGGTGTGCACAGGGAACCCTCCCGGGGGGTGACCAGCAGGTGTGCACAGGGAACCCTCCCGGGGGCCGACCAGCAGGTGTGCACAGGGAACCCTCCCGGGGGCCGACCAGCAGGTGTGCACAGGGAACCCTCCCGGGGGCGACCAGCAGGTGTGCACAGGGAACCCTCCCGGGGGCGACCAACAGGTGTGCACAGGGAACCCTCCCGGGAGGTGACCAGCAGGTGTGCACAGGGAACCCTCCCGGGGGGTGACCAGCAGGTGTGCACAGGGAACCCTCCCAGGGGTGACCAGCAGGTGTGCACAGGGAACCCTCCCAGGGGCGACCAGCAGGTGTGCACAGGGAACCCTCCCGGGGGGTGACCAGCAGGTGTGCACAGGGAACCCTCCCGGGGGGTGACCAGCAGGTGTGCACAGGGAACCCTCCCAGGGGCGACCAGCAGGTGTGCACAGGGAACCCTCCCGGGGGCCGACCAGCAGGTGTGCACAGGGAACCCTCCCAGGGGTGACCAGCAGGTGTGCACAGGGAACCCTCCCAGGGGCGACCAGCAGGTGTGCACAGGGAACCCTCCCGGGGGGTGACCAGCAGGTGTGCACAGGGAACCCTCCCGGGGGGTGACCAGCAGGTGTGCACAGGGAACCCTCCCAGGGGCGACCAGCAGGTGTGCACAGGGAACCCTCCCGGGGGCCGACCAGCAGGTGTGCACAGGGAACCCTCCCAGGGGTGACCAGCAGGTGTGCACAGGGAACCCTCCCAGGGGCGACCAGCAGGTGTGCACAGGGAACCCTCCCGGGGGGTGACCAGCAGGTGTGCACAGGGAACCCTCCCGGGGGGTGACCAGCAGGTGTGCACAGGGAACCCTCCCAGGGGCGACCAGCAGGTGTGCACAGGGAACCCTCCCGGGGGCCGACCAGCAGGTGTGCACAGGGAACCCTCCCAGGGGTGACCAGCAGGTGTGCACAGGGAACCCTCCCAGGGGCGACCAGCAGGTGTGCACAGGGAACCCTCCCAGGGGCGACCAACAGGTGTGCACAGCGAACCCTCCCGGGGGGTGACCAGCAGGTGTGCACAGGGAACCCTCCCAGGGGCGACCAGCAGGTGTGCACAGGGAACCCTCCCGGGGGGTGACCAGCAGGTGTGCACAGTGAGCCCTCCCGGGGGGTGACCAGCAAGTGTGCACAGTGGTCCAGGTAGCACCATGCACCCTCCTGGGAGTGACCACCTGAGGCTGGCATGGCAGCGATGAAGGCAAATGCAGGCTTCGTCCATGACTGGCTGCCCCCTCACCTCAAGATCAAAGCTGCAAACCCTGGATCCACCTACAGTGGTGCTGTTGTTGGTGATATATTCAGAGCTTTCAGTCCAGACTTCTTGCTTTTCCATGTAAATGTAAGGCTTTGTATTGTAATACCTTGGGTATCCCAAGGTTTAGTCTTGTGAAATTTTACCTTCTCTAGAGCTGTCCTTTTGAAGTATTTGAGTTATAAAAAAAAGACAACAAAGTTTATATATTTAACACAATAGTGGGTTTAGCACAATGTGATGCCGATAGAGAAACATGATACATTTGTGATAAGGAGCAACTCTCTTTATTCCAATATCTAACGTGAAAAATCTACTCTGCGTCAGCTAATATTCCACAGATATTCTGAGCACAACTACAAAAATAACTTGATTAGAAGTCCATGTCTTGCCAACTAATTTTTCACTGAACACAAAATGGGGGCCTTCCAAAAAGAAAATTTGGTTTCCAAATAGGTCATTTCTTTTTTAAAATTAATTAATTTGTTTATTTTTATTTATTTTTATTTTTTTGAGACAGAGTCTCACTCTGTTACCCAGGCTGGAGTGCAGTGGCATGATCTTGGCTCACTGCAACCTCCGCCTCCTGGGTTCAAACAATTCTCCTGCCTCAGCCTCCTGAGTAGCTGGGATTACAGGCACCCACCACCACACCTGGCTAATTTTTGTATTTTTAGTAGAGACGGGGTTTCACCATGTTGGTCAGGCTGGTCTCGAACTCCTGACCTCGTGATCTGCCCGCCTCTGCCTCCCACAGTGCTGGGATTTCAGACGTGAGCCACCACGCCCAACCTAAAAATAGGACATTTCTTTAGAGGTTTCAAGAATTTTACGTAATCATGGGTTCATAGAAAAACTATCCCAAATTATCTAATGTACTGCTATATTTTATGATACTCTTGATAATTTTTTAAAAAGTCATCTTAAGATGTTTATTTCTATAGAAGTATTTTGCTCACTTCTAGTTACTATTTATTCCATGTTGAGTTTTATTTTATACAATCATCCATTTTCCTTTATCAAACCATTCCCAAGCAAAATCAAAGAAAAACCCAGTGTAGGCTTAAGTCAAACCAAGCTGTTAAGGCAAAGAGTCGATATACGAACAGTCCAAAGTACTCACTGAAAATTATGCGAAGCCATTCTAAAAATATAATGAGTGCAAATCCCATTGTTATTCACATTCTTGAGAAAAATAACTGGTGAACTTCAATGATCAGGTCTTCATCCACCTTGAAAGAGAAAAAGAGAAAGGAATTTACCATGGTATTTACAAATGCCACCCTAACCTAGCATTCAAAATAAAAGAGACAGTCTGGGTGCGGGGACTCACGCCTGTAATCCCAGCACTTTGAGAGGCTGAGGCGGGTGGATTGCTTAAGGCCAGGAATTGAAGATCAGCCTGGGCAACACAGAGAGACCCTGTCTCTAATAAAAACAATAGTTATAAAAATAAAAATGAAAATAAAAGAGGTATGACCAGAATGCTGTTTGCCCCCCTTACAGATTTTTCATTCCATCTACATTTTGCTTTGCAATTTGAGAATAGAAGGATCTGCCCATTTAAGAAAAACATGCCATTCTGATGTTTAAAAGGCTCTGAAAGAAAGAAATTTCCTGTACTGGGCCTATCTAGCTGAGTGGGACACAACTAAGTCCATATTGGGCACCCAGGGAATTCAGCCCTTACTAGATATTCGCTCTTATTAATATTATTATTCCAGACCTGATTCTCTGAAGTTACAGAGTATTCATATTGATTTTAATATTTTAGAATTTTGTTTAAAAGGTTCATCTTCACAATACTGCTCTGGTTACAACCGTGACTTTTCCTCATTCCCATTGTGTTCCCGCAGAGAATAGGGTGCAGGGTAAGTCCCCACAAGGGTATGGCTGGGTCAAAGGGCGAATGTGTTTGGGATTCCAGCAGACACCACGGGCCACTCCCCTAGGGAGGACACCCCACCCGCCAGCAATGCAGAAGGGCATGTCACAACAACGCTGCTTTCAAACATGTTATTTGTCACCTCTCCAATAGCAGAAAAATAACTCCTTTTCCTTTTCTTTCACTGTGTCCCTTTCTGGAGCCCTTGCTAGTTAGGACCACATCCAGTACTTGCACCCTGGGGTTCATGAGCTCCCCGTCCTAACTGAGCCTCATTCTGAGCTGCCAGCAAGGCTACCAAAAATTTCAAGCAGAAGAGAGGATTTCAGTTGGTGCAAACAGGAGCGGCTGCTCATTCCACAGATCCAGGGCAGGGCCATCCCAACAGGCAACAGTGAACTCGAAGGGTAAATCTGACTTGGCCAAGGGCATGGGGATTAGAGCCTAATCCAGTAAGACAGTGGCCACTTCTGTGATCGAGAAGCATCAGGGAGAATGATGCTAATAACTAAGAAAATGAAAGAAAAGCAGGGATTAGAAACTACATTTGCCACATGTAACTTTTATAGTGATGATACGTCCACATTTCAACGTCTCACCCTCATTCTACCGGGAGCCATACTGAGGACAGAGTTCTTGGGAGATAGAATAATATGGTGATATTTTGGAATGGCATATTCTAATGAGGAGGAAAACATTTAAATTTTTGAGTTTTAATTAAATGAATATGTATTTAATAACTAATGCCTAAGGCTGCACACCTGTCAGATCTACTTACTCTCCTCAATATGGAATCTTTTCTTACATTACAAAAACAATACCTTTCTTGAAAAATTCACACTACATAAAAGTATATAAGGCAGCACCTGAACCTCCTCAACGCTACAACCTCCATAATCTCATCCTCAGGGAGGGTTCTGTGCTCCTCCCAGACCTTTGTGTGCAACAAAAACAGCCAAAGCCCAACAGGTACATCTGAGCTGCACCCTCCAGGCCTGTCCGTTTGCCAACGGGCGCATCTGAGCTGGGTCCTCCAGGCCTGTCCATTTGCCAACGGGTGCATCTGAGCTGCGCCCTCCAGGCCTGTCCATTTGCCAACGGGTGCATCTGAGCTGCGCCCTCCAGGCCTGTCCGTTTGCTCTTACCCTTTGGAGACTGCGTTGCCATCCCCAGTTCACAGAGGAATGGACCCCCATCCACCCAGCTTTCACCTCCAGGTAGATTTTGACCCACTTAACTGTAGCATATTTAAGTTGTGCAATAGAAGAAAACAGACAAGCTGTTATATTTCTCTTCCGAGATATCCAGTTTTCTTATTTCCAGATCCTATACTACACTAAGTCAAGAGTTCAAAAAAACAATACAAGGGAAGTATTTCTCATTAAAAGATTATGTTTATATAACAGTCTTTAAATGGTCGACTTTCAGAATTGCAGCAAGAGCAGAACTGGACACCCAACAGGTCTTGTTTGTTCCCACACAGTTACCAAGCTTGAAGGACGGCCCTGGAAGGGGGCTGCCTACCTTGGTGGGCCTCATAATCGGCCTGCAGAATCTTCCAGGCATACTGGTCTGCAGGCCCCTGAGCAGGACCTCTGGGGCCCCCACTCCAGGTCATCGTCTTGCCCTGGCCGCCCTTCTCGGCTCAACTCTCCCCTTCCTGCCATGCTTGCCAGCTCCAGGGGTGGTGTCCTCTGTAGCCCCCAACTCCTCCCATCTCCCCTTTCTCCAGGCCCCAGCCCTTCCACTCCCGGGAACACCTCCTTGTCTTTCACTGGCCACTTTCTGCATGGTGTGGAACCTCTGCAGACGGGCTTCTGCGCCCCACACACTCACCGTGTGCAGCTTCTCCTGCTCCGAGCCCCCAACTGAGTTCTGGGGCAGGAACGTGTGTGCAGCCAGGCCCCAGCACCTCCTCACCCAGGCCTAGGCAGGTGAGCAGCCCCAACAGGCGTCGTGATCCTCAATCACAGCTGCAGCCTTCAGTGCCTACGCCTCTCTGTCTTCTCTCCATTTTCCAAAGCCATAGAGGACCATCAGAAAACATCCAAAAACAAAAAGATCAACTAAAGCTCTCTCCCAACACTGCCCAGCCTTACCTGGGTGCTTTCTTCAAGGCGAAGGTCCTATACCGGCCTCTCCTCCCTCCAGCACCCTCCTCTGCCTGCCTGGAGGGCTCTTAGCCTCACCCTAAATTCACACGCAAAGCTTAGTTCCCTTTGAGCCACCTCGTGTCCTCCCTGCCATCAGCTCTGCATATCTTATCGCCAGGAGCTGCTGAGATTTGTGAATTAATTCATTAAGAAGCTAAGTCCCTGTAGCTGCTCCCTATCTCTAAAAACACAGCCTCAGCTCTCATGTCCTTTGGGGAGCAATTTGCCCAGACTAAAGCAGGGAAGCATAAACTTCTACAAGCAATGAAGAAACTCTCCCTGCTGAGAAAGCCCAGCTTGAGGGGAGCTTCAGCACCACAGGCAGGACAGGAATCAACAGCAGACCCCTCCTCACCTTGCAAGAGATGGAGCGGAGAGAAAAGAACCCAGACAGCATGCACCCCTCATCTCCTCAGCACCCACGGACACATCCCCAGGGCCCAGGAACCTCCTGTGTGTCCAAGGATGGCCCCACCCCATTCACTCCCGTCTCCAGGACCTTCTTCACCAAGGCTCACAGCTGGATGCTGCCCTGGAGATATGGTTAATTTTAAACACATCACTGTATTAGAAATCTCATCTTGGGTACAGGGGAAACACAGAACTGAATGCCCTGAAAAGAATCAAGTCCTCCAGAAACTTATTTTTCTGCTGACTGAAACTCAGGTCCGAGCTCATCCCTGTACAAGGCCTCACCAGATACAACCAGAGGGGCACACACTGCATGGGCTTCCACGAGCTCACATGGCAAGGCCGAAGGCTGCTGGATATAGCCTCGGAGGCAGAGCTGGCCCTGACCCGGGCCTCCCCATCTTGGTTAGCAGAGCTCTCCACCCTCCCACCCTGTGGGTGCCCTCATCGGGGTCCTGCTGCCCCATGAGATGCATGTGGAGCCCACCCAGGACCCTGCACACTCACTCCCGGGCCCTCCTGACCACTGTCCTGTGGAGCAGACAAGCAGGTGGGAATGTCAAGGGCCAGACTGTGCTCCCTGCTGCCCCCAACTCTTCTTGGCTGGCCCCAGCCCACGACCTCTGATCTCCCTCACTGCAGCCCAGGGACCTCCGAGGCTCTGGTCTGGCCAGGGTGACCTTTGACCTCTGGTCCTGCCAGGGTGACCCTGACGCAGGCCCTGCCAGGCGGCACCCTCGGAAAAGCACAGGTCGCAGGGGAGCTGAGGCTCCACCTGGGCTCTGAGACCGGCTGGTCCCACAGCCTTTTTTAGGACAAAGAACAGGATGAGGAGGGTAAAGGCGGATGCAGGAGGTGATGCCACAATATTGCCCAGATCTGATTAGAAAACGCTGGAAGTTTTAAAAAGCATGCATTGGGGAGAAGCCACTCAAGTTGAGAACTGGCTCACTTCCCGCCTGTGTGTGTTTTCATTTCACCAGGGGAGAGTTTTGTGAGTACCAGTGCTCAGAAAGCTTTAAGAAGAAGCCTTCTGGAGAAGCAAAACTCACAGTAATGCCGCCATCAGAGTTCTAGAAGATTAAACCACAAGGAACAGGGAGGGCTCCCAGAGCAGGGAGCAGATGTGTGGCAAACGTGCCTTCCTCATTCCTTTTTTCTGTGCGTGATGGGTGTTTATCCACTGTACTTACCTCAATGCCTAACATGTTAAAAATTAAAATTAAAAAAATTGTATTATTAATTTATTAATGTATTATTTGTAATTTATATTATTTATAATGTGTTGTTTATAACTTACTATTAACTTAATTAAAAAATAGCCTGGGCCCAGTGGCTCACGCCTGTAATCCCAGCACTTTGGGAGGCTGAGGCAGGTGAATCACGAGGTCAGGGGTTCGAGACCAGCCGGGCCAAGATGGTGAAACTCTGTCTCTAGTGAAAATACAAAAGTTAGCCGGGTGCGGTGGCGGGTGCCTGTAATCCCAGCTACTCGGGAGGTGAGGCAGGAGAATCACTTGAACCCGGGAGGCAGAGGTTGCAGTGAGCCGAGATCGCGCCACTGCACTCTAGCCTGGGTGACAGAGCAAGACTCCGTCTCAAATCAAATCTGTGATGTGTGCTGATCAATAGGGAGAAGAAAAACATGATCCACAGGCAAAGCAGCAACTGCGTGGAGAGAACGCCACCATTTCCCGCTAACATCCTAGTGACGACAGAGACAGGCAACAGTCGCCGAGGCCCAGCCAACTCCCACACAGTGCTGTTGAGAAAGCAAAGACAGCTTTACAGACTTGATGCCAAGGACCCAGGACATTAACTGTGGCGTGACAGTCCCCACAGGCTACTTCAGGGCAGATGTCCACGGCCTGAACCCTGGAGGCCAGGTGGTAAGTCCAGGCCACGGTGCCCAGCAAGAAGCAGGTGTCCCTGAGAACCCAGACACCCCTGAGTGGATGTGGGAACCACCACGGAGAGCGGGACTCCTATAAGCCCACTGTTCAAGATGCCCCAGCAAACTGGTCAGTTATAAACGTTGCTACAGGTCCCTGAAAAAAAAACGAAACTGGATGAGGTTTCCCTCTTGTCTTGTAGGTCCCTGGGAGCTTGAACTTGTAACCATGTGGTTGTGCTTTCTTTTTTCACAATGGCGGCCCGTGTTTAGGGCCCAATTCCTGTCTTAGGGGATGAGTCCTTCGTCTTCTATTTATATGTGTTGTGTGTGTAATATAAAAGAGTTTTGATTAATTGGTTTAATTACAATAACAGCTTAAATCAAATATTTTGTCAGAAAAGTAAATAGTGTAATAACTTTTATTTAGCTCATGTGACTGAAGTAATCTTTGGGAAATAAAAAGTTTTAAAGATTATTGGTAAAATAAAGACATTTGGTCTAAATTATGCAGGTAGGATATGAAGTTTACTCAATGCTTTAAGGTCATAAACTGCTTATTTGACTTTTGAAAATTGTCCAATTTACCTAGCTTGGGGACATTAGATTCTAGCTAAGGCCTGGGGACATGTGGAGAGCCACACCCTAGCCATGCGGGAGGGTCTGCCCTCATCTGCACTTCTGTCTGGTGGGTCCCAGGCTAGGCCCCACACCTGGCACATAATGAAAAATCCCTGACTTACCAAGATTTTCACCAAAAGCAAAAGGTGCTAAAAGCTAACACTGTATTTGAGACTACGCAAGAAATAGTTCCACACCCAAGGCGAAAAGGAAAGTAGAATATACTTTTGGTAAAGATTATAAGAAGTCATGGGAATGTGGATGTTTCTGCCTAGATTAAAGGGTTAAAGTATTGTTTTAAGTTAGGATCAAGCTAAAGGTTTGAACAAGTTGTGGAAGGTTTGTAAAAAATTAATTGTAAAAGAAATTCTGTGTATGGACATTGGCTAAAGTTAAAGGGGTATTATTCAGTTTTCCTGTAAATTAAACATAGGAATAAAAACATAACAGGTTTTTCTTAAAGCAAAATCCTGCTTATAATCCACTCTTTAACAAAAAAAAATTGTAAAGGGTTATAAAAGGTATAAGAATCTTACCTTAGGGGCCGGGCATGGTGGCTCATGCCTGTAAGCCCAGCACTTTGGGAGGCCCAGGCAGGTGGATCACCTGAGGTCAGGAGTTCAAGAACAGCCTGGCCAACATGGTGAAACCCTGTCTCTACTAAAAATACAAAAATTAGCTGGGCATGGTGGTGGGCACCTGCAATCCCAGCTATTCAGGAGACTGAGGCAGGAGAATTGCTTGAACCCAGGAGGCAGAGGTTGCAGTGAGCCAAGATTGTGCCACTGCACTCCAGTCTGGGCAACAAGAGCAAAACTCTGTCTCAAAAAAAGAATCTTACCTTATGGTCAAACTGATTAAGATTAAATACATTTGTCTATAAGGTTTTATTAAGATTAGGGTTTAGCATTAATAGTACACTAATGTAAAGGTGAGATTTGGCTTATTTGGTATAAAAATCATACAGGAAGCATTGTCAAATATGAAATAATGTTTGGCTAACTTTGGGCTGTATTTGAATAAATATGTTATTGGTATGTGTTCCAAAATTATAAGAAAGTTCTATAATTCTGATATGACTTAGTGTATGTTATTAATAGTGAAAATTGTTACATAACATTGTTATATGCCACAGAAATAACCAAATTTCATTATCAATTTTGACTTTAATAGTGGCTGGCCTAAGACTTTTGTCATCCACAGACAATTGTCTTGTTTTGGTCCTCTTTAAAAGGTGGTTTTATAATCAACCATAGGACTTTGACAGGTGCACTTAAATGCAGGTTTCCGACAGCTTTGGAAGTTGTGACATTAGAATAGAGGAAAAAACTTTCAGGACTCATGGAAAGCCAAAATATTCATGAATAGCAAGCAGAACTGGAGTTAACTGCGTGGACTAAACTGAAGTAATCTTTTTAACTTCGCTTAAAATGTTGCTGATCCTTTGTTTTCTTTTTCAGAGTCAAGGAAACTTAAGCTATTTGCAGCTTCTAACAATTGAGTAGGCCAGGCACGGTGGCTCACGCCTGTAATCCCAGCACTTTGGGAGGCTGAGGCGGGCCAATCATGGGGTCAGGAGATCGAGACCATCCTGGCTAACACAGTGAAACCCCGTCTCTACTAAAAAAAAAACAAAAAATACAAAAAATTGGCCAGGTGTGGTGGCGGGTGCCTGTAGTCCCAGCTACTCGGGAGGCTGAGGCAGGAGAATGGTGTGAACCTGGGAGGCAGAGCTTGCAGTGAGCAGAGATCGCACCACTGCACTCCAGCCTGGGCGACAGAGTGAGACGCTATCTCAAAAAAAAAACAAAAACAAACAAACAAAAACAATTGAGTAAAGCACACTCCTGTGAACAAAATTTTGAGTATATTTGTTTCTCCGTACTTCATTTCTCCAGAATTTGGAAACTATTTGTGAGTATTCTTAATTTATGGCAATACAGTTGTTTGCATAAGTGCAATAAGAATCTGTTTTCATTTGTAACAGGACACAACTGGAGAAACTGGCTATTTTGCCAAGGCTTTGACTGGAATAGTGTGTTTTCCTTTAAGGAATCCAACTTGACTTGTAGAGTCAATAAAAGCCCCTCGGGAAAACATACCTTGTCTATATAGTCCCTGGACAGGGGGCCTGACCTGTGGTAAGTGAAAAATGTCACTTTATGACAGGCTCAGGAGCCCCAAGTTATCTTGTGACCTCAAGAGGAGAGGAATTTACCTAACTCATAGGTATTTTAGGGCACAAAGCCATGGCTAGGCTCGGCTTTTAAAAAAAAGTCTTATCCATTTATGCAGCCGACAGACACATGAAAAAATGCTCATCATCACTGGTCATCAGAGAAATGCAAATCAAAACCACAATGAGATACCATCTCACACTAGTTAGAATGGCAATCATTGAAAAGTCAGGAAACAACAGACGCTGGACAGGATGTGGAGAAACAGGAACACTTTTACGCTGTTGGTGGGACTGTGAACTAGTTCAACCATTGTGGAAGTCAGTGTGGCAATTCCTCAAGGATCTAGAGCTAGAAATACCATTTGACCCAGCGATCCCATTACTGGGTATATACCCAAAGGATTATAAATCATGCTACGATAAAGACACATGCACACGTATGTTTGTTGTGGCACTATTCACAATAGCAAAAACTTGAAACCAACCCAAATGTCCACCAATGATAGACTGGATTAAGAAAATGTGGCACATATAACACCATGGAATACTATGCAGCCATAAAAAAGGATGAGTTCATGTCCTTTGCAGGGACATGGATGAAGCTGGAAACCATCATTCTGAGCAAACTATCATAAGGACAGAAAAACCAACCACCGCATGTTCTCACTCATAGGTGGGAACTGAACAATGAGAACACTCGGACACAGGAAGGGGAACATCACACACGCGGGCCTGTCATGGGGTGTGGGGCAGGGGGAGGGATAACATTAGGAGAAATACCTGATGTAAATGACGAGTTAATGGGTGCAGCACACCAACATGGCACATGTATACCTATGTAACAAACCTGCACACTGTGCATATGTATCCTAGAACTTAAAGTATAATAATAAAAAATAATAATAATAAAAGAAAAAAGTCTTATCTGAGATTCCTTCTATGGAACACAGTTTCATCAAAGCCAATTTTAAAAGTCTATGTGAAAAATAATTATTCTTGCTGCACTTTATACAAATAATCAGGCCAAGTATAATAAAGCAAATCAGTCTTACAATGATTTGTCCTTAGTGAAAATGGGGTACTGGAGAGACAGAAATTATGTTTCAAAAACTATGGTACACCTATTTTTAAATTCTAGTCTCATCAGTTATTTTTAAGAATTTTTTCCTGCAACTTAGACTAACCCTGCTTACTCCTGTGAACCAACCAGTGAACTCTGGCTGCTGCTCAGAAGAAACAAGAGGGATGGGAAATGTAAAAATCTGACTCAATATTCTAATTCTAGGCACATTGGAATCAGCTAGCGACCTCCTGTCAGCTTGGTTCCAGCAGTTGCCTAGTTCATGGAAAGCCTTCTGATTTAGTTTACTTGGGGTAATTTTACTTATTTTGCCTTACTGTTGTGGAATATATCACTGTTGTGCTCTGTGTAGGATTGCAGGATAAGCTTACAGAATGTTTCCTTAAATTTCTTAAATTCTTAAATTTGCCAGAACTTGGAGTTATGAACGGCTCTCGCCACACGGGAGCTCCTGTCTAACCTGAATGCGAGAGACCTAACAGTTAGGCAGGAATATCATCACCTCTATTCAGCCTGAAGAAGTTACAGAAGATGGATCTCTGTCCCTCTGCAACCCTTAGGATTAAGGGTTCTCTTGTAAAAGGGAGGGGGAAATGTCAGAGGCATTTGAACCAGAGCATTTACATCTTAAATAGGCGTTTCCATATAGGAAGTTACCCTGTACGGTCTACAAAGGGAAGGCATGAATAATCCACTCCGTTTAGCAAATAATCAAGAAATAACCATAAAAACAGGCAACCAGCAGCCCTTGGGGCTGTTCTGTCTATGGAGTAGCCATTCTTTATTCCTTTACTTTCCTAATAAACTC
This sequence comes from Homo sapiens, assembly GCF_000001405.40. Lineage (NCBI taxonomy): Eukaryota > Metazoa > Chordata > Mammalia > Primates > Hominidae > Homo > Homo sapiens. The sequence continues at coordinate 80,060,000 of NC_000018.10, read as the reverse complement.
ACTTTCACTTTACCCTATGGACTCGCCCTGAATTCTTTCTTGCACGAGATCCAAGAACCCTCTCTTAGGGTCTGGATCAGGACCCCTTTCCTATAACACATTCACTTAAAAATAAGACACTGTGTTTGCTGACACTTAGAGTAATGGCTGTATCTATGCTGCCCAATGCTGAGTAAGCACCACAAAACGCAAATAATAAAGATAAATTATAATACTTAACTCTGAAACACATCTCAAGTCACCACCCTCTCTCCTGCCTGCAGCCAGGGGGCCCCAAGCCGCCTGCAGAAACAGGGCCCCTCCGCCCCCTCTTCCTGCAGGACACCCTTCATGCAGACCAGACACCCATGAACGTTCATCTCTGGCTGTTTGTCAGAAGCTGCACATTAGAAGCATATTCTTAGAAACACTGCAAAGTGAATAAAAAACATTGCAAATACCACTTGAACCGCTGGCTGAAAGAGAAACCAGACATTCTCATGGTGGGTTCGTTTCTCCTTTTCCCCTTAGGCCACATCTAAGAATTTCTAAAATCCCAGAAAACCCGAATCATCCATGGTCCAGCCCTCAGCACTGTGCGCCTGGGGAAGCTGGGAAGAAGCTGAGCCCCCAAGGGCAGCCCTGAGCCTCCCAGGAAAGGCCCCGAGTGCCTCGGGAGGGTGGGGTGCAGGCCCTGGGGGGATTCCAGGGGGCAAGGTGGCTTTCTTTCTTGTTTTGGTGGTGTCATGCTTTGGGTGTGGATAAAGCTGTGGTTTTGGCAAATTCAAGTGCACTGGAAAAGGTGAAGATGATTTCCTATAAAATGTGGGTCACACACCACAGGGGTCCATGCACAGGGCCGAGGGCTGGGGGTCCGCTCTGCAGAGCCAGGGGGCTGGGCTCAGTGAGCTGCAACCCCCACACTCTGGGATCTGGCACTGAGAACACTGGAGAGGCTCGTGACCCACCCCACCTCAAGACTCCCTGCAAGGAAGGATGCCCGGTCTTCCTGTCCCCGTCTCTGGGGCCCCACCAATGCACCTGCGGAGAGGCGGTCACGAATACTGTTTTAGAAACACAGGGATGTGTGCAGACACTTGCATTTCCTCCTCACCCACACAACACCCACTCCCCGGCCACGATGGCGTTCCCTCCCAGGAAAGGCAGGGCCTCCTTCCACACTGGTCTCTGTGGGACGAGGGCTCTTGGGCACCTGGCGCTGAAAATACTGGGGTCCTGGTGGTGGTTTCACCACAGGAGAGGCAAGCCAAGAAGACCTCAGGCTACTGCCCGCCCCCCACCCCGAATCTCAACTCCTAGGTGGGTGATGATGGGTGTCACCCAAAAGGAAGCTTGCCAGGGTTCCCTCATCACCACCCACCAAGCTCCAGGGGTTGTGCCTGGAGGGAGCAGGCTATAAAACAGATAACTCCGAATCTCTTCCCAAAGGAGCTGATTTCACTGAAACAAAGTGTGGGGAGGTGCAAGCCTAAGAGTGCTCTCAAAAACAGTGAACGGCTGAAGGGAAAGCGCAGATGCAGGCTTGGCTGTAGACATGCTAGTTTGCCCAAGAGAACGTGTAAAAGAGACAGCTCCGAGGAGCCTGCTGAAGTCAGAACAAATCTCAAACACAGGCCTCAGGAACTACCCTTCAAAGGATCCTAAATTTGATTCTTTAGGATGTAGAGTGATTTATGCTCCAGAGTGTTGTTAAAACAATAGAGCGATTAGTGGATTAGACAGCTGGGTATGGCCAGGAAAAGAGAGTCAAAGTGAGCCACGCCCTGATCAAAGGAGCGTTCCTACTAAATCCCAGGGTGACTGTGGACATGGCCAAGGCTGAGTTCCCTGAGGAACAACATTAGATACTTAACACTGGGAGTTTGGGGTTGGGCATAGGTAGACTCCAGTAAAATAAGCCAGCCAGTCACTAAATAAACAAGTAAATTACAATAACAAGCCTAGAGAGAAGGGTCCGTGCCCAGAGATGCTACGTACATCATCTGAAACAGCAGTACCCAACCTTTTGGGCACCAGGGACTGGTTTCATGGAAGACAATTTTTTCCCACAGACCGGGAAGGGGTTGGGGGATGCTTTTGGAATGAAACTGTTCCACCTCAGATCATCGGGCATTAGAGTCTCATAAGAAGCATGCAACCTAGGTCCCTCCCACGCACAGTTTACAATAGGGTTCGTGCTCCTATGAGAACCTAATGCCTAATGCTGCCACTGATCAGACAGGAGACGGAGCTCAGGCAGTAATGCTGGCTCACCTGTCAATCACCTCCTGCTGTGCTGCCCCGTTCCTAACAGGCCACAGATGGGTACCAGTCCACAACCCAGGGGCTGGGGACCCCTGATCTAAAATGTCCAGTTTCCAAAAAGATCACAGCACATACAAAGAAACAGGAAAGCATGACCTATAAACCAGAAATAAAGCAGACAGCAGAAACTCTCCATGAGAGTGACCAGATGTCAGACTTACTAGAAAAAGCCTTCAAAGTAGCCATTACAATTTGTTGAAAGAACTAAATCAGGATAAAAGAAGATATGATTATAACACTGAATCAAATACAGAATACCAATAATGACACAGAAATTATAAAACAGGACCAAATGGAAAGTGTGGAGATGGAAATTTTAATAGCCTAAGCAAAACTTCACTTGAACAGTTCAACAATACATTTCACCTGGCCAAGGAAAGAATTAGCAAATTTGGAAATAGATCAGGCCAGGCATGGTGGCTCATGCCTGTAATCCCAACATTTTGGGAGGCAAGGTGGGAGGATCACTTCAGGCCAGGAGTTCAAGACCAGTCTGGGCAACACAGCTGTAATAGTCCATTCTCACACTGCTATAAAGAAATACCCAAGACTGGGTAACTTATAAAGAAAAGAGGTTTAGTTGACTCACAGTTCCACATGGCAGGGTAGGCCTCAGGAAACTTACAATCAAGGCAGAAGGCACCTCTTCGCAGGGCGGCAGGAGAGAGAATGAGAACCGAGCAAAGAAGGAAGCCCCTTATAAAACCATCAGATCTCGTGAGAACTCACTATCACAAGAACAGTATGGGAGAAACCACCCCCATGACTTAATTATCTCCACCTTGTCCTGTCCCTTGTCATGTGGGGATTATCACAATTCAAGGTGAGATTTGGGTGGGGACACAGAACCAAACCACATTAATAGCAAAACCCTGTCTCGGCAAAAATTTAAAAAGTTAGTCAGGCATGGTGGTGCATGCCTGTAGTCTCAGCTACTTTGGATACTGAGGCAGGAAGGTCACTTGAGCCCATGAGATTGAGGTTGTGGTAAGCTATGACCATGTCACTGTACTCCAGACTGGGTGACAGAGACCCTGTCTTTAAATAAATACATAAAATAAAAAAGAAAATCGATCAATGGAGATTATGCAATAAGAATAGAAAAATGAATGATGCCTCAGAGAAATGTGGGACATGATTAAATGCACCAGCATACATATGGCGGAAAGGAGAGGAAAGAGAAAGGAGAAGAGAAATATTCAAAGAAACGATGGCCTAAAATTTCCCAAAATTAACAACAAAAACTCAATAATCTACACAAATCTACACACCATGAAAAACTCCAAAGACACATCATAATAAAAATGCCAAAAGGCAAAGACAAGGAGAAAGTCTTGAAAACAGCAAGAGAAAAATAAGGCAGGAACCCTCAACAAGATTAACAGCGGACTTCTCAGCAGAAATAATGGAGGCCAGAAGGCAGTGGGATAACATAGTCAAAGTGCTCAAAAAAAAAAAACAACTGTCACTCAAGAATCCTACATTCAGCAAAGCTATCTTTCAAAAACAGAAGTGAAATAAAGACTTTCCTAAATAAACAAAAACTGAAAGATTCACTGCTAGCAGACCTGCCTTACAAAAAATACTACAGGAAGCTCTTCAGGCTAAAAGAGGGCTGGGGGTCCGCCCTAGAGATGAAAATCTGAGACCACATAAAGAGCACCAGTAAAGGTAATCATGTAATTATAAAATACAGTATAAATTCATATTTTCTTCTCTCATTACATAACTGATTTAAAATGCAATTGTACAAAACAATGTTTATAATGTATCATTGAGCCTATAATGTATAGAAATGCAATATACTTGACAATTTAATGGTACAAAGAAAAAGGGTGTGAGCAAAGGTGTACTGGGCTAAGGAAATGATTCCATATGGTAACTCGAAGGACACTCTCTGCTGATATTGAGACTCAGGATATAATGCAAAGTGCAAAGAGCAGCATTCAGAACAATACACACGTGCTGCATTACAAGAAGGAAATACAAACACGTTCACACATTTGCTTATATTTCCAAAAACAACAACACTCACAAACCAAGAAATGCCTGAGGCTACCAGAAGCTGGGAGGAACAAGAAGAGTTTCCTCTAGAGCCTTAGATGAGAATGCAGCCCTGCTGACATCTTGATCTTGGACGTCTGGCCTTCAGAAGTATGAGGCAGCAAACTTCTGTTTTCAGCCACCGAGCTTGTGGCAATTAGCACCTACAGGAAACTAATACAGTTTCTCCTCTGCCAAACTGATGACGATTTAAGCATGAAGATAAATTAACTAGTTGGGCATGGCAGTGTGCACCTGCAGTCCCAGCTACTTGGGAGGCTAAGGCAGGAGGATTGCTTGAGCCCAAGAGTTTGAGACCAGCCTAAGTAACATAGCAAGACCCCCCTCTAAAAAATTAATTAATTAACATAGTAACAGAATATAACAAATAGGAAACCTTGGCATCAGGCTGATTAAACAGCTGAATAAAATGAAAGTTTGATAAGGGACATGACATGTACATAGTCTGTAACTACCTCCACAGAAATACTTAGAAAAATAGATGTAGGGGTACAAGTGCATTTTTGTTACCTGGATATGTCTCAGTGATGAAGTCTGAACTTTTGGTGTAACCATCACCCAAATGGTGTACATCGTACCCAATAGGTAACTTCTCATCTCTCATGCCCTTCCTACCCAACCACCTTTTGGAGTCTCCAATGTCTATTATTCCATTCTCTATGTCCATATGTACACATTGTTTAGTTCACACTGGTAAGTGAGAACATGGCTTTCTGTTTCTGCCTCCAGTTACATCCATGTTGCTGCAAAAACCATTTCATTCTTATAGTATTCCATGGTATATGTGTGTGTGTATACATATATCCTAAATTTTTTAGTATTTCTATATAAATCACATTTTATTTATCCAATCATCAGTTGAGGGACACCTAACTTGACCCCATGACTTTGCTATTGTGATAGTGCCGCAATAAACACGAGTGCAACTGTCCTTTTAATATAGTGATTTCTTTTCCTTTGGGTAGTAGTGGGATCGCTGGCTTGAATAGTAATTCTATTTTTAGTTCTTTGAGAACTCTCCATACTGTTTTCCATAGAGGTTGTACTAATTTTACATTCCCATCAACAGATTATAAGCATTCCCTTTTCTCCACATCCTCACCAACATCGGTTGCTTCCTGACTTTTTAATAGTAGCCATTCTGACTGGTATAAGATGGCATATCATTGTGGTATTAATTTGCATTTCTCTATTAATTAGTGAGGTTGAGCCTTATTTTCATATTTTGTTGGCTGCTTGTATGTTGAAAAACTTCTGTTCATGTCATTTGCCCACTATTTAATGAGGTTATTTGTTTTTTACCTTGCTGAGTTCCCTGTAAATTCTGATTAGTCCTTTGTCAGATGCATAGTTTGCAAATATATTCTCCCATTCCACAGGCTGTATGTTTACTCCACTGAGTATTTCTTTTGCTGTGCAAAAGCTTTTTAGAGACCATTTGTCCATTTTTGGTTTTGCTGCATTTGCTTTTGAGGTCTTAGTCATAAATTTTTGCCTAGACCAATGACCAGAAGGATTTTTCCTAGGTTTTCTTCTACGATTTTTATAGTTTGAGGCCTTACGTTTGTCTTTAATACATCTTGAGTTAATTTTTTTACATGGTGAAAGATAGGGTCCAGTTTCATTCTTCTACACATGACTATCCAATTTTTCCAGCATCATTTATTGAATAGAGTGTCCTTTCCCCAGTATATATTTTTGTCAACTTTATCAAAGATCAGTTGGTTGTAGGTATGTGGCTTTATCTGGGTTCTTTATTCTGTTCCATTGATCTGTGTTTCCATTTTTATACCAGTACCATGCTGTTTTGGTTACTATAGCCTTGTAGTATAATTTGAAGTCAGGTAACGTGATGCCTCCTGCTTTGTTCTTTTTGCTTAGGATGTTTTGGCTATTTGGGCTCTTTTATGGTTCCATATGAATTTTAGGATTTTTTTTTCTAATTCTGTGAAAAATGACATTGGTAATTTGATAGGAATTGCACTGTATCTGTAGATTGCTTTAGGCAGTATGGTCATTTTAATGATACTGATTTTTCCAAGCCATGGGCATGAGACATTTTTCCATTTGTTTGTGTCATCTATGATTTCTTTCACCAGTGTTTTGAAGTTCTCCTTGTAAAGGTCTTTCACTTCCTTGGTCAAATGTACTCCTAGGATTTTGTTTGTTTGTAGTTATTGTAAATGGAATTGAGTTCTTGATTTGGTTCTCAGCTTGATCATTATCGGTGTATAGAACTACTACTTATTTTTGTTCATTGATTTTCTATCCTGAAACTTTGCTGAAATAATTTATCAAATCTAGGAGTCCTTTGGAAGAGTCTTCAGGATTTTCTAGATATAAGATCGTATCATCAGCAAACAGATAATTTAACTTTCTCTTTTCCCATTTGGATTTTGTGGGGTTTTTTTTTTGTTTTGTTTTGTTTTTTGAGACAAGGTCTTGCTTTGTCATTCAGGCTGGAGTGCAGTAGCACACTCATGGCTCACTGCAGCCTCAACCTCCTGGGCTCAAGTGACCTTCCCACCTCAGCCACCCGAGTAGTTGGGACTACAGGCACATGCCACCATGCCCGAGTAATTTTTATATTTTTTTGTACAGACAGGGTTTCATCATGTTGCCCAGGTTGGTCTCAAACTCCTGGGCTCAAGCAATCCACCCACCTCAGCCTCCCAATCTGCTGGGATGACAGGCATGAGCCACTGTGCCTGGCTAGATGCCTTTTATTTCTTTTTCTTGCCTGGATGCTCTAACTAGAACTTCCAAAACTATGTTCAATAAGTGGTCAAAATGGGCATCCCTGTCTTGTTCCAGTTCTAGGAAGAATGCTTTCAACTTTTCCCCATTCAGTATGATGTTGGCTATGGGTTTGTTGTATATGGCTTTTATTATTTTGAGGTATGTTTCTTCTGTGTCTAGTTTGTTGAGGGTTATTATTATGAAGGGCAATTCTGCATCATTTCAGATGATCATATGGTTTTTGTTTGTTTGTTGTTTGACAGTCTTGCTCTGTCACCCAGGCTGGAGTGTGGTAGCATGATCTCGGCTCACTGCAACCTCCGCCTCCCGAGTTCAAGCGATTCTGCTGCCTCAGCCTCCCAAGTAGCTGGGATTACAGGCATGCACCACCATGCCTGGCTAATTTTTGTATTTTTAGTAGAGACAGAGTTTCCCCATGTTGGCCAGGCTGGTCTCATACTCCTGACCACAGGTGATCCACCCACCTCAGCCTCCCAGAGTGCTGGGATTACAGGCATGAGCCACACTGTGCCTGGCCATGGTTTTTGTTTTTAATTGTGTATGTGGTGAATCACATTTATTCATTTGTGTATGTTAAACCATCCTTACACCCCTGAAAAAGAAAACTCACTTGATTGTGTGTTATCTTTTTGATGTGCTGTTGGATTTGGTTTGCTAGTATTTCACTCAGGATTTTTGCACCTATGTTCATCAGGGACATTGGCCTGTAGTTGTTGTTTTGGCTGTGTGCCTAGCTTTGGTATCAGGGTGATACTGGCTTTGCAGGCTGAGTTAGGGAGGATTTCCTCCTCCTTGATTTTTTGGAACAGTTTCAGTAGGATTGGTACCGATTCCTCTTTGCATGTCCAGTAGAACTTGGCATGAATCTGTCTGGCCCTGGGCTTTTCTGTTGTTGAGATTCTTTTTATTACTGATTCAAGCTCACCACTCACTATTGGTCTGTTCAGGATTTCTGTTTCTTCCTGGTTCAACCTTAGGAGTCTGTATGTTTCCAGGCATTATCCATTTCCTCTAGGTTTTCTAGTTTGTGAATGTAGAGGTATTCACAGTAGTCTCTGAGGATCTTTTGCATTTCTGTGGTGTTAGTTGTACTGCCTCCATTTTTATTTCTGACTGTGTTTATTTGCATCTTCTGTTTCTTGGTTAATCTAGCTATCAGCCTATCAATTTTGTTTACTTTTTCAAAAAACCAACTTTTCATTTCATTGATCCTTTGTATTTTTCTTTTGGTCTCAACTTCATTTAGTTCTGCCCTCATATTTCTTATTTCTTCTGCTAGCTTTGACTTTGATTTGTTCTTATTTTTCTAGTTCCTTGAGGTGCAATGTTAGGTTGTTAATTTGTGATCTTTTGTATGTTTGAAGTAGGCATTTAATGGTATAAGCTTCCGTTTTAGCACTGCTTTTATCGTATCCCAGAGGTTTTGGTGTCTTGTGTCTCTGTTTTCATTTGTTTCAAAAAGTAAATACTTAAGAGTAAGTTCACAGGGAGAAGCCCAACAGACACCCCTTTCTTCAGCTCATCATTGTGGACATCACCAGGAACATACAACCCAACACTGACAGCACAGCATCACTGCTGTGATGTCCCTGCAAAAAAGCAAGTACTAAATGTGATCATGAGGAAACACCAGACAAGCCCAAACTGAGGAACACTCCACAAAATAACGGCTGCACTCCTCAAAATTAGGGCCACGAAGGCTCAAGGAAGCCCAAGAGCTACTCGAGGGCATGGGATTGAGGGTGACAGGTAAACATAACAAGTGCCTCTGGAACAGGCCCTTTGCCATACAGGACATCCCTAGGGCAAATGGCACACCTCAAAGAGGCCTGAGGATTAACTGACATCAGGGCTGGCTTCCCAGGTGTGCTGCCCATGTGGGCATGGGGACCTCATGCTCGGTTAACATTCTGATGTTACCATCTTTTTTTTGAGACAGGGCCTCACTCTGTCGCCCAGGATGGAGTGCAGTGACTATTCACAGGTGCAATCAATGTGCTTGCAGCCTCAAACTCCCAGACTCCAGTGATCCTCCTGCCTCAGTCTCCTGAGTACTAACAGCACGTGCCACCGCACCTGATGCTACACCAAAATTTAACAGTGGTGTCTCTGGTAGCTGAGACTACATGGGGCTTTTGTTTCCTCTATTCTATTGGTATCTGTTTTAACATTTTTCAACAAAGAATATATATTCCTTCTGTAAAAAGAAAGTATGAAATTATTTTTAGAAATACAGAATTAATTTATTTCAGTATCTTGCCAGCACCCACAGCATTTATGATCTTTGAGGCCACAGTAGAGCAGCAGCACAGAAGGGTGACTATAGTCAATAACAATTTAATTGCATATTTAAAAATAACTAAAACAATATAATCGGATTGTTTGTGGCACAAAGGATAAATGCTTGAGGGGATGGGTGCCCCAGTCTCCATGATGTGCTTTTTCACATTGCATGTCTGTATCAAAACATCTCATGTACCCCACAAATATATACACCTACTCTGTGCCCATGATAATTAAAAATAAAAATAAAAAATTTTTAATCAGGAAACACTGATCATGACCTGTCCTCCCCAGTTCCCTCCCTTCCTGTGTCACAAACCAGGAACCAAAAGGTCTCTGCTCCCCTTACCCTGGCCTGGGTGGCACAGGCCTGTCCTTCCTCTAGCTCTGTCCCTTCTCCCTGCCCTGTTGTCCCCTCATTCTTCCCCCAAAATACACTCAAGCCCTCTCTCCTTCAAGGCAGCTGGCAAATTTTCAAAGTACCTCAAGTTTCTGATGTAAAACCAGGTTTTCCTTCTGGACAAAAGGAGTGGGGAAGAAAACTGTACTTCTATTCCTAAGAGAGGGTCTCAGGCCCTTAGAGAGGAAAAGATTCTGTACTAAAGATAATACTGGAAAAAAATCAACCCAGGGCAGTCACCCGTAGAGCAGAGGTTCTAATGCTGGCCTCATACTCAGACCACCAAGGTGGCTCTGGCCCGTCTCCAGGCCCAGGTGTCTTCAAACAGCAGGTGTTTCAGATGCACAGCCAAGGCTGAGAGGCATTGTGCTGGATGTTGGGTCCAGTCTTCTGGGGGCCTACAAGGGGTGATTAAGTTCCCCTGTCTACCTCAAAATGTTCTAATGTTTGTAGAGTTGCTTACTGGGCCATCTGCATTACCAAGGAACAGCGAACCAGAAGGCTGAAGTGGCCGACAGTCTGGTTTTATGAGCCCCCAGGGGATGTGCCCGGAACTTTGAGAACCATTGACCTTTACTAACAAGGTAAGGGACAGTGACACAGGAGAGCTTATCAGACTGAAAACCTGTGAAGTCGTTTCACATTTCATCAGCAGTTTAACAGTGACAGGTACTTGTAAAAAGCTCACAAGGTTGATCTGAGGACTTCACTGGATCAGTGCCTCCCTAACTTCTGGGTGTTTAGTGTGCGTGCACGTCATCTGGAGAGCTGCGGAAAATCCCCAGGAGTGGATCATCCAGGGAAGGCCATGGAAATCCCCGGGAGTGGACCCATTCAGAAGGGCGTGAGCTTCCATGTCCCTAACCTGCTCCCAGGAAAGGCCGTGGAAATCCCCAGGAGTGGACCCATTCAGAAGAGGGTGAGCTTCCATGTCCCTAACCCGCTCCCAGGGAAGGCCGCGGAAATCCCCAGGAGTGGACCCATTCAGAAGGGGGTGAGCTTCCGTGTCCCTAACCCGCTCCCAGGGAAGGCCGCGGAAATCCCCAGGAGTGGACCCATTCAGAAGCGGGTGAGCTTCCGTGTCCCTAACTCGCTCCCAGGGAAGGCCACGCCAGAAACAGGGAGGCCTAAGCCAGTTTTCTCTGAAACGTGCCCACACTCCTCTTTCTAGGAGGCACTGAGCTGATGCCTGGTGGGATCCCCTACAAACGTGCCCACACTCCACTTTCTAGGAGGCACTGAGCAGACGCCTGGTTGGATCCCCTGCAAACGTGCCCACACTCCACTTTCTAGGAGGCACTGAGCCGACGCCTGGTTGGATCCCCTGCAAACATGCCCACACTCCACTTTCTAGGAGGCACTGAGCTGACGCCTGGTTGGATCCCCTGCAAACGTGCCCACACTCCTCTTTCTAGGAGGCACTGAGCCGGCGCCTGGTTGGATCTCCTGCAGCACTTCACCTCTCCCTGGGCCTCAGATTCCTTATTTGGAAAATGAGAACAACTTTGCGAGACTGCTATGGATGCCAACACCACATCCGGCACAGGCGTGGAGGTCTGGGCAGCAGCCTGGGGCTCTCTGGGCCTAACTCTACCTTCCATTCCCTCTGCCCACTCCTTCTTGTCCCTTCTGGTCTCTGTCCTCATGGCTCTAGACACTAGTCCCTGTCAGATGTGCTAGAAGGACCTGAGACAAATTGATGGCAGCAATCTGTTTTGTAACAATAAATTGCTAGAACAATAAAACACAGCCTGGGCACATCAGATGCATGCAAAGGTGTGTATGCAAAGGACACACCATTGAGGGCGTTCTCTCCTTCTTTAACACCTTTCCCAAGTTAGGGGGCGGGGGGCAGGTTAACACAAAGCACTCAGAGCAGTGCCTGACCTGCGAAGCACTCCTGCATGGCAGACTCTGTCTTTACTCTGCTGTGGCCCCCTCCAGCGCTGGTGCAAGCACTGGCCCTGTTCCCAGCCCGGCAGTGCTGTGGAGGTACCTGCAAAGCTGGCGTTCTGCTGTTTTCTCATGGAGTCATCATGGTCAAGTACCAGAGCCTTGTAACCTGAAGTTATCTTGCTAGGGAAATACAAAAACGTTTTTTAGGATGTTGCGCTCGTAAATCATCACCATTCATTTCCTACATCAGGATGGGGAGGTCTCTTGTACATAAATGAATTCACATAGCCATGTTCCAGTAACACCAGATACAAAAGGCCTTGGCCTGACCTCAGCCCATGATGGTCCCCTAGAAGAATAAGAGGCAAACTGGTTGTTGTAAGCCAGGGAGATTTGCCATTTGTCACTGCAGTATCACCTCATTATCCTGACCTATATGATTAACCACAGACATGTACACCCCTTCACTGGACACCCCGCAACTGGCTACCAGAAACCCTAGAGATAAACATTTGGCTCACGGTGTAACAGAGGCATCAGCCTTTATGTGTGGTGTACACTTTGTAACCTAATTTCTGGCTCCCTTTTTTTTTTCTCTCTCCTACTCATACCATCATGTGGGGTTTTGTCTATCCTTACAAATTGCCTTAAATTCTTTCTTCTTAGTTTAACTGGCCTGAGGTAGTGGCCTCCCCATCCTGATATAGGAAATAAGAGTGTAGAGTATAAACAAATAATTTCCTAGATCTCAAAAGAAAAATCTTGCTTCTGCCATTTGATGACTTATACACAGCTTAGTCCCAGAGCACAAATGAAAAGAAAAACAAGGGAGTCAGCATCTTGCAGCAGCATCTCCTACTGTCCTTACCCCACACAGTGCACATGCAGCTTTCTGGGTAGTGGCCTCATCACTCGCCCACAGCCGCTGTCTGCAGCACGTGGCCTGGATCCAGTGGTCAGCACGGCAGGCCGCTCAGTGCTACGGGTCTGCTATCCCTTGGACACTTCTCCTTTTTGGGGAGGAGGTGGCAGGGCACAGCAACTAAAGCCACTGCTGCTTCCACAGATTCTACTCCTGCACCGTGGGCACCTGTCATGTGCAAATGCTGGGACAGATGCCTTCCCTGTGCCGTCTTGATTCTCACAGCCCTGCTGCACTGGCAGAGAGCCAGGGCTTGGAGGGATGACACTGACTCGTAGTGCAGAACCTGACAGAATTGAGAGAATTCTGAATTTAGAACCTGACAGCTCACAGGGGCTGGGACATTAAGAGGGAAGCCGAACTAAATAGGAGCTGACAAGGTATGGAATCTGTGTTTTCTCTTCTGATAAACAGCAAAACGAATCTTTGCGTCGGAGGTGACACAAAGAATTCAGTATGACTCAGAGTCGCACACTCTTCAGAAGGCAAAGACCAAGTCTGTTTCACCTTTGGATGGATTAGAAAATACACTAGCTGGCCACGGGCACCAAGGGAAAAGTGTTACTACTTCAGGCGTGATGGAACCACGGTCAGAGCCGGGGTCGCCCAGGAAGCCCCAGCAAACCCAACTCACTTTCTGCCCAACCTTGGCCTGAACCAGAAGGTGGAGCCTGCTGCACAAAGCTGTGAAGAGGCCAGTCAGGGACGGAGCCCCCGGCGCCACGTGCCGACCCAGCAGCCCCAGGGATGGAGCCCCCGGCGCCACGTGCCAGCCCAGCAGCCCCAGGGACGGAGCCCAGCTCCAGGGGGTTGGGAGGCTCTGGGGACCCTCTGTTCTCCCCAGGTTTGCAGGTTCAGTTCTTACCCCGGCCACTGCTGTGGCCTGACCCCTCGGGCCAAGCACTCACTGGCACCTGGCAGGGCTCTGCAGGTGGAGGTGGCCATGCCAGCATCTCAGAGACACTATTTTACCATTTTCTTTTTGTGAGAATCTGTGATAAGATGGCCATTTAATTTTTAAATTACACACAGTGCATGGAAAAAAAAACAGTGACTTGTGTAGCAAATTGTGTTTAGATACACGGAAAAGCTAGAAAATGTTGAAGTAGCAGAAGAGCAGATGGTTTAACTCCATCAACTGCCTCAATGAAGCCACATGCTGCGTTGCGTGCCAATGCTTTTCCCTGCAAATGTGGGATGGGCAGAGCCTCTCCATCTACTCCCTGCTTGCTCCGCAGCTGTGGCCATCCTCTGTTCTGCCACCTCCTCTCTCTGCCTCCAACTCCTCTGTGTCCGGGGCATAGCATTCGTACTCCGGGGCACCAACCAGGTCCAGGTCATCTTCAACCTCCTCGCCTGACAGGTAACTCTTGAGGGAGCTGTCCTGCTCCAGGCGGGGCTTGGCCCTCTTCCTTCCCTTTTTCATCTGCGTTGTCAGCTCAGCCACCTGCCCCTGCCACACCAGGCCCCCGAGCCCTTTATCTTTCCTCCTTTTGTACTCCATAATCTGCTTGTTGAGCGCCTCATGATCGATCCCACACAGACTGGAGCTTGTGGTCGGCTCTGTGGTGCCGCAGGGTTGTGGGGCATCAGGGTCCCTGGGAAGGAAGAAGAGGCTTCACACCAAGCACAAACCATGCCCCTAGTCCACAGTGTCGTCGCCACAACACAACAGCACATCACACTTCCTACATCTACTCGCCTGAGAACCCTCCCAAACGTCTATCTGAGGGTAACTGGAGACAGGAGTGAAGGAAGGTGGGCTTTGGTTTCCGCCTTCTCCAGTGTCAGAAGCATTCGGCCAGCACAGTCCAGGTGCACCGTCCTGTATGCAATAAATGCATTTGCGCCGGGCACGGTGGCTCACATCTGTAATCCCAGCACTGTGCGAGGCTGAGGCGGGCGGATCACGAGGTCAGGAGTGCAAGACCAGCCTGGCCAACATGGTGAAACCCTGTCTCTACTAAAAATACAAAAATTAGCTGGGCGTGGTGGCGCTCGCCTGTAATCCCAGCTACGCAGGAGGCTGAGGCAGGAGGATCGCCTGAACCCAAGAGGCAGACATTGCAGTGAGCCAAGATCACGCCGCTGCACTCTAACCTGGGCGACAGAGTGAGACTCTGCCTCAAAAAAAAAAAAAAAAGCGTTTGCAACTTTTTTCTCTAAGCATGGCCAGTGCCTCGGGCCAGTTCAACTGGCAGAATCGCAGGTGAGGCCTATCAGACCTGCCACTCATTCGCCTTCATGAAGAGTCTATTCTTGGTGAACAGCACCTAGTCAAGGCCACGTCACAGCCCCTGTATCCTCCAAGGCTCCACTTTGGAAAGTTTCCACACCCTGGGCTCAGCTCCCTGCCCTGCCGCCCCCACACTGCCCCTTGCTGACACGGTCAGGCCAGGCCTGCTACAGCGTGGAGCTTTGCTTCCAGCTCAGGGATGCACCTGGCAGGCTGGTTAAACCCGACTCTGGCAGGTGCCAGGCGATGTTGACGCTGCTGTCTAAGGCCCCCAGGCAAGGCCTGCTCTAGCAGCTGTGGGCTTGGAATGGGGCCCCCCACAAACACCCCAAGACCTGCAGGCTCTGTCAGGCACTACATGTTTGGAAAAGATGTGTATGTGTGTGTACATGCACAGGCCAAACTTCCACGCCCCCGACCTGCTCTCCCAAGCCCCACCTCCCTCTACTCCCCTCCTAACACCCATCTGTGATGTTTACTGCTTCCTGTCGGCCTCCCCTAATGAAACGCAGGTTCCAAAGACAGCTGCATCCTAAGTGCTTGACCAGGGCTTGGCACACAGTGGGCACTCAATAAACAATGTGTTGAATGAACGAAGAGGACAAGAGGCCCTCTCCTCACTGCAGGAGTTATGGCAGGCACCTCTGGTGGCCCCTGAGGCCCTCACTGTGTAAACGTGGCCAGGCCACAGCACAGGCCTGTGAATGTGGATTGCCGGCCCTGGAGGCAAGTGCCATGGGGATCATGCAGGCTACTCGGGATGTGGCGCTGGGCAGCTGCTCTGGAAAATGGTGATTCCACACCCAGGAATGTACCCCAGGGAATCAAAACATATGTCCACATGCGTCACCTGAAATCATTTTGTACAAAGTTGTCTCTTTCATCCCGGGGTCCAAAGTCTGCGACTGCCAGTAACTGATCAAGCTACAGAGGAACACAGAGGGTAAACCCGTTAGCCACATCCCCACCACCATACTTACAGCCGGGCTCCACGTAACACCAGCATTGTTGACTGCAGAGCTTTTGATCAGACTTTGCACAATTCCTTCCACCGACTCTTCCCAAATACTAGGACCTGTTCAGTAGCCTGTGCTTTCAAATACCTTACTGTTACTTTAACATAACACATTTTCTCTGATAACGAAGTGAGGCTTTTTAAAAACTACATTTTAGACTTGTTAGTCAAATTTATGAAGAAACCAGTTAAGCGTTAGTTGAATTAACTAACTAACCATTAACTGGTTTCTAAGGTAGTTTTGCAAAATGCTTCAGTTTTGCCACAGAATTTGTGTGCCTTGGGGGACAAAAGCCTCCCAACAAGACAAGGTAAAAGATGATGCGGACAGTCACAATGCTGGGAGCCTAAACTACAAAAGAAAACTGCTCCTCAGCCAGGCTCATGGGATGCCACCCACACCATGGCAATGGCCCACAAGCCCTGCTGGACAATGCATTCCACCCGAACCCTGCCTGCCTATCCCCTGCCTCCGGGGGTGTCCTCATCCTGCTCCAAGCATAGCATGCACTCTCCCCTGTCCAGTGACTGTTCTGGAACCCACACCACCTGATGGGACCTCCCTCCCCAGAGACAGGAGCCTGGAGTGCTGAGCTCAGACAGAGAGACTGGCACGTCCTCCCCAGGGAACACCTTGCTCATGCCCTCACAGCACACTGCCATGACCTGAACTGTCCCTGATTCCTTACGGCAGGGACTATAACTTCACTCCTTCGTTTCTTTTTCTAGCAAGGGAAATCACGAATCTGTCAAGCTTATTACTTGTACAATGTTTTTAGTGTTACCTACACACTGATTAACGAAAACCAAAAATGTCAAACTGGATCTTTTTCTTCTGTGGATCCAAATGCTGTCTGGTCCTATACTGAACAACAGTTACCTATAATACTGCAAACGCTATTCGCTGATTTTTGACTGACTTTTTGAAGGTATAACATATCTTAATAACTGCCAGGTAACCACCACCCAGAGAAGTATATATTTACATGTTTTTAATCTTTATAGCTAACCCATCTCTAAAGCAAGGAAAATGATAATAAAAGCACTTAAGGTTACAGGACAGACCTAAGTCTCATAAGCCCCAATAATGTGAAACGAAAGTGGACTGATCCATTTCGAGAGGTGGGAGGGGGAGACAGGCGTGGGAGGGCAACTCTGGCCGTGTTGAGTTCATACCCTAGTTAGAGCTACAGTGATAAGCATAAAAAAATTAAAACCAGAAACAGCAACTACTTCTGGGGACCTGGCTGGGAACAGGGGCACAGGAGAAAGGGACAGCCTTTTCATTTGCACCTTTCTTTCATTACTTTTCATTTGTTCCCTTCTCAGTGGTTTCTTCTCTTTTTTTTTTTTGACACGGAGTCTCTCACTCTGCTGCCTGGAGTGCAGTGGCACAATCTCGGCTCACTGCAACCTCCGCCTTCCCGGTTCAACTGATTCTTCTGCCTCAGCCTCCCGAGCAGCTGAGACTACGGGCGCACGCCACCACACCTAGCTAATTTTTTTGTATTTTTAGTAGAGACAGGGTTTCACCGTATTGGCCAGGCTAGTCTCTAACTCCTGACCTTGTGATCCACCTGCCTCGGCCTCCCAAAGTGCTGGGATTACAGGCTTGAGCCACTGCACCTGGCCTCTTCTCTTTTTTAACTGTACATTATCTTTTCAGGATTTAAAACTTAAATTTAAAACTTTATTCATATAAGCGTTTATGTTATAAAAAGTTAATTATTACCTGGGCCCGGTGGCTCACACCTATAAATCCCAGCACTTTGGGAGGCTGAGACAGAAGGATCCCTTGAGGCCAGGAGTTCAAGACTAGCCTGGACAATATAGCAAGACTCTGTCTCTAATTAAAAAAATAAAAATTTTTAAATTTTAAAAAGTTTTTTTGAAAACCTTACCTCAGCTAGAGCTGCATTTCCCTTGTCTTGAACAAACACTATCGGTGGCACATTCCTCAGGGTCTGCTGGGACATCAAAAGGTGCCTAGGAGACAGAACGCACAGACCCTCACAGCTGTGCCGTGACACTCAGTGGAGAGGCGTGACAGTGCTGAACATATGATTCAAGATGTAACCAAGAGGCAGGAGTGAGAGGCCGGGCGCGGTGGCTCACGCCTGTAATCCCAGCACTTTGGGAGGCCGAGGCGGGCGGATCACGAGGTCAGGAGATCGAGACCATCCTGGCTAACATGGTGAAACCCCGTCTCTACTAAAAATACAAAAAATTAGCCAGGCGTGGCGGCAGGCACCTGTAGTCCCAGCTACTCGGGAGGCTGAGGCAGAAGAATGGCCTGAACCCGGGAGGCGGAACTTGCAGTGAGCCAAGATAGTGCCACTACACTCCGGCCTGGGTGAAAGAACAAGACTCGGTCTCAAAAAAAAAGAAAAAAAAAAAAAAGAGGCAGGAGTGAGATTTATCGTATTACTCAAAAATGAAAACCTCAGCCCAGAAGAGTCATCTTTAGTCAACTACCACATCAAAAAAGGGATGCAAAATGCATCATAACTGCAATTGCCTTGACTTTTCTCAACGCAACTTGTGCGATCTGTACAAATAACCTGATCTGAACTCATCGCCGTAGCCTTGGGCTCCAGGGTCTGTGCACTAACAGCCTGTCCTCCTGTGCCCAGTGGACACGCCCTGGCACGACACAACCCTCAGGTTCCCAGATATTAGACACAGAAGTGATATTTGTATCATGCACATCACATAATACAGACCTAGGGCCAATGTAGGCACGGCACATATAACCAGCGAAAGCCGTGACCACAGATCTTTGGTACACAGCTATGGAAAACGGTGACCCTAAATCTTGGGTGACCGCAGGAGTTGGGAAGAGGGACATTCAGCTCAACTGAATTTTCTGATACCTAAAAATCAGAAAACAATGCTGTTTCAACACTTGTCAATAATCTCTCATTTTCTTGCTTTTGTTAAACAGTAAGAAATAAGCATTCTCTGATATGCAGTTTCACAGACCCCTGGGCATCATCGTGTGTGGTAATGATGCAGGGAAGCCAGGCAGGGTGCCTGGAACGAAGCCCACACACGGCCACCTTTTCTACGTCTGTCCCCACCCTAAACATGGGGCATGATGAGAAGGGAGGCAGAAAGGAGGAATTCCAGTTCTGAGAGAGCTGGACAGTGAGCTGGATTTGGATTTCTGCATTTTTTAAAACTGAGGAGGAAACTGAATAATTTCTTTATTATCATCCAGCTCAGCAATTCCCAAAATTGTTGGTCCCAGGATCCTTTACATTCTTAAAAATTACTGAAGATCCCAAAGAGCATTTGTTTATGTGGGTTCTATCTATCAATATTTACTATACTACAAACTAAAACTGAGAACTCTAAAAGCTACGTCTTTTTAAAGTCGCTTAAAAACCCACTAAATGCTTACATAGACATTTTTAACAAAAAATATATATATACACTCCCCCCCACAAAATCAATGAAAAGCATGGAATTGTTTATGTATTTGCAAATTCTCCAAGGCCAGCTTCATGGAAGACAGCTGGGATCTCACTGCTGCTTCTGCACTCTGTCCTTCCTCTCACTGAAATACAAGAAGAGCCAGCGCAGTAGCTCATGCCTGTAATCTCAACACTTTGGGAGGCTCAGGCCAGAGGATCGCTTAAGCCCAGGAGTTGGAGACCAGCCTAGACAACATAGAGAGATCCTATCTCTACAAAAAATACAAAATTAGCCAAGTGTGGTGGCATGCACCTGTGCTTCCAGCTGTATGGGAAGCTGAGGCAGGAAGATCACTTGAGCCTGGGAGGTTGAGGCTGCAGGAGCCAAGATTGTGTCTCTGCACTCCAGCCTGGGAGACAGAATGAGATCCTGTCTCAAAAAAAGCAAAAAAAAAAAAAAAAAAATTCAGGCCTCCCAGTTATGTGTTGGAAAAGACAGAATTTAACAGCCATGAGAAAAGTATGGATCTTCTTTGTCACAAAAATTCAACAAATGTACTTTATTAAAGGTCAGTTGTCCCGGCCTGGCCAATATAGTGAAACCTCATCTCTACTAAAAATACAAAAATTAGCTGGGCATGGTGGCGGGCGTCTGTAACCCCAGCTACTCAGGAGGCTGAGGCATGAGAATCACTTGAACCCGGGAGGCAGAGGTTGCAGTGAGCCAGTATCACTCCACTGCCCTCCAGCCTGGGCGACAGAGCAAGACTCCATCTCAAATAAATAAACATATAAATAGTTGCAATGAGGAATCTGAAACCACACCCAACCAACCTGTCACACTCTGCTACATTAAAACTCACCATCTGGCTCACACTTTGAATTGATCTCTCAGCGTATGGTTTTGTAACCTCATGCACTGGTCATTTGGAAAACAACAGCTCACCTAGTTATGCAGATTTTAAAAGCATTGACACAGTTTATCATACAACAGCACGTTTGTTAAGGTCGCTGCCAATCTCATCAGAAGAGTCTCAAGTACCTAGAAGTTGTCAAGCTCACAGTGGTGAATACAAGTTTCCTAAAATTCTGATTTTCACTTGAAAGCTTAAATTTTATCACTGGCAACAGATATGGTCTGTTGTTTGCTCCGGAGTGGTAGGTTCACTCGCTTATTTTTGAAAGAATGTCTGCCAAACACCCAAACCTAAACAGTCTGCTCACTGATGCTTTTCTGTTCAGCATTCTCCAGACAGCAGGTGATTTACATGTACTTCCCATTACAAAAAATATGAAAAAGGCATGCTCAAGGGTCAAGATTTAATACAATTAATAATTTTTGATAAACTGTCTCGGATTTTTTAATTTTTCTTTGAGAAACAGGGTCTTGCTCCGTTGCCCAGGCTGGAATGCAGGTACATTAACACGGCTCACTGCCACCTCAAATTCCTGGGCTGATAGGAATCCAGGGGATACCTCCCACCTCAGCCTCCTGAGTAGGTGGGACTATATGCGTGTGCTGCCACTGTGCCTGGTTAATTTTTTAATTTTTTGTAGAGACAGGGTCTCGCCATCTTGCCCAGACTGGTCCTGAACTCCTGGCCTCAAGTGATCCTCCCGCCTCGGCATCCCGAGTTGCGGGGATTACAGGTGAGAGGCACCATGTCCAGCCTCATCTGGGATATTCTTAAGTAAAAGTAACATTGTCTTTTACTCTAGGCATGTGGCATGGCGCCCCTACAGCACTGGCTGGCAGCATGGCACCAGCAGTCTTCCCTCATGGTTTCTGTACCCTCAGTGCAAATGTCAACACAGCAGGAGAGGTGAAATAACGTCTTACCCTAATGAACTCCCTGACAGGATCTCCAGATCCCTAGTGATCCTGGCACACTTTAATAAATGCTAACCTACATTATAGCTTATACAAAAATGCAAATTATACTATGAACTTCAAGAAAATGCCTCCAAAATTTTCTTTAAAAGCAAAAATACTCAATGAAAAGTTCAAGTCCACCTACAAGTGAAACAGCTGAGAAATTTAGGGTATGAGCAAAAAGCAAGTACATTCAGAAAGCAAAGGTCATCACCTCATGTGCGCGGCACTTCTCTGCAGGACAGCCTCCATGTGTGCGTTCTGCTCAGCAGAGAGCGTTGTCTTCCAGTACGCTCGGCAGGCTGAGAAGTCTGGAGTCAGGGAAACCTGAGACCCCGCCCCTCCACAGGTCACTTTTTAGCTTACATGGGTTTTCAAGACAAACAACATCCAGGAGATGAAAACGACAGCTGCAGACGCCCCTCCCACCCAAGCCAGGGCTCTGGCATGCTGCTGGAGGCCACCTCCTGCTGCCGCACCATGTCCCCAGGTGAAGTAGGGCCCCAGAAACCAAAACCTCCCTCCTCTCTTCACCAGGACCCGCAAACCAAACCACCTGGTTTGCAGAACCAAACCGGAACCCTGACCCCACGCTTGCCTCACAGCCACTTGCCCTGAGACACTAATCAAAAATGCTCGATGCTGCCTTTTCTCCTTACAACTCACTGAGTGGGTCAGAGGAAGTCATCTCCTGTACCTCTGTACTGAGGTACATGCAGATGCATCCTCTTCCCACGGCAGGCTTAGACCTTCTACTATCTGACAATGTGCCAGGTGCTGTTTGGTCACAGGACTCCCGCCTTGCAGTGAGACATCTGCCTCTGCACAGCACAGACACTCACCATCTGTCTCCAGGGCTCCAATGACCAGACTGAGCATCATTTCTATTTCTGCAACCCAGAACTAAGACTTCATAAGTGCTAAAGTGGCTTTTTTTTTTTTTGAGATGGAGTCTCGCTCTGTCACCCAGGGTGGAGTGCAGAGGCGCGGCCTCAGCTCACTGCAACCTCCGCCTCCTGGGTTCAAGCGATTCTCCTGCCTCAGCCGCCCGAGTAGCTGGGACTACAGGCGCCCGCCACCATGCCCGGCTAAGTTTTTGTATTTTTAGTGGAGATGGGATTTCACTGTGTTAGCCAGGATCGTCTCAATCTCCTGGCCTCGTGATCCGCCCGCCTCAGCCTCCCAAAGTGCTAGGATTACAGGCGTGAGCCACCGCGCCCAGTCTAAAGCGTCTTTTTTTAATTGTCAGGCAAGACTGGGCCAGGTAAAGTAAGTGCCAGGCCTGCTGTCTCAACCCATTTCTTCTCTTTGGCCACACAGCCTACCTTGGAGAGCTCCACGTTAAGGTCATACAGCTCCTGACTCACTTCAGGGGTACACAGCAGGTCTGTCAGTGCCTTATAGAGGAGGCCGTTCAGGGCCCTCAGGCGCGCATGGTCTTCCTTCCTGGTTTTCTTTGAGGTGCTCCTCATGAGGAATTCCAACTTGGATGGTTTGTAAGTCTCCATCAGGAAGAAGAGCACACCCCAAGGGCAGCGTTACAACTCCAAACTCACCAAGTCACACAGCAGGGGCTGGGGGAGGGCTGGATGGGCAACCAGATCAACAGCAGCTATCACTCTCAGCTGCCTCAGCTTTCATTAAGATAAAGTTTTATAAACCGGGATCCTTTTAAATTTTACCTGGTAACCCTCCAAGATTAAAAGTACTGCCAGTAAATATTTTCTCAAAAAAAGTTTTTGTTGAGATATAATTCACATACCATAAAGTTCACCGTGCTAAAGGGAATAATTCAGTAATTTTTTGGAAACGTGATGTATTTATTTTTCAGAATGGGAGCCATATATTGTATAAACTTTTACAGTACACACACACTAAAAACTGAATGGATATTACCATATTATAATTTGATAAAAGATATGACTTTCCAGAAAACATTAATGTCAGTACATTTTTTTTTGAAAAGATCAAAACTCCATGTTGCCAATGGCATCCAGTCGCATCCACATAGACACTATCCCCTCCAATACAGAAATGGAAAGACCTCCAGGTAAGAGTTTTGCCAACTTTTAAACCCTCACTCCCATCAAGATTATAAAGTGGCTCATGGCTTATACTCACCGAGTGAGAACCCAAGGAAGGACTTTCATACCAAACCTTTTTTCTTTGGGGAGAAAATAAGCATTATGTTAGTGATGGCAAAGTCAAAAAGTTACATAAGCTAATTTAAGAGGTTATGATACCATAACTGTTTATAGGGGGCTAAACTTAGATGTTACATTACTGGACATCTTAAAAAATTTCAGAATTTAATTGATAACAACATGGGTTGTGGGGAAGAGGCTGAAGATGGTTTTAATTCAACCTCATAATTTTTACCTAAATTCTACTTCTAGTCCCAAGGTTAGAGAGAGGATCTTAAAAAGACACCTACCAAACTGCACATAAACACTATACGCTAATTGATAAAGATGTTTCCCATGGAAGTTCAAGTAAAGGATTCAGATACTGTTATAGGCATAGACTGAGACTGAACAATTAAGCAAATGGATGGTGGGAGCCACGCTCACCATTGGAGTGCGACTTACAGATCAGCAAGGAGAGGAGGCTAGAATGATCCACACAGTACGTCTGGAGTTGGAGACAGATGGCTATACACGGAAATGTTTATAGGTGCATATTTACACAAGGGTTAGTAGAAACACATATATCCTTTCGTCAGATGAGATGGCCCAAAAGACAGACACCCCAGAAGCAATGAACACACCCAGCACCCATGGTTTCTAATCTCTCTCTCCAATAAAAGGAACGAGGGCTTCTTGGAGAAATGGCTGATTTTAGGGCTGTGGTACGAAACACACAAGATGAGCCTGGAGTATCTTGTAGTGCCAGAAAGTAGGAAAGTGTTTAACACACACAGAACCCAGCAAAACCCCACAATGACAGGGTATGCAAACAGGACATAGGAGCTTAGTGAGCTCCTAAGGGCCTGAGCTGGAAACATTCGAACAAAACTAAGTAACACGGGATTATAACCCATGAGTTCTTGGTGATATGAATGAATTAATACATGGGGTGAAGAGACATATCCCTTGTGCAGAATGCAAACCACTTATGAGCAAAATTCCCCACTCATTAGGCATGGGCTGCACACAGCGACTTTCTCCCAGAGTACAGTAAGGAAAGGGGGCAAAAAGAGTAACTTTACGGTAGAGAAACCTGGCAAGCACCTCATGCAGGGGATCACGGCCAGCGTGGACCCTGGATACGGTGCGATGAGAATGGCCTTTACCTCTGTAGTCTTCCTCCCCAAAAGCCATAATCCACGTCTAAGCATTAAAAAAACAGGCACATTCCAACAGAGAGGCATCCTGCAAAGCACCTGACCAGTACCCCTCAAAACTGGCACAGCCATCAAAACCAGGGACAGTCTGGGACACTACCCCAGCCTAAGGAAACAAGACAATTCAATGTAACGTGGACCTTGGGTGGGCACCTGGGACAGGAAGGGACAGCAGGCAGAACCAAGGAAAAGTGAATAAAGTATGAGCTTCAGTTAGCAACACTCTTATCAATATCGGCTCATTAACTGGAACACGTTGGAAGCTAAAGTCCGACGCTAACACAGGGGGAGCTGGGTGCCAGGACACAGGAACGCGGTACTATTTTTGCAATTTTTCTGCAGGGTCTAAAACTGTCTTTAAAAGTAGTGTATTAAAGTAGAAAACATACAACCACCTACCATACTTAGAAGAACTAAAAGCAGTGTGAAAAGTCAATGTATTTTATTGTACTTATCTTTCATAATTTAAAAACACTAATTATCATGACAAGCTTTAGTCTTCAAATTCACACAGAAAGTCAACATTAGCAAGGAAATTCTTATATTTTTTCATTTTTCCTCATTTTCTGAAACTAATCTTCTGAAAAATACGTCTGGTGACAAGAATCAAAATAAACACACATTGTCACTTTGTTTTCTTAACCCGACACACGTCCACGAACACAAAAGCTGCAAATGCTGACAGTGAGAGCTAGAACTGCTGCAGACCCCAGGAGGCAGGAACTGGCGAGCTAGGCCGCATGGGCGCAAGAACGCGGATGAGCGGACACCGCAACCCGGGGACACCGCCCCCTAGGGAATACCGCGCCCAGGGACACCGCCCCCGCCGCATTACTTGGTTTTCGAGGCAAATTTCTTGAGCCAGTTCTTGCAGGAGACAGCAGAGCAGTGAAGTCCCCGCTCGCAGCCTGGAAATAGCGCAGCATCGCGGCTACGGAACAGGGCCCGGAGACCCGCGCGGGAGCGCCACAGCCCGCCCGCCGCAGCCCACATGGCGCGGCGCCGGGACCCGGAGCGAGCAGGGAGACAACGGGCGCAGGCGCGGAGCGACAACTGACGCGAGGGTGGCGGCGTGTGGGCGGGGCGACGGCGCAGAGCGGGAGGAAGACTCACGCCTGGCAGGCGGCGTGTGGGCGGGGCGATGATGCAGGGCGGGGCGATGATGCAGGGCGGGGCGAGGACAGACGCGAAGCTGACGGCGTGTGGGCGGGGCCACGGCGCGGGGCGGGACGAAGACGGGGTGCAAGGCGGGCGGGGCAACGACGGCGGAGGGGCGAAGGCCCGAGGGGGGCGGTAGGTGGGCGGGGCGAGGACAGACGCGAAGCTGACGGCGTGTGGACGGGGCGACGGCGAGGGACGGGGCAAAGACTGGACGCAAGAAGGGGCGGGGCGACAACGGCGGAGGGGCGAAGGCGCGAGGCGAACGGCGAGTGGGCGGGGTGAAGACCGACGCGAAGCGGGCGGTGGTTGGGCGGGGCGAAGACTGACGCGAGGCGGGCGGTGAATGGGCGGGGCGAAGACTGGCGCGAGGTGGGCGGTGGGTGGGCAGGGCGAAGACTGAAGCGAGAAGGGCAGCGCGAGGTGGGCGACTACCAGAGCGAAGCGAGCGGCGTGTAAGCGGGGTGAAGACAACGCCAGGTGGGCAGTGTGCGGGCGGGGGGGGCGGCAACGGGGGCGGGGCGAAGGACGACGCGAGGCGGGGCCGGCGGGAGCTGGGCGTGGGGAGGCCGCGTGGGCTGCGCGGAGGGTGTGCCACTCGGGGAAGCGTGGGAACCGCCTGGTTGCCTGGCGCTGCGTAGCTAGGAACACGTTTTGTTTAAATACTGGGAACTGACGTAGGCGGGTGCGCCGCACAAAGCAACGAAGGCATCGAAGCCTGGAGACCTGGGCAGGGCCGCTGTCGGCGGGAGGCTGCGAGGGGTCCGTCTGTTTCCGCCACTGGGCCCTCCAGGGCTTTGCTGCTGCGCCGCCTTCTCCCCGGGCACCTAGAGAAAGTCCCCAGATTGGGCGTCCTCCCCAGAAGTGGTCTCGCCCCGCCCGCCTCCCCAGAGTCAGCGTGGCCCAGCGGGGAAGCTGCTCCCCCCGGGCGTGGAAAGAGAAGTGAGCGCGACCGCAGTGTTGGGGATGCGTGGGCTGTGACTCCCCCGAGGCGGCTGCTGTGGTGTGAGACACGTCTGTGTGTGTGTGTGTGTGTGGGCGCGTGTGGATGTGTACATGTGTATGTGTGCATATGTACGTGTGTGTGCATGTGTGTGGACATGTATATGTGTGCATGTGCGTGCGCGTATATATGTGTGTGTGTATGCGTATGTATGTGTGTATATATTGTCAATCGAAGAAAACGACGAGACAAGTCTCTAATCATTTTAGGAGATTTATTTGCCAAAGTTAAGGACGCACCCAGGAGACAGGTCTACGCCTTTCTCCAAAAATGATTTTGAGGGCCCCAGATTTAAAGGGGAAAGGGCGGAGTATTGAGAAGCAGAGTTTTCACAAACAAACGGGCAGAGGAAAAACGTGGGGAATCTGCATTTTACATAAGATAACGCAGACAAAATGTGGTAGGGGAACAATCAGATGGGCTAGGGTGACTGCACCTGTAAAGATAAGCTATCAATTTGCATTGCCATGGTTAAGTTTTATTTTTTTGAAATGGAATCTCTCTCTGCCGCCCAGGCTGGAGGGCACTGGCGTGATCCCGGCTCACTGCAACCTCCACCTTCCAGGTTCAAACAATTCTCCCGCCTCAGCCTCTCGTGTAGCTGGGATTACAGCTGTGTGCCACCACACCCAGCTACTTTTTGTATTTTTAATAGAGACGGTGTTTCCCCATGTTGGCCAAGCTGGTCTCAAACTCCTGACCTCAAGTGATCCGCCCAACTCGGCCTTCCAAAGTGCTGGGATTACAGGCGTGAGCCACCGCGCCTGGCCACCATGGTGAAATTTCAACAGCTCACCAGGAATCTCCTTGTGGGCAAAATATGGGGGAGGCGTGTAGCCTTTCATCTTGTAGCCATCTTATTTAGGAACCAAAAGGGGGAGACAGGTTTGCGTGACCCAGTTCCCAGCTTGACTCTTCCCTTTGGCTAAGTGAATTTGGCGTCCCAAAATTTAATTTCCTTTCACATTTCCCCCCTTTTTTTTCTTTAAAATCTTTTGGAGAAAAGCATTTTAAAAAGGAATGTGGGTTCCTGGCCTCAGGTTGCTGCTTCCTCCTTTCTTCCCACCTGCTGGTTTGTTGTTGCTGGGATGGTTTATTCCTAGAAGTTCAAGTCCTCCGTCACGAGGAATGCTCATTCCTAGGAGATCATGTCCCACGAAGATAAAAAATAGGGAGGAAAGGAAAAAAGAGGAAAAAAAGAAAAATGTATAGGGACCTAGGCCAGACTTATAGCAACAAAAGGAGGGCAAAACTGGAAGCTAGGTCAGGCTACATTACTGCCTCCTGAATTAGAGCAATTCTCTGAGCAGTCATTACCCTAGCCCTTTCAGTTACACATGGACTTATTTGCAAACATATACCACAACAACATTATAAGCAAAAACAGGACAGATCAGAAATTGTTCTTATTATAAGCACTAGCTTGTGCCACCAAGTTCCCCAGAATCCAAACCAGCTGCTCAACCAATCAGTGAGGGTTTTGGGTCTGACAGGTTGATTATCTGGGTTTTCATATCAGTCATAAGCCGGGTTATGTTCTTCATTTTCTGGAATATACACACAACATTCAGTTGTTCTGGTGCAAGTGCCCCCTTGTGCTGCCGTTAGTGTATCTAAAGCCATATGATTTTGCAGCACTGCTTTCCTCATAAGCATGACCCCGTCGTTTGGCAAAGAGGTAACTCATGTAGCCATCATTCAGGGCCTTTTGGGTGTAATTTGTTAAGGCTTCTATATCCCATATAGCATCTTCAATAGCTATCTGTGGTACAAAGATTGAAGTTAAATGATCATACCATTGGAATACTGAACGTGTCCAACGAGATTGTAAATGAAAAAGGTTTGCTGTTTTTGGCAGGGTCTGAATTACTCGTCCTTGTGCCCAAGCATAACCTGGGGAGCATCATCCCAACCACCCTGGAGGTGACCACAGCCATAAGTTAGTGCCACATAGCCAA
Source organism: Homo sapiens (assembly GCF_000001405.40). Lineage (NCBI taxonomy): Eukaryota > Metazoa > Chordata > Mammalia > Primates > Hominidae > Homo > Homo sapiens. Next base: position 80,031,369 of record NC_000018.10, on the reverse strand, counting down.
TATGTCCCACTTGGAGCTAGCCAATAAATAGTTGGTCACTGCACCCAGTCAGTGGCATGCCAGTCAGTGTCTCATAATACAATAATGTGGTCACAACATTCTCCAGGTGTCCACCCCATATATCTTCCTACTGTTTGGCCACAGGTCCTGGGTGTGATTTCTTTGCTCCCAGCACAAAGGAACATTTTGACTGAGTTGGCCAAACGAAGGGGTGAACCAGATAAATCCATCCCAAGTTTGCATTATTCCATTGTGAAAACGGGCCATTGTTTGGGGCATGGTCACCACTTTGTTTTAGTTGGGGGAAATGCTGAAGTGAGAGCTAATGAGCTGGTCCTTTCCACTGAAAAACTTTTCCCATGTCCTTTGTTCTTAAGAGTGTTTTTATTTGTTCATTTATTTTGACATGGAATCTCACTCCATCGCCCAGGCTGGAGTGCAGTGGCGTGTTCTCAGCTCACTGCAACCTCCAACTCCCGGGTTCAAGCAATTCTCCTGCCTCAGCCTGCCAAGTAGCTGGGATTACAGGCATGCACCACCACACCTGGCTAATTTTTGCATTTTTAGTAGAGACAGGGTTTCACCATGTTGACCAGGCCTGGTCTGAAACTCCTGATCTCAAATGATCCACCCACCTCGGCCTCCTAAAGTGCTAGGATTACAGGCGTGAGCCACTGCGCCTGGCCAAGAGTGTTTTTAATGGGCCAACTATATATATTGTCTTTTGTTATGCCAGCATGAAGGATACCAAACTGTTTCTGTGATGTAATAAATTTTTGGTATTCTATCCAGTCCTGACCTTGGAAGGAGGATACCCACCACTGGAGGCTGGAGCCACTGGAAAGAGGCGTAAGTCCGCATATCAAGCAGGTGTTCTTATGTAATTTGTCTGCATAATCCTGAGCCCATTGTAGAAACAGGTTTGTTTCATGGGCATCAGTGGGTGGCAGTGGCAAGAAGGTGAAGGGATACATGATTAATAATAGCAAGGTTGTGAAATTCATCTTAGTTACTAAAGGGTGTTAAATCAGACAAGGCAAGTGCCCTGTTCTTTATTAGACAGCAGATGACAGTATATCTAGGACAATAATTGTAATGGTTATTGTGCAGTAAACATAGGCATTTCTTTGTGTACAGGCCTGGTCCTGTGTCTTGGGTTTAAGCAGTCCACAACAGCTGTTGTCTGCTTCTAATCCTGGGTTGAAGGTCAATGTTTAGTGAACTGGAGGCAAAGGTCTTTGGTGGGAGTTACAATCCACTCAGGAGGTTGTGCCTTAAGATGAGAGAGATGAATCCATGAGTCTACACCTTCTAATTTTATGGGACATAGATTAGTCAATAGTACCTGGTGTGGGCCCTTCCATTGGGGTTGAAGGGAATTCTTTATTAGATGTCTTTTCCAATAGACAAAATCTCTGGGTTGCAGATTGTGACCAGGCACCTTATCTTCATGGAGCACACTATGAAAGGAATTCTTTATCAAATCTTGGCTTTTTTTTAAGGCGATAAGTCCCTCACAATGTTGCAATATATCTCCCTTGAGAAAAGTTGGGTTGATTATGTTTGTTCCCATACACATGGGCCTCTGTTATTATTTCTTGAGGACACAGTTGTTTTCCAAAAGGGGTGGATTGGAGTTTAAGCAGCACTAGGGGGAGTGCTTTGGGCTAGGGGAGGTGAAATGCCTGGAGGTGAATTTAGCCAGTTGTGCCTCTCCACTAGGCCTGAGGATTGGGGATGGTAGGCACAATGGAAATGTGAAAATATGAGCCAAGTTTTACAAATATTTTGAATAACCTGGCCAGTAAAGTGAGTTCCCCTGTCGCTGTGACGTTCACCTGGGACTCACCACAGTGGGATAATTTTTTCTAGTAGGATTTTTCCAACTGCCATGGCTGTGGCTTGCCTGCAGGGAAAGCTTTAACCCAATGAGAAAACATGCAGAGCATTAGTAAAACATACTTGTAATCTTGAGATGATAGCAGCTGAATAAAATCAAGCTGCCATACCTCAAAAGGTCCAGCTGGAAGGGGAAAGTGACCCTGGGCGACTTTCCTTTATATTAGGGACAAATAACACATCAAGAGTAAATATTTTGTGCCACTGTGAAGGATGGTTTCCAGTAATATTGTTTATGCTGGGATATCATTTTATCTGGGTTACAATGGGTTAGATTATGGACATATTCCATAAGGGGCACCTGACATCCCACTGGAATAATGGTTATTAGGTCCACACTGTATTTCAGTTTCGGGAGAAAAGTGTCTCCCTGACTGTTTCCAGGTAGATTTCTCTTTTGCAGGAGCTCTGCTCTGGGTTTCTTTCAACATGTTTCTAAGTGTTTCGGGTTTTATGGCCGTTTGGTCCTGGATTGGGGCTGGTGGCTCGGGTGCTGCTCTTTTAGCAGTGGCATCAGCCAATTGGTTACCCTTTCTGTGGTGTCTAATTTTGAGTGACTGGGATTTTTATAATTGCCAAACATTTGGGTTTTAGAATAGCTTCTAACAGCTCTGATACATGTTGTACATTTTTTATGGGTTGCCCTGAGGAGGCTAAATATCCTCCGTCTTTCCATAGCATCCCAAAGTCATGCAAACCCTAGAAGCATAGCAGCTGTCAGTGTAAATGTTTGCAGCCTTGTATTTTGCCAATTGACAACCACGGGTCAGGGCAATCAACTCGGCCACTTGAGATGATCTGGCTTCCAGAAGAGGACCGGCTTTAATTACCTCTGATAAGGAAACTATAGCATATCCTGCTCCAAAATTTCCATCTCTCCTCTTAAATAAGACCCATCTGTATACCATTCTATTTTAGCATGATCCAGTGGCATCTCTTGTAGGTCTGTCCTGGAGGTGAGAAGTCAGTCAGTCATCAGAACACAGTCATGAGGGGTCTTGTCAGAAGGGCCTGACAAGAGAGTGGCCAGATTAAGATTATTATACTGGAAGTAGTAATATTGGAAGATGGTACAAGCAAAATTTGATAAGAGGCTGACCGGTTGACAGACACACGTTGAGTATGATGAGAGTTTAGAAGGGTCTCAGGAGAATGTGGCACAGAAATGGTAAGGGGGGAACCCATACTTATTTCTTCAACAGACTTGTACAGAAGGGCCATGGTTGCTACTGCTCTCACACAAGGAGGCAGCCCTCAAGCCACCGGGTCCAGGTGTTGGCTAAAATAGCCTATAGGCCTCTGATGATCACCATGTTTCTGGATCAGTACCCTGGATGCAGTACCTCCAGTTTTGTGTGTGAAAAGGGAGAAAGGCAGTTTGTAGTTTGGGTGCCCTAAGGCTGGGGCATTAGTTAGAATTTCCTTTATTTGTTGTATAGCTGATTGTCCCTCAAGAGTCCACAAGATGGGATCAGTTTGTTCATTTTTTAAGTATGCCTACAGAGTTTGAGTCATAAAGAAGAATTTGGTATCCAGTTTCTACAATAGCCAGCCAGGACCCAAAATCCTCTAAGTTGTTTATTAGTCACAGGCATTGGGAAAGCTAAAATTCCTCTCACTCTGTCAGGGTTAATACTCAGTCCTTTGACTGAGATAATATGCCTCCAAATGCTTAACTTGCAGCAAGCATGGCTGAAGTTTGTCTTTGGACACTTTGTGTCCTTTGGTGGCTGTTTGAGTAAATATAGACCATCTTCCTGGGAGGAAGATAGTGTGCCTGAACAAAGGAGAAGGTCACCTACATACTGAATGAGTGTTGAGCCCTGGGGAAAAATTAAATCCTCTAAATCAGCTTTTAATATTTGGGAAAAGTAAGTGGGACTTTGTGTATACCCTTGAGGCATTACCGTCCACATATATTGCCCTTCTTTCCAAGTAAAGGTAAACAAATACCAGCTGTCTGGATCTACAGGAATACTAAAGAAGGCACTGCAGAGATCTGCAACTGAGAAATACTGGCTGATAGTGGGTGTAGCTGATAGGATATGTGGTTTGGGACTATTGGGTGTCTGGGTATTGCGATATTATTTATTGCCCTCAAGTCCTGTACAAATCTCCATCCCCTCCTGCTTGTTTTTTTGTTTTTGTTTTTGTTTTACAGGGAATATGGGGCTGTTGCAGGGGCTTGTGCAGGGAATAGTGAGTCCCCTTTTCAGGTAATCTTCTATGATAGGGGCGATTCCATCTATGGCTTCCTCTACAATATCGGAGACAAAACTGTTTAAGGTTGAGTAGGGGTTTCTTAGGGTTTATCTCTACCTTTATGGGAATGGCTGAGAATATTTTCCCTATATCTGTATTTGACTGAGACCGTAAGTGGAACGGACATCCTTGAGCAAGCGTTCTGCTTCTGGTGTAAACAGGAAAATTGGGGAAGCTAAGAGGAGTTTTATCATTTCCTATTCTTTATTCCAATGTCTTCTCTTCTCCCCTAATATTTCCTCCTCTCTCTCCAATTCATTTTCCTGGTCACAAGATTATGTTTTAACATTACTGGTACTAAATTGTGGTACATTGTCAGGACATTATTTTAATTTGGTATTTTTGGTCCTCTGGTTCCAATTCTTAAAAAAGTTCACCTTTTGATGAAAAAGATATGTCGGCATTATGGATGTTGAGGAGATCATGGCCCAAAAGATTGACAAGGGCCGCAAGGCATATAAGAGACATGTGGGACCTGCTGAGCACGTCACACTTAGAGTCTGTGGTGGGGGAGCTGAACCCAATGAAACGGGAAAGTAAAGGTTTGTACTTAAAACGTAAGATTGTTTTATTAGACATACCCACCATGTTAACTTTTTTATTACTCCGAGGAATGGGGTTTCTAAATAAGCTGGGATTTGTCAGAGATACAGTCATGCCTGTGTCAATAAAGGCAGTTGTCAGCTCATGGTTATTATATTAATCTCCCTCAGTTTTTTTTGTCAGGGTAGAATATTTGGAGACGTGAAACTCCTGTACTTTCTCGGAGCACCCCTAGTCTTCCTGAGTTGCATTTTCCTGCCTTTTCTTTCATTTCAGCCTAAGGCAATCCCTTTTAAGGGGTCCCGGACTTTTACAGCAGCAACAGACTGGGAGGGAAGGGTTCTCAGACCTAGAGAACTTAAAAACCTGTCTGGGGCTGATAGGTTTTGAAGTTAATTGCTTTAGCTGTACATGCATAACTCCAGCAATCTTCTGTTTTTCCTTTTTTATCGTAGCGTGGGATAATCGGTCAGCTAAGTTAACCAGTTCATTAGTTCTGGCTATGGCCCAGTTTATCATGTGGCATTTTACAAGTGTGGCTAAATCATCATCTAGTCCGTTTAATAAATTTGCCTTTAATAATGTATCATTTTTATTTTCAAAGCAATCAGCTGTCATCTCACAATATTGTCTAAAAGTTATATCAAGATGTGTGAAATAATCTAAAACTAATGCATTTGGGTTCTGGCAGCATTGCTGGATTTTTCTCCAATCCACAGCCCTTTGGAGCACTGGAGGAATAGTATTTAACAGTCATTGCTTGCTCCTGTGCATCTTTACACCTGTCTTCTGGATTTGGGGGGTGCTGGTTGTTGTGGCTCTACTGGGCCTTCAGGGGTCAAATCTGTTATAGGGTCTGACCATTGTGCTTTTTCTAGCTGTTCTTTAGCTTTAGCTTCTGAGACCAACATGTGGACCAGCTGATAAAGGTCTGAATGACCTGGGTCATAGGTTCTGATACTGAGCTCAAATTCTTGGGCAAACCTGATTGGATCTTTATGGGGGCCAGGAAATTCTTTAACTATGACTCACAATTCAGCCTTTGACCAAGGTTGGTAGACAATCGCTGGGGCTCCGCTACCTGTTACCAGTTGTTCCCAAAATGGGGTGGTCATAAGAGAAATCTCCATAGGATTCCCCTTTTCTACATCTTCCAGATGAGACGCTGCCATTGGGGCTGTCGGGGAATCAGCAGCAGCTGGGGTCTTTGAAGTCCGATTCCTGCCTGCCTTTTGTTGAGCGAGTGTTAAACATGAAGGAGAAAAGTGGGACAGATCTGGTCTGGGGAAGTTCAGAGAGGTCAGGGTACAGTGGGAGTGTAGGTGGAGTTACCAAGTGGGAATAAGGGATTTCAAGGATTTCTTTAAGAGACGTAAAAGATTAGAGAGTTCTTGATTAGCATTTCTAAGTTGCTGGTTTGCCTCCTATAGGGAGATGAGGCAGTCTTCACCCCTTTTGCTACTCTCCAGGTACCACTGAAAATAACTCTCCCATTCTGGTTGCTTATTTGTTGTGCCTGCATTTTTTATCCTGGTTCTCAGGTACACTAATTCGGGCATCTCAAAAGATCCCCATTTAGGTCATTGTAACTTAGAATCTGCTTTAGTTATAGTGGTCCACTTGTTTAAATATTTGCATGATGATTTGTGATTTGCCATAAGTACTTTGCATATAGCCAGCCAGAGTTTCTAAAGGGGAATTTTGTGTTCTGCAGCTGCTGGGGTCTTAGAGGACTTGTTCCTCATAATTTAGAGCTCCTTTTCAGATTTGATGAAGTCGGGACATATGTCGGACCCAAAATGTGCTGCTTGCAGACCTGGCTTTTCAGGGCCGTTACCTCCTGAACCGGTTTGGTCTACCTGTGTCACGGCTACCTGGCACAAGTGTGTCAGGGGCTCAAGTTGCAGGACGGGTCGGTTCCTTATATGCACCTGCCGGCTGAGATGAGACCCTAAATATGTTCTTCTGAAAGAGGAAACCTATTTGGAGCTGCTGCACGTCTTAGGGAGCGTTTCTCCCAGACACCCTCAGGTGATTCTCAGTTGCCTGAGAATGCCCCGGAAGGCTGAGGGAAGCAAGGTGCTCTATTTCTCCAGCATGGAAGATTCCACAGTCATGAGCTAGAGGGTTCAGAGTTGGTCACATCTGATTGGGGAAAGGACTGAAACATATACACATACACACACACACAAAGCAGAGACAAGCAACAAAAACAGTTAAGCAAAACTAACAATGATCACACAAAATATACGATTTCTAAGCACTCCAAGTGTAAGCAGGAAGTTAGCACCAGCTGGTTGTTAGTGCTAATTTTAGTCATTTAAAGAATTTGCAAGACAGAATTCCAAACCAGTTTCTTACCTAGTGATAGGGCCCAAGCTGGAGACTGCTCTCTGCCAATGCAAAAACAGACAAACTCACCTTCCATGATGGAAGCCAGTGGAAAAACTCCCACAAAAAGGGAGTTTTTTTTTTTTTAAACAGTGAATAAACCTCAGACCCCCCCAGCTGAGAAACATTGGAAGATCAGGGATCCCTGGAGGAAGAGGTCCCAGACTTCGGCAAATTGTCCTGTTGGTTTGGGCTACAAGGTGCCCGAGCCAGTACCAAGCACTGAAAGGCAAACTGCCCCAGGCCAGGCTACTTTCACTCAGGATCCCTTCGTGGTTACCGGATGTCAATCGAAGAAAGTGACAAGACAAATCTCAATCATTTTAGAAAATTTATTTGCCAAAGTTAAGGACGTGCCCAGGAGACAGGCCTATGCTTTTCTTCAGAGATGACTTTGAGGGCTTCAAATTTAAAGGGGAAAGGGTGGGATATTGAGAAGCACAGAATACTGAGATCTTGCTGGGTAAAGTTAGTCAGTGTCTTAGTAATCAGGAATGTAATTCAAAAAGTTATTGTTTTTGTAACTTCCTAGAAGCAGGGAATTCAATATTTTAGTCTAAATTTTTACCTAGTAAGGTCCCTTCTATCCCTCAATAATAAATATTCATGGTAACATATGGGAGGATATTTCACCCTCAGTGAATATCCTCCTCTCCATTTGGTTCTTTTTTCTTTCATATAAAAGTTCAGCATTGTTCAATAAATTTAAGCAGTTCCTTTATAAGACAAGTTAATTTTCTTATGCTGGTTGCATGGGGGTGGGGGGCATGCTATGGGGACATCCTATCAAACCCCAAACCTCTCTAACTTTTGCCTGGAAAGAATTTGGAGTCAGAGTTTTTACGTAACGTTTGCAACCCTACGGCGCCACCTAGTGGAATAGGATTTTTCTCCATGGGAAGCCCTGTCAGCCCTCTTCCCCAAACTTCTAGTTTCCTAATTCTTTTTCCTTTTATGTCCCTCTATCAGTGATCAGGCAACATGTCCTATTTGTAAACAAAAAAACTCCACTTTCAACAGCCAGGAGGAAGCTATCCTAATAAAACAGGTCTTAGCTTCAATACTGTCCCCATCAAAGGAAGGGCAGCCATTCAATTCTTATGTTCTTTTAAGGCACCTGTTCTGCATTCAATGACAATGGGATTTAAAGAAAAAAAAGAATTTTGTGTTTGAAAGTTAATCAGTCCCATTCTGTGGGATTCCAATTTTTCACTGGGGCCATAGCAGGGGAAGCCAAATATGGTATTAAAACACCCTCCATTAAAGAGTCTTGCCCAAGTCCAACTACTACATAATCTCTCCCAGGCCTATTGGGTACCTTGGGAGCCTTTAGGCTGAGTGGGTCTAAGAATCCAACAGGGTGGAAAGCTAGGGTCTTGCACAGGTAAGTGTGACTAGTCCTGCATACTACCTCCTCTGGATCCATGAGTAAAGGTCACACTTGTATCCATGGGGTGGCACCTATAATGGTTGCCAGGACCCAGAGAAGAGAAGGAAAGAGGAGAAGGGCAAAAGGGCAACACCTTTTCTCTCTTTCCTTCCACCCTTGGTCACGCCAAAGCAAGGAAGGGGACTAAGGAACACCTTGTCTCCCACTCTCTAGATGGGTAACAAACCATCTGCATTCTGTACTTCCCTTGAGTGCATTCTAAATCACTGGAACTCCTTTAACCCTACGACTCTAAAGAGAAAGTGGCGTATATTCTATTACACAAGGGCGTGGCCTTATTACCATCTTGGGAACAAACAAACCTGGCCTGAGGAAAGTCTTGATTTCTATACTATTCAACAACTAAAACTTTTCTGTAGGCAAAAGGGCAAATAGTCCAAGGTTCCCAGTGTACAGGTTTTCTTTGCCTTGCAAGATAACCTAAATCTTTGTAAGCATTGTACAGTTAACCCCACCCTTTTGGCAGCCACGTCAGGCAAGCCTGCAAAGGATGGTTCCCCAGAGTCAAGAAAAAAACCCTTGGGGAACCCTCGAAAAAAACTTCCGGGTGTCCTACCTGCCCCACAATAGCCAGATCATTAGCTCCTCTGGTAGTGCCCCTCAAGAAATTCCCAACTTCACTGTTGCCCCTGCAGGAAATGCCCAATGGTGCTACTAGGGCTCAAGTTTCCTGCTCATTGCAGGACCTTAAACAAATAAAGGGGGACCTGGGCAGGTTCTCTAATAACCCTAATAAATATATAGAGGCTTTCCAAAATTTAATCCAAGTGTTTAATCTAACTTAAAAGATGCTATGCTACTTCTAAGCCAAACCCTATTGCAAAAAAAAAAGGTATTCTAGCCCATATGGGAGCCACCATCCTTATGGCTCCAGAACAAACTCTTTGTCCTCCCCTTATTAAAAACCAATGTTAACCCAGAGGTGTGGACAAGTCACGGGAAAATTGGCCAGGCTACAACTGTTATACTGGTCCAAATTCACCTTAAAAATTCCACCTTCTTCCGTAACCAAAAGCAGTACCCGCTAAAGCCAAAAGCTGAAAAACAGAACAAAAACCTAAAAGCCATTATGAATAAATTAAAAGCACAAAACCTTCTCAAGCATTGCAACACCCCAATATTAGGGGTACAGAAACCCAGTGGGAAATGCAGGCTAGTTCAGAACCTCCATCTTGTTAATAAAGCTATAGTTCCAATCCATCCAGTGGTTCCTAATCCGTATACTTTGCTAACTCAAATACCTGAGGGAACTAAATGATTCAGTTTTAAACCTAACAAGTGCCTTTTTCTGCATACCATTGCACCCTAACTCCCAATACTTGTTTGCTTTAAGAAAGTCCCTCCAACCAGCCAGGGGCAGTGGCTCATGCCTGTAATCCCAGCACTTTGGGAGGCCGAGGGGGGCAGATCACGAGGTCAGGAGATCAAGACCATCCTGGCTAACACAGTGAAACCCCGTCTCCACTAAAAAATACAAAAAATTAGCCAGGCATGGTGGCGGGTGCCCATAGTCCCAGCTACTCGGGAGGCTGAGGCAGGAGAATGGCATGAACCTGGGAGGTGGAGCTTGCAGTGAGCTGAGATCATGGCACTGTAGTCCAGCCTGGGCAACAGAGCAAGACTCCATCTCAAAAAAAAAAAAGATCCCTCCAACCAGGCTAACTAGTTAACCTGTACAGTGCTGCCTCAGGGAGTCCAAAACAGTGCCCACCTGTTTGGGCAAGCATTATCAAAAAATCTCTCTGAGTTTTCTCATCCTCAGGTTAAAGTTTTACAATATGTATATAATATTATCCTCTGTGCCCCAACTGAGGGGGTTTCTCAAGAAGGCACTAACGCTCTTTATTTTCTAGCAGGTAGAGGATATAAAGTTTCCAAATCTAATGCTCAGCTCTGTCAAACTTCAGTGAGGTACCTTGGTCTAGTCTTGTCAGAAAGAACCAAAACATTAGGTGAGAAGATAATTAAGACTATTTCCCCATTTCTCCTCCCTGGAACACTCAAACAGCTAAGAGGATTTTTGGGCATTACAGGTTTTTGTAAATTGTAAATACCTGGGTACAGTAAAATGGCTTGCCCTTTATACTGCCTTATAAAATAAACTCAATCAGCTATAAACTCACTCCCTAACTTAAAAACCTGAGGCTCAGAAGGCCTTTAATCAGCTAAAGCCTGACTTAAAGCACCTACGCTCAGTCTTCCCATAGGGAAGGCGTTTAATCTTTATGTCTCAAAAAGAAAGGGAATAGCCTTGGGAGTTTTAACTTAGGCTCAAGGTCCACCCCAGCAGCCATTTGGTTACCTAAGCAAAAAGCTTAACTTGGTGGCTAAAAAATGGCCAGCTTGCCTCTGAGCAGTTGCAGTTGCATGGTTGAGTTAGCCATGAGGAATAAGTTAACTGTTTACACACCCCATAATGTAGCAGCACTGCTATCCTCTAAAGGAAGTCTGTGGCTAACAGGTAATCACCTCCTCAAATATCAAGCTTTGCTGCTGGAAAAACCTGCAGTTCAGTTAAAGACCTGTCCTGGCCTGAACCCAGCCACTTTCCTCCCAGAGGAAACTGGAGAACCTGAACAGGAGTGTAAACAAATGGTGGTGCAAATCTATGCAGCCAAAAAAACCTCAAGGAAATAGGAGGAGGAAGTCACATCTTACGTGGATGGTGGTGGGCAAAGAGAGAGCCTGTGCTGGCAAACTCCCGTTTTTAAAGCCATCAGATTTCCTGAGACTCATTCACTATCATGAGAACAGTGCAGGAAAGACCCGCCCCCACAATTCAATCACCTTTCACCGGGTTCCTCCCACAACACAAGGGAATTGTGGGAGTTACAATTCAAGATGAGATTTGGGTGGGGACACAGCCAAACCATATCACTATCTTGGGGTTCCCTCTGCTGGCTTTACCTTTAACCATTAAAAATGGATATAAATAAAGCATGGTATGGGAGCATTTTTAACGCTACGCAAAAAAACACACACCCTGAGGGTAAGACTTACTCCTTTAGACTAGGTAAAGTTAATAAGATAGCAAATGCCTTCTTCTGCTTTAAAAGCAGAGGAAAAGAACCATACTTGGGAAACCTTTAAATATTCCAAAAGTATGCTCATAATTGCTAAGAGTACAGAGATCTGGAGACTAAGAAGGAACAAGGGTGACACCAAACTGGGAGAGACTATAGAAAAATTTTAATCTAGCCAGACCTCCTAGGTGGAATTCCCAATGGGAATAGCTATCCCTGGGCAGAAATGCCACCCCTTGCCAACCTTATTATCAGGTAATAAATAACACATGGTCCTTGATATGGTTTGGCTGTGTCCCCACCAAAATCTCAACTTGAATTTTATCTCCCAGAATTCCCATGTGTTGTGGGAGGGACCCAGGGGGAGGTACTTGAATCATGGGAACCAGTCTTTCCTGTGCTGTTCTCATGATAAATTCTCTTGAGACCTGATGGGTTTATCAGGGGTTTTTGCTTTTGCTTCTTCCTCATTTTCTCTTGCTGCCACCATGTAAGAAGTGCCTTTCACCTCCCACCATGATTTTGAGACCTCCCCAGCCATTTGGAAATAAGTCCAATTAAACCTTTTCTTGTTCCTAGTTTCAGGTATGTCTTTATCAGCAGCATGAAAACAAACTAATGCAGTACATTGGTACCAGTAGAGTCGGGTGTTGCTGAGAAGATATCCGAAAATGCAGAAGTGACTTTGGAACTAGGTAACAGGCAGAGATTGGAAAAGTTTGAAGGGCTCAAGAGAAGACAGGAAAGTGTAGGAAAGTTTGGAACTTCCTAGAGGCTTGTTGAATGGCTTTGTCCAACATTTTGATAGCGATATGGACAATAAAATTCTAGCTGAGGTAATTTCAGATGAAGATGAGGAATTTGTTGGGAACTGGAGCAAAGGTGACTCTTGTTTTGTTTTAGCAAAGATACTGGTGGCATTTTGCCCCTGCCCTAGAGAACTGTGGAACTTTTAACTCGAGAGAGATGATTTAGGGTATCTGGCAGAAGAAATTTCTAAGCAAAGCATTCAAAAAGTGACGGGTGCTGTTAAAAGCATTTTGTTTCAAGGAATTTATCCATTTCTTCTAGATTTTCTAGTTTATTTGCGTAGAGGTGTTTGTAGTATTCTCTGATGGTAGTTTGTATTTCTGTGGGATCGGTGATGATATCCCCTTTATCATTTTTATTGCGTCTTTTTGATTCTTCTCTCTTTTTTTCTTTATTAGTCTTGCTAGCAGTCTATCAATTTTGTTGATCCTTTCAAAAAACCAGCTCCTGGATTCATTAATTTTTTGAAGGGTTTTTTTGGTCTCTATTTCCTTCAGTTCTGCTCTGATTTTAGTTATTTCTTGCCTTCTGCTAGCTTTTGAATGTGTTTGCTCTTGCTTTTCTAGTTCTTTTAATTGCGATGTTAGCGTGTCAATTTTGGATCTTTCGTGCTTTCTCTTGTGGGCATTTAGTGCTATAAATTTCCCTCTACACACTGCTTTGAATGTGTCCCAGAGATTCTGGTATGTTGTGTCTTTGTTCTCGTTGGTTTCAAAGAACATGTGTATTTCTGCCTTCATTTCGTTATGTACCCAGTAGTCATTCAGGAGCAGGCTGTTCAGTTTCCACATAGTTGAGCAGTTTTGAGTGAGTTTCTTAATCCTGAGTTCTAGTTTGATTGCACTGTGGTCTGAGAGACAGTTTGTTATAATGGATAAATTCCTTGACACATACACTCTCCCAAGACTAAACCAGGAAGAAGTTGAATCTCTGAATAGACCAATAACAGGATCTGAAATTGTGGCAATAATCAATAGCTTACCAACCAAAAAGAGTCCAGGACCAGATGGATTCACAGCCGAATTCTACCAGAGGTACAAGGAGGAACTGGTACCATTCCTTCTGAAACTATTCCAATCAATAGAAAAAGAGGGAATCCTCCCTAACTCATTTTATGAGGCCAGCATCATCCTGATACCAAAGCTGGGCAGAGACACAACCAAAAAAGAGAATTTTAGACCAATATCCGTGATGAACATTGATGTAAAAATCCTCAATAAAATACTGGCAAACCGAATCCAGCAGCACATCAAAAAGCTTATCCACCATGATCAAGTGGGCTTCATCCCTGGGATGCAAGGCTGGTTCAATATACACAAATCAATAAATGTAATCCAGCATATAAACAGAACCAAAGACAAAAACCACATGATTATCTCAATACATGCAGAAAAGGCCTTTGACAAAATTCAACAACACTTCATGCTAAAAACTCTCAATAAATTAGGTATTGATGGGACGTATCTCAAAATAATAAGAGCTATCTATGACAAACCCACAGCCAATATCATACTGAATGGGCAAAAACTGGAAGCATTCCCTTTGAAAATTGGCACAAGACAGGGATGCCCTCTCTCACCACTCCTATTCAACATAGTGTTGGAAGTTCTGGCCAGGGCAATTAGGCAGGAGAAGGAAATAAAGGGTATTCAATTAGGAAAAGAGGTAGTCAAATTGTCCCTGTTTGCAGATGACATGATTGTATATCTAGAAAACCCCATCGTCTCAGCCCAAAATCTCCTTAAGCTGATAAGCAACTTTGGCAAAGTCTCAGGATACAAAATCAATGTACAAAAATCACAAGCATTCTTATACACCAATAACAGACAAACAGAGAGCCAAATCATGAGTGAACTCCCATTCACAATTGCTTCAAAGAGAATAAAATACCTAGGAATCCAACTTACAAGGGATGTGAAGGACCTCTTCAAGGAGAACTACAAACCACTGCTCAATGAAATAAAAGAGGATACAAACAAATGGAAGAACATTCCATGCTCATGGGTAGGAAGAATCAATATCGTGAAAATGGCCGTACTGCCCAAGGTAATTATAGATTCAATGCCATCCCCATCAAGCTACCAATGACTTTCTTCACAGAATTGGAAAAAACTACTTTAAAGTTCATATGGAACCAAAAAAGAGCCCGCATCGCCAAGTCAATCCTAAGCCAAAAGAACAAAGCTGGAGGCATCACGCTACCTGACTTCAAACTATACTACAAGGCTACAGTAACCAAAACAGCATGGTACTGGTACCAAAACAGAGATATAGATCAATGGAACAGAACAGAGCCCTCAGAAATAACGCTGCATATCTACAACTATCTGATCTTTGACGAACCTGAGAAAAACAAGCAATGTGGAAAGGATTCCCTATTTAATAAATGGTGCTGGGAAAACTGGCTAGCCATATGTAGAAAGCTGAAACTGGATCCCTTCCTTACACCTTATACAAAAATTAATTCAAGATGGATTAAAGACTTAAAAGTTAGACCTAAAACCATAAAAACCCTAGAAGAAAACCTAGGCATTACCATTCAGGACATAGGCATGGGCAAGGACTTCATGTCTAAAACACCAAAAGCAATGGCAACAAAAGCCAAAATTGACAAATGGGATCTAATTAAACTAAAGAGCTTCTGCGCAGCAAAAGAAACTACCATCAGAGTGAACAGGCAGCCTACAAAATGGGAGAAAATTTTCGCAACCCACTTATCTGACAAAGGGCTAATATCCAGAATCTACAATGAACTCAAACAAATTTACAAGAAAAAAACAAACAACCCCATCAACAAGTGGGCAAAGGATATGAACAGACACTTCTCAAAAGAAGACATTTATGCAGCCAAAAGACACATGAAAAAATGCTCATCATCACTGGCCATCAGAGAAATGCAAATCAAAACCACAATGAGATACCATCTCACACCAGTTAGAATGGCAATCATTAAAAAGTCAGGAAACAACAGGTGCTGGAGAGGATGTGGAGAAATAGGAACACTTTTACACTGTTGGTGGGACTGTAAACTAGTTCAACCATTGTGGAAGTCAGTGTGGCGATTCCTCAGGGATCTAGAACTAGAAATACCATTTGACCCAGCCATCCCATTACTGGGTATATACCCAAAGGACTATAAATCATGCTGCTATAAAGACACATGCACACATATGTTTATTGCAGCACTATTCACAATAGCAAAGACTTGGAACCAACCCAAATATCCAACAATGACAGACTGGATTAAGAAAATGTGGCACATATACACCATGGAATACTATGCAGCCATAAAAAATGATGAGTTCATGTCCTTTGTAGGGACATGGATGAAATTGGAAATCATCATTCTCAGTAAACTATCACAAGGACAAAAAACCAAACACCGCATGTTCTCACTTATAGATGGGAATTAAACCATGAGAACACATGGACACAGGAAGGGGAACATCACACTCTGGGGACTGTTGTGGGGTGGGGGTAGGGGGGAGGGATAGCATTAGGAGATATACCTAATGCTAAATGACGAGTTAATGGGTGCAGCACACCAGCATGGCACATGTATACATATGTAACTGACTTGCACATTGTGCACATGTACCCTAAAACTTAAAGTATAATAATAATAATAATAATAATTTTTTAAAAAAGCATTTTGTTTTAAAAGGGAAACAGAACATAAAAGTTCAGAAAATTTGCAGCCTGATCAATGAAGTAGAAAAGAAAAGTCCATTTTTTTTTTTGAGGAGAAATTCAAGCTGGCTGCAGAAATCTGCATAAGTAACAAGGAGCCAAATGTTAGTCCCCAAGACAATGGGGAAAATGTCTCCAGGGCACGTCATAGGTCTTCATGGTGGCCCCTGCCATCACAGACCCAGAAGCCAAGGAGGAAAAAATGTTTTTGTGGGCTGGGCCCAGGGTCCCCTTGCTGTGTGCGGCCTAGGGACTTGGTGCCCTGTGTCCCAGCCACTCCAGCTGTGGCAGAAAGGGGCCAACATACAGCTTGGGCTGTGACTTCAGAGGCTGGAAGCCACAAACCTTGGCAGTTTCCATGTGGTGTTGAGCCTGTGACCGCACAGAAGTCAAGAACTGAAGTTTGGGAACCTCTTCCTAGATTTCAGAAGATGTATGGAAATGCCTGGATGCCCAGACAAAAGTTTGCTGCAGGGGCTGGGCGCTCATGGAGAACCTCTGCTAGGGTGGTGCAGAAGGGAAATTTGGGGTTGGAGCCCCCACACAGAGTCCCTACTGGGAAACTGCCTAGTGGAACTGTGAGAAGAGGGCCAGAATCCTCCAGACCCCAGAATGGTAGATCCACTGACAGTTTGCACCGTCTACCTGGAAAACTAAACATGGCGTGTAGCAGACACTCAACGCCAGCCCATGAAAGCAGCCTGGAGGGAGGCTGTACCCTGCAAAGCCACAGGGGTGGAGCTGCCCAAGACCATGGGAACCCACCTCTTGCATCAGTGTGACCTGGATGCGAGACCCGAAGTCAAAGGAGATCATTTTGGAGCCTTAATATTTGACTGCCCTGCTGGATTTCAGACTTGCATGGGTCCTGTAACCCCTTTGTTTTGGCCAGTTTCTCCCATTTGGAATGGCTGTATTTACCCAATACCTGTACCTTTATTGTATATAGGAAGTAACTAGCTTGTTTTGATTTTACAGGCTCATAGGTAGAAGGGACTTGCTGTGTTTCTGATGAGACTTTGGACTATGGACTTTTGGGGTAATTCTGAAATGAGTTAAGACTTTGGGGGACTGTTGGGAAGGCATGATTGGTTTTGAAATGTGAGGATATGAGATTTGGAGGGGCCGGGGAAGAATGATATGGCTTGACTGTGTCCCCACCGAAATCTCAACATGAATTGTATCTCCCAGAATTCCTACATGTTGTGGGAGGGACCCAGGGGGAGGTAATTGAATCATGGGGGCTGGTCTTTCCTCTGCTAGTCTCAGGATAGTGAATAAGTCTCTTGAGAGCTGATGGGTTTATCAGGGCCTTCTGCTTTTGTTTCTTCCTCATTTTGTCTTGCTGCCACCATGTAAGAAGTGCCTTCACCTCCCTCCCTGTTTCTGAGATCTGCCCAGCTATGTGGAAATATAAGTCTAATTAAGCCTTTTTGTTGTTGTTGTTCCTAGTTTCAGGTACGTCTTTATCAGCAGCATGAAAATGAACTAATACAGTCCTTCCCAAAGATGCCCACACATGAAATCTCGGACCCTTGTGTAATATTTAACAGAAGTAGGCTGGGTGCAATGGCTCACGCCTGTAATCCCAGCACTTTGGGAGACTGAGGTGGGTGGATCACGAGGTCAGGAGTTCGAGACCAGCCTGACCAACATGGTGAAACCCCCTTTCTACTATAAATACAAAAAGAAATAAAAAATTAGCCGGGCGTGGTGGCGCATGCCAGTAATCCCAGCTACTTGGGAGGCTGAGGCAGGAGAATCGTTTGAACCTGGGAGGTAGAGGTTGCAGTGAGTTGAGATCATGCCACTGCACTCCAGCCTGGGCAACAGAGTGAGACTCCATCTCAAAAATAATAATAATAATAAAATATTTAATGGGGCCAGGTGTGGTGGCTCACGCCTGTAATCCCAGCACTTTGGGAGGCCGAGGCGGGGGGATCATGAGGTAGGAGATCGAGAGCATCCTGGTTAACATGGTGAAACCCCGTCTCTACTAAAAATACAAAAAATTAGCTGGGCATGGTGGCGGGCACCTATAGTCCCAGCTACTCAGGAGGCTGAGGCAGGAGAATGGTGTGAACCCAGGAGGCGGAGCTTGCAGTGAGCCAAGATCGCGCGCCACTGTGCTCCAGCCTGGGGGACAGAGCCAGACTCCGTCTCAAAAAAAAAAAAAAAATTTTTTTTTTTCCTTTTTTAATTTTTTTTGTTCTCTCTCTCTTATTTTTTCTTTCTTCAAACCCTTGTGTCGAGGGCTGACTTTCAACAGATCGCAGCGAGGGAGCTGCTCTGCTATGTACGAAACCCCGACCCAGAAGCAGGTCGTCGACGAATGCTTTAGCACCAGGTTCCCCAGGAACGTGCGTTGCGTGACGGGCGAGGGGGCGGCCGGCCGCCTTTCCGGCCTCACCCCGTTTCCCAGGAGGAAGGGCACTCCGCACTGGACCCCGGTCCCAAAAAAAAAAAAAAAATTTAATGGAAGTAATCTGCAAATTTGTGGACTAATGGGATGTCTAAACCAACAGACCCTGTAAAGAGGGTTGTCTAAGATATTGGCCAGGACATTCTGTGTCTCTAATTTTTCAAAACTCTATTTGCCAAAAAGATTCTTCCTACGCAGCATGTATAGTTCCAAATGGTACTGTGGATAACTAGACTAAGTATGGATATCCTTATCCTAAAGATATTGCCATTAGATATAGGGAAGGCAACCTTATAAGGCCTGGACTAAATCTAGCTGAAACTCTCATGAACCACAACATAAAACCATCCCTTCAGGGAACAGGGCTTTACTTTCTCTATGGCTCCTGGGTACACTTAATTCTCCCCAGGCACTGGAGAGGAGCAGGCACTATAGTGGCAGTGGTCCCCAGTGTGTTATTTTTAAACCCTTCTAACACGGTAGCATTGTCAGGTAACATCCCTAATTTAGCCTCTTTTCTGGAAAGTGCATTCTCTCACACATACCAAAACGGAAGGTCACTTATCTCTATGTCATCATATGGAGATTTAACAGAAAAAACTTAAAAGGACATGCACACAAGAATCCTATATTAGAAAAACCAGGAATAGGACATGCAGTAGCCAAAGGCCTATCTTGGTTTGGCGGTGTCCCCTTCTTAAGAAAATCAGTGCTTAATATTTCTATCAAAATTATTGGGGAAACCAGCCCCACACTACCCGGTGGGTACCCCGAGTCCAGCAGAAACAAAGGAGTTAGAAAGAGACAGAGTAAGAGTTTAAAAGGCGCGTCCAGAGCTCTTTAGCTCCACCTAATTTATTGGTTTACAAGCTCTTTGTTCTTAGGGCAGATGGGAGGGGGAGGAAGGGATGAGGAAAAGGATTAATCAGTGAAGGAGAACTCGTTAGTCACTCAATAAGATGTTTAGCAGTCTCGGTTTCTGTGAATTTCCTCGAGCAAAGGCGTGTGTCTAAACTACTTAAGATCTTTAAAAAATGTCTTCATCCAAACTTTATAGAGAGTAAACTTCACATAAAATATATATATATAGTTCTTAAAAAAAAAAGATCTTTAACTTATAGGGACGGAAAAGGTGGGAGTGGGTTTCAGGAGGAGCCAAGATGTTTGATTATACTCCATTGCTTCAAGGAAGTGTTATCTCCCTGAGCCACCTGTGGAATGCCGCCGAGCGGTTGTGCTCTCGGGGCATAAAGACATGAAGGCAATAAGGAGACTTTTCTCCTCAGAGGCTGCTCATGGCTCCCCATGGGTGTCTCACACAGGGGAGACCAACTCATCTGGCGCCCCAGAAACTCTTTCCCACAATATTGCAGCAAGGGTGGAAGGCAACTGTAGCAGCCATAAAGGCACAACAATCCAAAATTCTGTAGCCTCAGTGGTAATGCAAAATAAACTCTCAATGTCCTTATAGCTGAAGTAGTGGGCGCCTGTGCACTCTTAAATAAAACATGCTGTTTCTGGATCAACACTTCCAGTCAGGTAGAGAAAAATTTACAAGTCCTTAAAAACCAAATTGAAATCACTAACAAATTAAGGGAAAATGCAAACTCCCGTCCCAGTTGGCTACAATCCCTTTTTAATAAATTCGAGTCTTGGTTTTGGGCCTGGTTAGCTCCCCTACGAAAACCTCTTTTCCTTATATGTTTTATATTAGTGTTTGGCCTTTGCATACTCAATGATATAACCCAAATTGTTTCCTTTCCCGAGGGGCTAACAAGCACCAAATGGTAATGCAAATAAAACCACACATGGATGTGCCTTTCTTCCGCGGACCCTTAAACCAACCCCAGGAGGAACCCTAGCTGCTCTTCCCCCACACAATGCCCCTTTCCAGCAGGAAGTAGCCAAAGAAAAAAAAAAAGCAATGCCCAACCTCCCCAACAGCAGTTGGGTCTCTACTCCACGGGGGGACTGAAAGGAGTTAGCTTGCCTTAGGTAGACAGCAAGGGAAGAGTCCCTGGAGAGCCCCCGGCCCAAGGTCAGAGCCTTATCCCCACATAAAATAGAAAGCAGCCTGGGGTGGGGGGAAATCAGGCTGCAGGAACCAGTAAGGGAACTAGCACGTGGCGTTGTGCCTGGAGACATGCCCGTGGCTACACAGATGGAAAAACCTCCACTTGGATAAAATCTTGCACAAACCTCCAACTCACTCAAATAAGGGAACAAGGCTGGGCATAAAAATGCCTTCGTCCTTTGTATAGACAGTGGGCTCCCAGGAAGATGTTTCTTCTCATTTTTGGGCATGGGCACAGTGGGCTTCAGTGGGTTCCCGTGGACACTCTCCTTTCCTTTGTTTGGACTGTACGTCTGCCCTCTGTGAATCATCACTTCAGCCTCTGGTTGGTCCCAGGCCAAGCTGTCACTTCAGCTCCTAATAGGTCCTGGGCCAGGCTAAGCAGCCTCTGTGAATCATCGCTTCATCTTCTAACTGGTGCTGGGCCAAGCTTTCCAGTAGGTCCTGGGCCAAGGTCCCGGGACAAGCTGAGTCACGTGTTCTCGAAGACAGCCTGCAGACTAAGCACCTTTCTTCCTCTTTCCAGTTCATAGAGAACCCAGAACGGGACTCATAGTGGCCACCCCATTCAGGACCCCCTCTCTGCTGGCAGAGAGCTTTCTTCTTTCGCTTATTAAACCTTCGCCCCAACTTCACCTTTGTGTCTGTACTCCTTAATCTTCTTGAAGGTAAAACAAGAGTCCAGTTATTATCTCAAAGAACAAAAACTGTTACATCTTGGTGCATTGCGTAATAACTGGTTACAGCAGGAGCCAGGGAAAGGCCATCTCCCAAACAGACAGAAAATACCTGAAGCTGGTGATGAGCAGCTTGCTGATAAGACCTCAGGAGTTGGGTGAGTGGGCTCACACATGGCACCAAGAGGCAAAATGGTGAAGTTTAACTGGTATATGACCTTCCTCTAGGAACACTCAACTGATAAGGGAAAAATGCCTCAAGTGAGCCTGCGTACAATTTCAGTAAACACTGCGCACGCAGCCCCTCCCAAGCTCTGGCGGGACACCATGCAAGTGGACAGCCAGCTCCAAGGGAAGAATCAAGGGAGAAGAAACACAAAACCCCAAAAATCCCAAATCGAGGGTCAGGTGGGACACTCATCTCTCAAGTTGCCGACCTGGCCCTCTTGCAAGTGCACTTCACTTCCTTTCATTCTTGCTCTAAAACTTTGTAATAAACTCTCACTCTTGCTCTAAATCTGGCCTTGGTCTCTATCTCTGCCTTAAAACTATTTCTTCCTCTCAGCCAAATTCTTTCCTCCAAGGAGGCAAGAATAAAGTTGCTGCAGACCCGTATAAACTTGCCACTGGTAACAGCCCTGTTGGTGTCCCGTCCTGACAAACTTGAGAGGATCCACAGGCAGGGGCCTCCCAACAACAGGAGTGCACAGCTAAGCAGGTGTGTCATTAACCACCTGAATCGTGTGAAGTCGGAGGATAAACGCCCCGTGAAATATGGAAAAGTCAAAATGTTTACAGCTTTGCTTTTGCCCAACAGAGCAATAACTGAGGCACTGATGTTTCCTGACTGCTGTCCGCACTTTCCTCCTGCCATTCCATTCGAGCTGCTAAACAGTGAAAGGCATTTTCTTCTTGTAAGATGATGGCTTAATTTACAAAAAAAAAGTATTACTTTCGTTGAAATTGCCTTCAACAGACTTAAGGCTCTAAATACAGGATTGTCTTCCTTTAAAGCCCCTGGAAAATTGAGACCTAGAAAGAAAAATAAAGTAGGCCGGGCGCAGTGGCTCACGCCTGTAATCCCAGCACTTTGGGAGGCCGAGGAGGGCGGATCACGAGGTCTAGGAGCTGGAGACCAGCCTGGCCAATATGGTGACACCTTGTCTCTACTGAAAATACAAAAATTAGTCGGGCGTGGTGGCTCACGCCTGTAATCCCAGCTACTTGGGAGTCTGAGGCAGAAGAATCGCTTGAACTCAGGAGGCGGAGGTTGCAGTGAGCCACGATCGTGCCACTGCACTCCAGCCTGGGGGACAGAGCGAGACTCCATCTCAAAAGAAAGAAAGAAAGAAAGAAAAATGAAGTAGAATGAATTTCCAACTGCTTCTTTCAAAGGAAAGTGAGACAGACTCATACAGTCCCAGGAGATGGATGTGACACCTCTGTACCACTCAGAATTGCCTGAAGTGGGGTGGGGTGGAGGAGAACGGGGGGAAGCACTCAGGTAAAAGTACAAAGAGGGTGAACTTAATGTGGAGAAGACAGGAAGGGGGAGAGGAAGGGAATGTCATGAATATTAAAAACAGGGAACATAAAAACAATGCAACCAATTAAAATATTGTTTAGAGACAGACAAAAAGAGATACAATAAAGATGGGGTGAGGGAAGAAAAGATGACAAAAGGAGAGGACCAGGCATGAGAAGAGGAAGAGGAGAATGCGGAGGAGGCTGCTTGCCTGCTGTGGGATGGATGGCAGGGGCACTTCCCCAGACTCACTTTTCTCAGATGTAAAACTGACCAGCCTTGTGCCACAGATGTGAAGATAGCCCCATAGAACTTAAAGAGCAGACCATAACTTCCCATGAATGAGAGCTACTAACATTTACATCTGAAAAACAATTTGGATACTTACCCAAGTCTCCAACAAACAAAGTCACACTGAAGCTGGAGAGCACACTCATAACACCCGGAAAAACATTTTTTTTTAAGACTCCATCTCCCAGGCTGGAGTGCAGAGGTGCAGTCACGGCTCATTACAACCCAGACCTCCTGGGTTCAAGCGATCCTCCTGTCTCAGCCCCTCTGAGTAGCTGGGACCACAGGCGTGCGCTGCCACGCCTGGCTGATTTTGCATTTTTTGTAGAGATGGGGGTCTTACTATGTTGCCTAGGCTGTGAGGAGGGCAAAAATCATCTGGTGACCATTGGACAGGCCCCAGAGACAAATCTTCTTACCTGGGCAATTCAGAAGGGAGCCAAGACCACCTGGTGACCATCAAACAGGCCATCTGGAGGCAAAACTCCTTATCTGGGGAATTTAGAAGTAATCAAACTTCCCTAGTATCTGAAGACGGCATCTGATCATGATACAGGAACTAGAAAGAAATCATTTAGGCAGTTAGTGAGGGTGAGGGAAGAGAGAGGCCCTCTCATATTGTTTATTTAGGCCATTAGTGAGGGTGAGGGAAGAGAGAGACCCTCTCATATTGTTTCATATTGTTTTATACTCAGTACCTGATTAAAAAAAAAAACCAAGGAAGTGAAATCAAAGACAGGCAGCCCAGCGCCAGGCCCAAAACCAGGCCTGGGCCTGCCTGGCCTAAACCTAGTAGTTAAAAATCAACTCTTGACTTAGAACCCGATGTTACCCATAGATTTCAGGCATTGTATGGAAGAACATTGTGAAACTCCCTGCTCTGTTCTGTTTCTCTCCGACTCTCTCTGCACGACACCCCTGTTACGTATCCCCTAGATTGCTCAGTCAATCACAATCCTTTCATATGAAATCTTTAGTGTTGTGAGCCCTTAAAAAGGACAGAAATTGTGCATTCAGGGACCTCGCATTTTGAGACAGTAGCTTGCCGATGCTCCCAGCTGAATAAAGCCCTTCCTTCTACAACTCGGTGTCTGAGAGGTTTTGTCTGTGGCTCGTCCTGCTGCAAGGGTAAGAGAGTCCTCAGTAAGGCTTTCCTTTTAACAAAAAGCAGCCCCCAAATTATTTCTTTTCTAACAAAGAGCAGCTTGTAAAATTGAGCTGCAGACACAGATAAGCCAGCTGGAAGCCTGCATAGGTGAATGCCGGCAGCTGTGCCAATAGAAAAGGGATACCTGGAAGCCAAGTATGTTCAACATGGAGGTTCCCCTTCCATTTTCTTTGTCATCACATGTGCAGTAAAAAAGCAGGCAACGTGGCGCCTGGCGCGTAGAGACTCCATTTGCATAAAAAGATTTGCATAATAAAAGGATGAGTTGGCCGCTTCTTCCAGTGCTATGTAAATGGCACACCTGGTCCAACCAATCCTCTGTGCCCTATGTAAATCAGACACCACCTTCTCAAGCTCATCGATAAAACCATCTGGTTGCAAAGGGGGAAATCCTCTCAGAACCCCCCTCACTCTGCACAAGGGAACTTTTCTCTTTTGCCTATTAAACTCCCACTCTAAAACTCACTCATTGTGGGTCTACGTCCTCAATTTCCTTGACATGAGGCAACAAACCTCAGGTATTACCCCAGACAAATGACACCGCTTCAATTCCAGGCCTCTTTCAACTTTTATAAGTAAATAAAATTTCTAAACATCTCTGGAATGCCATGCTGAAACTCAGTTTACAACCCTAAGCTCCAGCCTTAAGGTCCATAAATGCTCCTATGGAAAATCCACCACTGGGCGCTCAATCCTCTCTCTGAGGCGCCCCACTGCACTCTGTTACAGCATTCTTCCTAATAAACTTTCCTTTTTTTTTTGAGACAGAGTCTCACTCTGTCACCCAGGCTGGAGTGCAATGGCATGATCTTGGCTCACTGCAACCTCTGCCTCCTGGGTTCAAGCGATTCTCCTGCCTCAGCCTCCCAAGTAGCTGGGACTACAGGCGCATGCCACCACACCCGGCTAATTTTCGTATTTTTAGTAGAGACAAGGTTTCACCATATTGGCCAGGCTGGTCTCGAACTCCTGACCTCGTGATCCGCCCGCCTTAGCCTCCCAAAGTGCTGGGATTACAGGCGTGAGCCACCACACCTGGCCTTGTTTATTTTTTAGAGATAAGGTCTATCTTGCCCAGGCTGGCCTCAAACCCCCAAGGTCAAGTGGTCCTCCTGCCTCAGCCTCCTGAGTACTTGGGACTACAAAATTGTGTCCCCACACTAGATAAAGCTGTTTTTGGAAAGTTCTTCTTCCTAGATATTTTTTCTTATTCTTTTTCTTTTTTCTTTTTTGAAACAGAGTCTTGCTCTGTCACCCAGGCTGGAGTGCAGTGGTGCGATCTCAGCTAACTGCAACCTCTGCCTCGCGGTTCAAGCAATTCTCCTGCCTCAGCCTCCCAAGTAGCTGGGATTACAGGCATGCACCATCATGCTGGCTAATTCTTGTACTTTTAGTAGAGACAGGGTTTTGCCATGTTGGCCAGGCTGGTCTTGAACTTCTGACCTCAAGTGATCTGCCCGCCTCAGCCTCCCAAAGTGTTGGGATTACAGATGTGAGCCACTGTGCCCTGCCAACATTTTTCAATACGGAGTTAAATAGCAAATAACACTGAGAAGCCCTGCTATAAGCTCCCAGGAAAACTATTTTCCATATTCATTTATCCAGTAGGATTCTCTGTTACTAGGCCAGAGAATGTATATTATTATTTTATTCCTGAAAAACATATCCTAAAATAAAGGGTGCACATGTAGACATTTTAAATAATACAGAATGAATACCTACATAGGCACTGCCCACCCTAAGAAAGACAGCATAAGCAATTGAAACACTCTTAACCTCTAATTCAATGGCTGTCACCTGGGGGCAATTTTTCTCCCCCCAGGGGAGCTTGCCAAGTCTGCAGACAGCCTGGGTTGTCATCACAGGGAGGGGCCACCACTGGCATCTGGTGGGTGGAGGCCAGGGCCGCTGCTCAACAACCTTCGAGTCCAGAATGCCCCATTGGCCTCAGGTGTCACCAGGGCCTTCCCTCTGCATGCTGTTCCCCCAGGAGATCATCACAATCTCACGAGACTCTCGTGTTAACCATCCCTTGCCCTTCCTCATGGTTCTACTGCACGTCTGTGTCTCTAGGTCACGTTTGGCTTTGCCTGTGTTTGAACTTCACATAAGCGGGCTCATTCAGTCCAGCCCTTTTATCACTGCAGCTCTTTAGCTATGTCTAACCTTTTTAGCCAATTCATCCTGTTTCTAATGTTAGTTGTCCTGATTTTCATTTCTGGGAATTTCCCTGGCTTCTGTTCTGGACTCTTCAATAGTTCTGATGCTTTCTCCTCCTCACTGCTTTGCACTCCTTTAAACACAGATGCATTCCTATTCTGGGTCTGATCATCTCAGGACCGGCAGCCACTGCGCACTCGATGTTTTGTTTGTGGTTTCTTGGGACTCTGCTCAAGGCTTGTTTTCTCTGGTGATTTTCTCATGAGTTCTCAGAGCGTGCACATTCACTTCTGCATGGGTCAAAGCTAAAGTTCTAAATTCAATGTGTACACAGAGGAGTTCCACAGCCCACCTTGACCTGCCCACCCACCCCTTTCACGAAGCCGAGGGCCTGGCACTTACTTTCCTCTTCAACCAGCAAAGTAACCCAGAGCTCCTGCTGCAAGGAAGTGCGAATCCCCCCCAGATTGCTGGGAATTCTCAGGAACATATCTCTGCCCTTCCACCCAGGCTCAGACAGGGAGCACTCGGTGCCTGCTTCAGGTTTCTGGCTTGAGAGATGCAGCCCCCTTCCTACCCACAGGTAAGGTGGGAGAGGCACCCACCTCTACCCACCTTTCTCTGAAGGGAGAGTTTCCCTGAGTTCATGCACTGAGAGCCACGGTCCCAGAGTCCAGGCTTTGGGTGGTGGTGTCAGGCCTCAGGCTGCCCTCAGGGCAGGCACATCAAACGCCTGGCAAGCAACAGCCCTGGAGGAAACATAAACCTCAGGGAATCCCTCTACTTACCTGCCAACCCTGCCCCAAGGAATCCCTTAACTTTCCTGCCTACACTGCCAGGCTTTTTTTTTTTTTTAAGTAGCTTATGGTGGCTCATGCCTGTGATCCCAGAAATATGGGAGGATAAGAAGGAATGATTTCTTGAAGCCAGGACTTTGAGACCAGTGACCTATCTGACATGGTCTGGCTGTGTCCCCACCCAAAATCTCATCTTGAATTGTAATCCCCATGTGTCAAGAGCAGGACCAAGCGGAGGTGACCGGATCGTGGGGGTGGTTTTCCCCGTGCTGTTGTGATAGTGAGTGAGTCTCACGGGATCTGATGGTTTTGTTAAGCGTCTGGCATTTGCCCTGCTTGCATTCATTGCATCCTGCAGCCCTGTGGAGAGGGTACCTGCCTTCTGCATTGATTGTAAATTTCCTGAGGCCTCCCCAGCAATGTGGAACCGTGAGTCACTTAAACCCCTTTCCTTTATGAATTACCTATTCTCAGGTGTTTTTTCATAGCAGCATGAGAATGAACAAATACACCATCTCCAATAAAATAATGCTTCTTAAAAGTAGCTTTTAAAATATTTCTCCTGCTGCCCTAGAAATCACTGACCATGTAATCAGCCAGGTTCTGGAAACAGAAATTCCTGACAGTTAATATTAACAACAACAAAAAAATTATAACTGAAGAGACAAGGAAAAGGGAAGAGAAAGAAGCTGTGGAAGGAAAATAGAATTTCAAGACCCCAAACTCACAATTCCAAAGGAAAACTAAGCTTGGGAACTAAGTCATGCAAAAACTGCTTCTCCTTTTGTTCCCAAAGAGAGAGCTGTGATTTCACATGCTTGCCCTCTGGGTCCAGGCAGCAGGCACACACCCTGAAGTCACCTGGTGGGGTGTCACACTGCACAGGACCTGTGCTGGACACACCTTGAAGTACTCCTCAGGCCATTGCTGGGCCCATGAGCTCTTGAGGATGTAGCCAGCTGGATGGACATCCTAGGCCTATCCTAGCCACCCAGCGCTGGACTTGAGGAAATGTCATCCACAGAGGATGACATATGATGATGACCACCCAGGAGCCAAGACAGCAGAGAAAGCCGCAGTCAGTGCGTAAGCTTGGCCAGGCTGAAGCTGGACAGACACACCCATCTCCCAGGACAGCTCAAGGGTGACCAACTGGACAACAGGCCCCCTTCCCAGCAGTGGGCCTTCCTACTTGGACTCACCTGAGGACATCCTGGCCTCCCTCCCTGCCATCTTCCTGTCCCTCACCTGTTGCTGGAGGGTTCAAGAGGGTCTACCGATGCCTGTGGGATGCCAGCCACAGCTGGTGTCCAGGTTTTTGGCACCACAGTGAGAAAGAATTCAGGGCCGAGTCCGTGAAGTGGAAAGCCAGGAGCTTTGATTGCAAAGCGAAAGCTCACACTTAGGACAGAGGTCATGCACAAAGGAGTTTGGGTTTCTAACTTTATGTGCTCTTCTAATTAGGGGGTGGAATAATCATGTGGTTTTCTAGGGAAAAGGCGGAGATTTCCTAGAATGGGGGTGCCATCCATTTTCATACTAAATATGGGCATGCTCAGAGCTGCCATACACCCAGCCTCATTTTAAAAATTGGTTCTTCTTACTCTGCAAAATTAATGGCTGAGTAATCATTCTTGGCAATCTCAATACCAGATTTGTTGGTGACAATGAAAGCCTTGAGGGACACGGCCTTTTCTACATGAGTTTGGACTCTATAAGCAACTCTTCAGTGGCTTTTTTGTTTTTAGCATTTTACTCACATCCTTACTTGGTGAACTGAACTGTGGATTGTGCCATACTTAACCCCTCTGCTTTCCCATCACCCTAGGAGGGCAGCCTGGATTTGGTGGAACATATTCTCATCAGCATGCACCTAGACACGAGGACCTAACGGATTAAGATGTGCCACAGGGCTTGCAGATTCCTTGACCATCTGTTTGCTGGTTCAGGATTGTTGAAATCTGTACTGTTTGCATGTTTTGTGAGGCTTCTTCAGTCACATGGTAGCAGGCAAGAGAGAATGAGAGCCACATGAAAGGGTTTCCCGTTATAAAACCATCAGATCTTGTGAGATTTGTTCACTACCAGGAGAAAAGTATGGGGAAAAACTGCCCCCCTAATTCAATTATCTCCCTCCAGATCCCTCCCAAAACACATGGAAATTATGAAAGCCATAATTCAAGATGAGATTTGGGTGGGGACACAGCCAAACAATACCATTGCATCCCTGGCCCCTCCCAAATCTCATGTCCTCATATTTCAAAAGCAATAATGCCTTCCCAACAGTCCCCCAAAGTCCTTTTAGCATTAACTCAAAAGTTCACAGTCCAAACTCTCATCTGGGACACAGCAAGTCCCTTCTGCCTATGAGCCTGTAAAATCAAAAGTAAGTTAGTTACTTCCTAGATACAATGGGGGTATAGTCATTGGGTAAATACAGCCATTCGAAATTAGAGAAATTAGCCAAAACGAAGGGACTAAAGGCCCATGCAAGTCCGAAATCCAGTGGGGCAGTCATTAAACTTTAAAGTTCCAAAATGACCTCCTTTGACACCATGTCTCACATCCGGGTCACACTGATGCAAAAGGTGGGTTTCCATGGCCTTGGGCAGTTCTGCCCTGTGGCTTTGCAGGGTATACCCCACTCTTGGCTGCTTTCATGGGCTGGAGTTGAGTGTCTGTGGCTCTTCCAGGGCCACAGAGCAAGCTGTTGATGGATCTACCAGTGTGGGGTTTGGAGGACAGTGGCCCTCTTCTCACAACTCCACTAGGCAGTGCCCTAGTGAGGACTCTGTGTGGGGGCTTCAACCTCACATTTTTCTTCTGCACTGCCCTAGCAGAGGTTCTCCATGAGGGCCCCAGCCCTGCAGCAAACTCCTGCCTGGACGTCCAGGCATTTCCATATATCCTCTGAAATCTAGGCAGAGGTTCCCAAACCTCAATTCTTGACTTCTGTGCACCCACAGGCTCCACATCACGTGGAAGCTGCCAAGGCTTAGAGCTTCCATTCTTTGAAGCCACAACCCAAGCTATACCTTGGCCCCTTTTAGCCATTGCTAGAGTGGCTGGGACACAGGGCACCAAGTCCTTACTAGACTGCACACAGCAGGGGGGCCCTGGGCCAGGCACCAAAAAACATTTTTTCCTACTAGGCCTCCAGGCCTGTGATGGGAGGGGCTGCCACGAATGTCTCTGACATGCCCTGGAGACATTTTCTCATTGTCTTGGTGACTAACATTTGGCTCCTTGCTCACGCCTGTAATTCCAGCACTTTGGGAGGCCAAGGCAGGCAGATCACTTGAGATCAGGAGTTCAAGACCAGCCTGGCCAACATGGTGAAACCCCGTCTCTACTAAAAATACAAAAATTAGCTGGGAGTGGAGTCAGGCGCCTGTAATCCCAGCCACTCAGGAGGCTGAGGCAGGAGAATTGCTTGAACCCAGGAAGGGAGGGTGTGGTGAGCCGAGATCATGCCACTGCACTCCAGCCTGGGCGACAGAGGGAGACTCCCATCTCAAAAAAACAAAACAAACAAACAAAAAATTTGGCTCCTCATTACTTATGCAAATTTCTGCAACTGTCTTGAATTTCTCCACAGAAAATGGGTTTTCCTTTTCTATCTCATCGTCAGACTGCACATTTTCTAAACTTTTATGCTGTTTCCCTTCAAAAACTTAATCTTATTAACAGCACCCAAGCCACCTCTTGAATGCTTTTCTTTGCTTAGAAATTTCCTGCCAGATACCTAAATCATCTCCCTCAAGTTCAAAGTTTCACAGATGTCTAGGGCAGGGGCAAAATGCCACCATTCTCTTTCCTAAAACATAGCAAGAGTCACCTTTATTCTAGTTCCCAACAAGTTCCTTCTCTCCATCTGAGACCACCTCAGCCTGGATTTCATTGTCCATATCATTATCAGCATTTTGGTCAAATCCATTCAACAAGTCTCTAGGGAGTTCCAAACTTTCCCACATGTTCCTGTCTTCTTCTGAGCCCTCCAAACTGTTCCGACCTCTACCTGTTACCCAGTTCCAAAGTTACTTCCACATTTTTGGGTATCTTTACAACACCACCACACTCTGCTGGTACCAATTTACTGTATTACTCCGTTTTCACACTACTGATGAAGACACACCCAAGACTGGGTAATTTATCAAGAAAAAGAGGTTTAATGGACTCACAGTTTCACATGGCTGGGGAGGCCTCACAATCATGGTGGAAGGGGAAAGGCATATCTTACATGGCAGCAAGCAAGAGAGAATGGGAGCCAAGCAAAAGGGGTTTCCCCTTATAAAGTCATCAGATCTCATGAGACTTACTCACTACCATGAGAACAGCATGAGGGAAACTGCCCCCGTGATTCAATTATCTCCCACTGGGTCCCTCCCACAACATGTGAGAATTGTGGGAGCTACAATGTAAGGTAAGATTTGGGTGGGGACACAGCCAAACTATATCATATGTTTTTAAGTGTTTTGAGTTTTATGGTCATTTTCTGGATTGGGGCTGGCTCAAATGCTGCTCTTTTAGCTGTGGCATGAGCCAATTGGTTACCCTGAACTTCTGTGGTGTTTAATTTAAAGTGACCTGGGATTTTTATGGTTGTGAACTATTTTGGTTTTAGAATAGCTTTTTTTTTTTTTTTTTTTTTGAGATGGAGTCTCACTCTTGTCACTCAGGCTGAAGTGCAGTGGCGCAGTCTTGGCTCACTGTAACCTCCACCTCCCGGGTTCAAGCAATTCTCCTGCTTCAACCTCCCAAGTAGCTGGGATTACAGGCACCCGCCACCATGCCTGGCTAATTTTTGTATTTTTAGTAGAGACGGGGTTTCACTATGTCGGCCAGGCTGGTCTTGAACTCCTGACCTCATGTGATCCGCCCGCCTCGGCCTCCCAAAGTGCTGGGATTACAGGCGTGAGTCACTGCACCCGGCCTAGAATAGCTTCTAACAGCTCTGATACTTGTACATTTTTTATGGGTTGCCCTGAGGAGGCTAAATATCCTCCATCTTTCCATAGCATCCCAAAGTCATGCAAACCCCAAAAGCATAGCAGCTGTCAGTGCAAATGTTTGCAGCCTTGTATTTTGCCAATTGACAAGCTCGGGTCAGGGCAGTCAACTCAGCCACTTGAGATGATCTGGCTTCGGGAAGAGGACCGGCTTTAATTACCTCTAGTAAGGAAACCACAGCATATCCTGCTCCAAAATTTCCATCCTCTCCTCTTAAATAAGACCCATCCGTATACCATTCTATTTTAGCATGATCCAGTGGCATCTCTTGTAGGTCTGTCCTGGGGTGAGAAGTCAGTCATCAGAACACAGTCATGAGGGGTCTTGTCAGAAGGGCCTGACAAGAGAGTGGCCAGATTAAGATTATTATACTGGAAGTAGTAATATTGGAAGATGGTACAAGCAAAATTTGATAAGAGGCTGACCGGTTGACAGACACACGTTGAGTATGATGAGAGTTTAGAAGGGTCTCAGGAGAATGTGGCACAGAAATGGTAAGGGGGGAACCCATACTTATTTCTTCAACAGACTTGTACAGAAGGGCCATGGTTGCTACTGCTCTCACACAAGGAGGCAGCCCTCAAGCCACCGGGTCCAGGTGTTGGCTAAAATAGCCTATAGGCCTCTGATGATCACCATGTTTCTGGATCAGTACCCTGGATGCAGTACCTCCAGTTTTGTGTGTGAAAAGGGAGAAAGGCAGTTTGTAGTTTGGGTGCCCTAAGGCTGGGGCATTAGTTAGAATTTCCTTTATTTGTTGTACAGCTGATTGTCCCTCAGGACTCCACAAGGCAGGATCAGGTTGTTCATTTTTTAGGTATGCATAGAGAGGTTGAGCCATAAGGAAGAAATTTGGTATCCAGTTTCTTTCTTTTTTTTTTTTTTGAGACGGAGTCTCGCTCTGTCGTTCAGTCTGGAGTGCAGTGGTGCAATCTCGGCTCACTGCAAGCTCTGCCTCCCAGGTCCACACCATTCTCCTGCCTCAGCCTCCAGAGTAGCTGGGACTACAGGTGCTGCCACCACGCCCAGCTAATTTTTTTGTATTTTTAGTACAGAGGGGGTTTCACCGTGTTAGCCAGAATGGTCTCGATCTCCTGACCTCGTGATCCACCCGCCTCAGCCTCCCAAAGTGCTGGGATTACAGGCCTGAGCCACCGGGCCTGTCCACTGGTATCCAGTTTCTACAATAGCCAGCCAGGACCCAAAATCCTCTAAGCTGTTTATTAGTAACAGGCATTGGGAAAGCTAAAATTCCTCTCACTCTGTCAGGGTTAATACTCAGTCCTTTGACTGAGATAATATGCCTCCAAATGCTTAACTTGCAGCAAGCATCGCTGAAGTTTGTCTTTGGACACTTTGTGTCCTTTGGTGGCTGTTTGAGTAAATATAGACCATCTTCCTGGGAGGAAGATAGTGTGTCTGAACAAAGAAGGTCACCTACATACTGAATGAGTGTTGAGCCCTGGGGAAAAATTAAATCCTCTAAATCAGCTTTTAATATTTGGGAAAAGTAAGTGGGACTTTGTGTATACCCTTGAGGCATTACCGTCCACATATATTGCCCTTCTTTCCAAGTAAAGGTAAACAAATACCGGCTGTCTGGATCTACAGGAATACTAAAGAAGGCACTGCAGAGATCTGCAACTGAGAAATACTAGCTGGTACTGGGTATAGTTGATAGAAGGATATGTGGGTTGGGGATTATTGGGTGTCTGGGTATTGCCATATTTATTGCCCTCAAGTCATGTACAAATCTCCGTCCCCTCCTGCTTGTTTTTTTTTGTTTTTGTTTTTGTTTTACAGGGAATATGGGGCTGTTGCAGGGGCTTGTGCAGGGAATAGTTGAGCCCCCTTTTCAGTTAATCTTGGATGACAGGGGCGATTCCATCTGTAGCTTCCTGTCAGAGAGGATACTGTTTGAGGTTGGGTAGGGGGTTCTTCAGGTTTATCTCTACCTTTATGGAAGTGGCTGAGAATATTTTCCCTATATCTGTATTTGACTGAGAGTATAAGTGGGAAGGGACATCCTTAAGCAAATGCTCCACTTCTGGAGTTAACAGGAAGACTGGGGAAGCTAAAAGGAGTTTTACTGTTTTCTGCTCTTTATTCCAATGTTCTCTCTTCTCTTCTAGTATTTCCTTCTCTGTCTCATTTCCCTTCCCCAGTCACAAAATGGTGTCTTAACATTACTAGTACTAAATTGTGGTGCAATGTCAGGTCTTGTTTTTTCTTTGTGAGATGGAGTCTCCCTCTGTCGCCCAGGCTGGAGTGCAGTGGCACAGTCTTGGCTCACTGCAACCTCCGCCTCCTGGGTTCAAGTGATTTTCCTGCCTCAGCCTCCCAAGTAGCTGGGATTACAGGCATGCGCTACCACGCCTGGCTAATTTTTGTATTTTTACTAGAGACGAGGTTTCACCATGTTGGCCTGGCTGATCTCTAACTCCTAACTTCAAGTGAGCCACCTGCCTCGGCCTCCCAAAGTGCTGGGATTACAGGCATGAGTGACTGCATCCTGCTGTCAGGATGTTTTCTAAGTTGATATTGTTGGTCCCTGGCTTCAATTCTAGAAGAAGCTCACCTTTCGATGAAAAAGAGATATGAGCATTATGGATGTTGACGAGATCACAGCCCAAAAGATTGACGGGGCTGCAGGGCACATTAGAAACACATGGGACCAACGGAGCATGTCACACTTAGAGCCCATGGCGGGGCATCTGAACCCAAAGAAATGTTAAGGTTTAGGTTTAGACTTAAAACATGAGAGAGTTTTATTAGACACAGCCACCATGTTAATTCTTTCATTACTCTCACGTATGGGGTTTCTAAATTAGGTGGGATTTATAACAGATATAGCCACTCCTGTGTCAAATTCAGGCAGTTGTAAGCTCCTGGTTTATCATTATATCAATCTCTCCCAATTTGTCAGGGTAGAATATTTGGAGCAGTGAAACCCTGTACTTTCTCAGAGCACCCTAGTCTTCCTGAGCTGCATTTTCTTGTCTTTTCTTTCATTTCAGCCTAATGCAATCCCTCTTAAGCTGTCCTGGCCGTTTTTTTTTTTTTTTTTTTTTTTTGAGTCAGAGTCTTGCTCTGTCGCCCAGGCTGGAGTGCAGTGGCGCGATGTGGGCTCACTGCAAGCTCCGCCTCCCAGGTTCACGCCATTCTCCTGCCTCAGCCTCCCAAGTAGCTGGGACTACAGGCGCCCGCCACCATGCCCGGCTAATTTTTTTTGCATTTTTAGTAGAGACGGGGTTTCACCATGTTAGCCAAGATGGTCTCGATCTCCTGACCTCATGATCTGCCCGCCTCAGCCTCCCAAAGTTCTGGGATTACAGGCGTGAGCCACCGCGCCCGGCCGTTGTCCTGGTCTTTTACACTAGTAACAGACTGGGAGGGAAGAGTCCTCAGACCTATGAGCTTAAAATCTTTCTGGGGCTGAGAGGTTTGAAAAGTTAATTGCTTTAACTGTAAACGCATAACTTGGGCAATCTTCTGTTTTTCCTTTTTATCACAGTGCGGGATAACTGGTCAGCTAACTAGTTCATTAGTTCTGGCTGTGGCCCAATTTATCATGTGGCATTTTCTAAGGGTGGCTAAATCATCACCTAGTCTAATAAATTTGCATTTAATATTGTAGCATTTTTATTGTTTTCATAGCAATCAGCTGACATCCTGCAATATTGTCTAAAAGTTTTATCAAAACGTGTGAAATAATCTAAAACGGATTCCTTTGTGCTCTGGCAGCATTGCTGGATTTTCCTCCAATCCACGACCCTCCGGGACACTGAAGGAATGCTATTTAACAGAACAGTCATCGTTCACGAGCATCTCTGCGTCTGTCTTCAGGATTTGGGGCTGGCTGATTTGGCCTTCCTGGGCCTTTAGAGATCAGGTCTGCTACAATGTCTGACCACTGTGCCTTTTCCAGCCACTTAGCTTTAGCTTCTGAGACCAGTATGTGGACCAGCTGATAAAGGTCTGAATGACCCGGGTCATAGATTCTGATAATGAGCTCAAACTCTTGAGCAAACCCAATTGGATCTTTACGGGAGGCAGGAAATTCTTTATGCCTCGCAACTCAGCCATTAACCAGGGTTGACAGACAATCACAGGGGTTCCCCTAACTGTTAACAGTTGTTCCCGAAACGGGTTGATCATGAGAGGAGTCCCTATGGTGTCCCCTTTTCCATGTCTTCCAGATGAGAGGCTGCCACTGGCGATACCAGAGAATCGGCAGGAAGTAGGGTCTTGGAAGTTAGATTCCCTACTGCCTTCGGTTCAGTGAGTGGCAGGCAAGGAGGAGAATAGGGTAGATTGGAACCTGAAGGAAAAGGACGGGAGAGGTCTGGTCCAGGAAGTCCAGAGGGTTAGGGGTAGAGTGGGGGTGTAGGTGGAGGTAGGGGAGGCACTAAGGGGGAAGTAAGGGATTTGGAGGATTTCTTTAAGAGAGAGAAACGATTAGAGAGTTCTCGATTGGCAGTTCTGAGTTGTTTGTTGGCCTCCTGTAGGGAGATGAGGTGATCTTTCCCCTGGGAGGATTTCTTTAAGAGAGATAAACGATTAGAGAGTTCTCGATTGGCAGTTCTGAGTTGTTTGTTGGCCTCCTGTAGGGAGATGAGGTGATCTTTCCCCTGGGAGGATTGCTTTAAGAGAGATAAAACGATTAGAGAGTTCTCGATTGGCAGTTCTGAGTTGTTTGTTGGCCTCCTATAGGGAGATGAGGTGATCTTTCCCCTGGGAGGATTTCTTTAAGAGAGATAAATGATTAGAGAGTTCTCGATTGGCAGTTCTAAGTTGTCGGCTTCCTGTAGGGAGGTGAGGTGATCTTTCCCCCCGCTGGCTACTCTCCAGGTACCAAGAAAGTAGCTCTCCCATTCCGGTTTCTTAGTTTTTGTGCCCGCGTTTTCCATTCTGGTTCGCGGGTACACTAAATTGGGCATCTCAAAAGATCCCCATTTAGGCCATTGTAACTTAGAACTACTTTGGTTATAGTGGTCCACTTGGTTAAATATTTGCATGACAATTTGCCGTAAGTATTTTGCATGTACCTGGCCGGAGTTTCTAAAGGTGGAACTTTATGTTCCTCAGCTGCTGGGGTTTTAGCTAATTTAGAGGCCTCATTCCCCATAATTTAAAGTTCCCCTTCGGATTCAACCAAGTTGGGATGTGTGTGAGACCCAAAGTGTGCTGCCTGGGGACCTGGCTCTTCAGGGCCATTATTCCTTGAACCAGTTCAGTCCACGCTTGTCGCGGCTACCTGGTAAAGTGTGTCAGGGGCTCCAGGTGTGGGAAGGGTCAGCTCCTTATATGCACCTACCAGATGAGATTAGACCTTAAGCATGTTTTTCTGGGGAGAAAACCAGCTCAGAGCTGTTGCACGTCTTAAGGTGCTTTCCTCCCAGACACCCTCACGCGATTCTCAGTTGCCTAAGAATGCCCCGAAAGGCTGAGGGGAGTAAAGTGCTCTTATTTCTTTAGAAAATTCCACACTCATAAGCTAGAGGGTTTGGAGTTGGTCAAATCCGGTAGCTGAAAGGACTGAAACACACACACAACCCAACACACACAACCCAACAAGACGGAAACAACAAAACAGCTAAGCAAAACTAACAGTGATCACGCAAATTATATGACTTCTGAGCACTCAAGTGTAAGCAGAAATTAACACCAGTGGGTTGTTCATGCTAACTTTAGTCATTTAAAAAGAATTTGCAAGACAAAATCCCAAACCAATTCCTTACCTAGTGATAGGAGCCCAAGCTGAAAAGTGCTCTCCACAGATGCAGCAGCAGACAGGCTGCCTTCCTTGATGGAAGTGAGTGGAAATTCCAGGAAAAAAGGAGATTTTTTTTTTTTTAAACAGCAAATAAACCTCTGACCCCCAACTGAAAAACACTGGAAGATCAGGGATCCCTGGAAAAAAGAGGTCCGAGACTTCAGCAAATTGTCCTACCAGTTTAGGCTACAAGGTGCCCAGACCAGTACCAAGCACCAATAGGAGAGCTGCTGCAGGCTGGGCCACCTTCGCCCAGGTTCCCTTAGTGGTTACCACATGTCAGTCGAAAAAAATGATGAGACCAGTCTCATTCCAGGAGGCTTATCTGCCAAAGATAAGGACTCGTGCCTGGGAGACAGGTCTACGCCTTTCTCCAAAGATTATTTTGAGGGCTCCAAATTTAAAGGGGAAAGGGTGGGATATTGAGAAGTACACAAATTTCACATAAGAGGAGGGTAGGGAAAAATAGTCATTCATGCCTTTGGTTCAGTGAATCTGCATTTTTTTTTTTTTTTTTTTTTTTTTACATAAGATGACAGACAAATGGGGCAGAGGAATCTGCATTATTACATAAGGTAACATAGACAAAACATAACAAAAGGGCAGGGGAACAATCAGATATGCATTTGTATCTGGTAGGCAGGGGGATGACTGCACCTGTAAAGACAAGCTATCGATTTACATTACCATGGCGAAATTTTAACAGGAACACCTTAGGGCAGAAATCTTGGAGCTCACCAGGAATTTCCTTGTGGGCAAAATATGGGGGAGGCGTGTAGGTTATCATCTTGCAGCCCTCTTATTTAGGAACCAAAAGGGGAGGCAGGTTTGCCTGACCCAGTTCCCAGCTTAACTTTTCCCTTTGGCTTAATGAGTTTGGGGTCACAAGATTTATTTTCCTTTCACAGTATGTAAGCCCTGGGTCTGGGAAGGCCCTGGGCCTGGGGGTGATGGTTGGGAAACCACCACCTTGTCTCACCACTGCCAGAGACACAGATGTGGCTTCTGTACATAAGTCCCTATTAAATGTTTCTCTCTAAAGAACTAGATTTGCCAGTCCCTTTCTTTGGCGTCTCAGCTTCCTCTGACTTTGGGGCAGATTTGTATAGGCCTGGCCACTGAGGAACAGTCACTAACCATTAGGAAAAGGCAAATGAAAACCACCTTATCATTTTATACCTACCAGTATGACCATAATACAAGGCTGTGAAAGGAAAGTATCTTGGGTCCCTTCAACCTGCCTCCCATTCTAGTCAGTCATCCCTCTGCTCACTGAGACAGATGCACAGCTGACTGTCTCCTTTGGAAAGGCTGATCAGAAACTCACAAGAATGCAACTGTTCATCTCTCACATATCTGTGACCTGGAAGCCCCCTTCCCGCTTTGAGTCTTCCTGTCCTTGCTTCAAGTTGTCCCGCCTTTCCAGACTGAACCAATGTTCTTCTTACATATATTGATTGATGTCTCATGCCTCCCTAAAATGTATAAAACTAAGCTGTGCCCCGACCACCTCGGGCACATATCATCAGGACCTCCTGAGGCAGTGTCATGGATGCATCCTCAACCTTGGAAAAATAAACTTTCTAAATTAATTGAGACCTGTCTCAGATTTTTGGGGTTCACGAGGTACATAAATAACAAGCATGGGCAAGAATGTGGAAAAACTGAAACCCTCACACATTCCTGGTGAGAATGTAAAATGGTGTAGCCAATTTGGAAAACAATTTAGCAATACTTAAAAATGTTAAACAGTTACCACATGAAAACTTAAGTCCACACAAAAGCTTGTACATGAATGTTCATAGCAGCATTACTCATAATAGTAAAAAAATGCAAACAACCCAAATGTCAATCAACTGATGGATAAAATGTAGTATATCCATATAATGGAATAGTTTCTAATTTTTTGTTTTATTTAATGAAATATTCATCAGCAATTAAAAAGAACTAGCTGTTGATGTCTGCTACAATATGGACCTTGAGAACATTATGTTAAATGAAAGCAGTCACAAACGACTCCATATTTTGTGTTTCCATCTATATGAAATGTCTAGAATAGGTAAATCTATAGAGGCAGAAAATAGATTAGTGATTGCCAGGGGCTGAGGGAATGGGAGGGAAATGGGAAATGACTGTTAATGGGTATAGGTTTTCTTTTCGGGGTGATAACATTCTCCTAAAATTAGATTGTGGTATTGGTTCCACAACACTGAAAAACCATCTCACCTTCAATTGGTGAATTTTATAGTATATGGATTAGATCTCAACAAAAGTTTTTTTTTTTTTTTTTTTTTGAGACGGAGTCTGGCTCTGTCGCCCAGGCTGGAGTGCAGTGGTACAATCTCGGCTCACTGCAAGCTCCGCCTCCCGGGTTCACGCCATTCTCCTGCCTCAGCCTCCCGAGTAGCTGGGACTACAGGCGCCCGCCACCGCGCCCGGCTAATTTTTTTTTTGTATTTTTAGTAGAGACGGGGTTTCACCGTGTTAGCCAGGATGGTCTCGATCTCCTGACCTCGTGATCCGCCCGCCTCGGCCTCCCAAAGTGCTGGGATTACAGGCGTGAGCCACCGCGCCCGGCCAAAAGTTTTTATTAAAGAAAAGATTTATCTGGAGATGGATAGTGGTGATGGTTGCATAATATGAATGTACTTAATGTCCTTAAAAATTAAGGCGATAAATCTTGTTATAAGTAACACAATAAAAAATGAGTTTCAATAAATTATTTGGGGACATTTGAGTCTTATGCCTTAGCTTGGAACAACTCTCCTGTGAATAAAATGCTTGTGATGTGTTAAGCAACTGTGTTTGTATCTGAAATGAGTGACTACCAAAATGACGGTAAGGAATTTTTTAGAAGGCAATAGCCTGACCTTAGTAAGGGCTCAGATTTCTCCAGTGTGTACCTGGTGCCAATGAAGTACAGGAGATTTTGTTTTATCATCCCATCTCATGGATGAGGAAACTGAAGTTTGTTGAGATAACTTATGCAAGGCACAGATGAACCTGAACACGCCTTTATGTAACTAAAACCCTCACTGTTAACCACTATGCTTATATTCTGTGCCTCTGCTTTACTCAATTATAAAATGAAAGAGATTTAGATGATCTCTAATATCCTACCAACCTGAAATTGTTTCATTACAATAAAGCATTTCGTATATAATTGGGAAATATTCTGTATTATGTAAAAAGCTTAATCTGGCAGTGAGCTGCACTTGTGATTCTAGTATTTAAATTGTGGGTGCATATTATCAAAGCACCTTATGGTGCTGTGTCCCAGAGGAAACCAAACATGGAACCCATTTCAATCCCCATGCCAGCAGGCTCTTCAGACTGTAGTTCTCACCATGCCACAGCCCATCTGAGAGACACCACAGCATCTGCATAGTGATTTGTTGTTGTTTTTGAGATGGAGTCTCACTCTGTCACCCAGGCTGGAGTGAAGTGGTGCGATCTCAGCTCACTGCAACCTCCACCCCCTGGGTTCAAGCGATTCTCCTGCCTCAGCCTCCCTAGTAGCTGGGATTATAGGCGGGCGCCACCATGCCCGGGTAATTTTTTGTATTTTTAGTAGAGACGGGGTTTCACCATGTTGGCCAGACTGGTCTTGAACTCCCGACCATAGGCGATCCGCCGGCCTCGGCCTCCCAAAGTGCTGGGATTACAGGCGTGAGCCACCGCGCCCGGGCGTGATTTGTTTTAAATTTGTCATCTAAAGGACCACCAGGATAGCTAGATAGTAGACAAGAGTTTTACTATCAATATCAGTTTGCAAACCAGGGAGTCTCCAGCATGAACCCAAAGTGCTCTCTCAGAAGAACAGAGGTTAGAGGTTTTATTTTAAAAAGAGAAATATTAACTTATTTCTCTTTGAGAAAGTTCACTGGCACTAGTAAGGGTTTGGGGAGCTCTGACTGGTGAGCGAAGCCAGGGGGCCAGATCAGTCCTGGAGGTGGAAGTTATGCTGAAGCTATGGAATAAAACTGGCTTTAGGTCGGGCGCGGTGGCTTCTTCCTGTAATTTCAGCGCTTTGGGAGGCCGAGGCGGGCAGATCACTTGAGGTCAGGAGTTCAAGACCAGCCTGGCCAACATGGTTAAACCCCGTCTCTACTAAGTACAAAAAAACACTAGCCGGG
Source organism: Homo sapiens (assembly GCF_000001405.40). NCBI lineage: Eukaryota > Metazoa > Chordata > Mammalia > Primates > Hominidae > Homo > Homo sapiens. The sequence continues at coordinate 79,989,265 of NC_000018.10, read as the reverse complement.
CTGGCGCCTTGTAGTCCCAGCTTATGGGGAGGCGGAGGCAGGAGAAGCGCTTGACCCCGGGAGGCGGAGGCTGCAGTGGGCCAAGATCACGTCACTGCACGTCTCAAAAAAAAATTTTTTTTCTTTATAAAAAGACAAATTAAAAAACCTGGTTTCAGGTTACAACAGGCAGCTCAGCAGCCGGCCTGATGGTGACATTCCTCAAGGACGGCCTGCCCAGTGCTTCCTCCCTACCCCGCTGCTCGACTCTGCTGTGGTTGGGTATGGCAACAACGACACATTTTTATGATCAAGTTTCACAAATGACACACATGAACTGTCTTAGTAACACACAGAAACAAGCACCAGAAAGGAAGAAAACGAGCCGCAGTGCCGGGCATTCCGGGCCTTTCTGGACGTCCCCATCCGTGGCTGGAGGACAGCCCGGGCGGCGGCGGGCGGCCTCGGGGCGGGAGCGTGGGGGCAGGGCACGGCGAGCCCGGGGCTTCTCAGGACCACCAGGCCGCCTGGACGCTGGGGAGGAACCCCCACTCCGACAGCTGCTATGACGGAACCAACGGCGCTCCACGGTGCCCAGGTCGCCGCCGCTCCACCCGGCCAACTACACGTTCGCGCGGCGCCTATACGCACATGCCGTCAGCACGCACGGCGCTAGCGCGCGCGCATGCCGTCAGCACGCACGGCGTCGGTGCGTGCGCGCCCAGACGTTCTGCCGGGTGGCAGTCCCAGCGGAGTTTGCGTGTGCGGGCGGGACCGGATTTCGTCCGTGGGCCCGGGGGCGGCGGGGGCCGGGGAGTGAGGGGCCGGCTGAGCCCACCTCGCTGGGCCCTCCCTGGCGCCCCGCCTTGGGCGGCGGCGAGCGCGCGGGCCGCCATGTCGTACATGCTCCCGCACCTGCACAACGGCTGGCAGGTGGACCAGGCCATCCTCTCGGAGGAGGACCGCGTGGTCGTCATCCGCTTCGGCCACGACTGGGATCCTACGTGCATGAAGATGGACGAGGTCCTGTACAGCATCGCCGAGAAGGTAGCGCGCCGGACTCTCCCGCTCTGCGGGCTGTGCTTCCGCATCTGCCCCGCGCCTCTGCCCTGCCGGCGTCGCCTGGGGGCGCGAGCTGTTCCCCGAGGAGGGGCCGCGGCTCCGTCGTTCAGGCGATTCCTCCCCTCGCTGCGGTCGAGCGCTCTCGGGGACTGTGCCGGCGTTTCACGCCTTTTTCTGCGGGGAGCTCTTGTAGTTTTTCATATTTTAAAGGGTTTATGATCCCCCTCCTCTCAAATGAATTAATTATTTCTGTTGATAAGGCGTTTTTCCCAAACTTATAGTTCAGTGAACAAAATGCACTTGCAGGTTTTATTGAGAGCGCGGATCCTTAATTTAAAAGGACGTCTTTTTTTGGTACCTGAGTTATTCGTTGTATGCATAAAGCAGGACTTTCATGTTCATAGCATGAGAAATCCTGCTTTTCTGTGGGTGTGTTTTTTTATCCCACCACGCTTTTTGTGAGTCATGTGGTTTACAGCTTACAGTGATTGAGGTGCAGTAAACATCAGGAGAAAATAGAAATATGCTTTGTTAGAATTAGTTCTCTGAATTTCTAATATTAGTACACTGAGTGGTCTTGGCATTTACTTGCTGACAATAAAAGTTGTAGGACACTATTTTATAACCAGATTTCATTCTTTTTCTGTGGTTCCTCATAGCAATTTTAGGATGACTTTTATTGAGGTTTTGCAGCTGTAGCAATAGGGCAAAGGGCACAAATACTAGGGTGTTAATAAAATATTTGCCATATTAATTTTCCATAAGTAATTTGAGAGGTTATTCCTTTTAATGAAGAGTAAAAGTAACATTGAAGCTATCTTTTCTTTCACAGATGCTAAAAAGTAGGCCTGGGTTAAAATAACTCCTTTGAGTAAAGAGTAACAGATGTAAGGACATATTTTATATTCAGGAAAGGAAAGACTATCTGGCCTGCCATTTATTAATTTTTGCTATTTCTTATTTAGTAGGAGAGGCATGAAGTTAGGAACTGTTGTTATATTTTAGTTATTACAAGACTCCCTTGGAGTGCTTACTAGAATGCATCTGTGATTCTGATTCTATGGGTATGGGGTGAAGTCCAGCAATGGCTTTTTAAAGAAGCCCCTCAGGGAATTCTGATGCGACTTGACCTTGAACCACCTTCCATGGGGGTCAGGGATGGAGGTGGAGTAGCTTTAGTACCAGCCATCTCGCAGCCTCTTCCTCCTGGACACTGAGGACTTGAGGAGGGACCTAGGGAATTCGGGAGAGCAGCAGTTCTCTCACACGCTGGGGGTTCTGCCAGCCGGGGATTAGAGATGATGAGAGAGGCAGTGCCACACATCAGTTTGTCATTGCTTGAGCTGTAGTGGACAAGGGCAGATACTGGAAATCCAGCGAAGAATTGACTAAGAGCAGTTTCCCAATAAGTAAATCACTGCTGTATTGACTTTGAGTTATGAATTCTAGAATCTTTCACTGTTCTACATTGCAGGTGGTGGCATAAACATCGGGTGGTGTTCAGATCCTGCTGCCGGCAGCTCGAGGCTAGGATGGCTGGAGATGTGAGGGCCTTTGTCTCATCACATCCGAGCACAGCTCAGCAAGATGCTCTTAGCTAGAAAACAGATTTTATGTGTTAATGTAAGTGTTTAGGGTCTTTGCCAGATTTGCTCTTTTCCAACTCCTTTATGTCCAATTTCTTTGTTATTACAGAATGAATCACTGTATCACTAGTGGACACACATAGTGGACACACACTTAAGGACAGTTGAAATGGGCTCACTTTGGGGTATTTTTTTTGGTCTTTTAAAATAGTCTGATTTTTGTTTTTGTCCAAAAATTTGGATAGCTTTATTAATAAACTTTTAATGCGAATATTATAATATAGTTATTAAAAGGGCAAACCTAGGCCAGGCGCGGTAGTTCATGTCTGTAATCCCAGCACTTTGGGAGGCCAGCGTAGGCGATCACTTGAGCCCAGGGATTCGAGACCAGCCTGGACAATATGGTGAAACCCCTTCTCTACTAAAAGTACAAATGCCGGGCGTGGTGGCACGTGCCTGTAGTCCCAGCTACTTGGGAGGCTGAGGTGGGAGAATCACCTGAGCCCGGGAAGTCAAGACTGCAGTGAGCCATGATTACACCACTGAACTCCAGCCTGGGCAACAGGAGTGAGACTCTGTCTCCAAAAAAAAAAAAAGTGCACACCTGAAATGCATTAAAAGAATATTCATGTTTTATTTTCTTCTTAGTCTATGGGCAAATATGACTTCCTAATTCTGGAAGCCCTTTTTTGGAGAAGCTCAACAGAAATTTTTGAAATATAAGGTTTTAGTATAAAGAACAATATAACTATTTAAAAATTTCCCTGTGCAGAAATGGCAGATAATGGGGACTCTTCCTTACCTTGTTCCGAGTTCTGTCTGGATATTCCAGCTGTTTTAAAGTGAGTAACAGTTGCAAATGTTCAGGCTGGACTTGATATGATTTTTCCTAGATGTGTTGTATTGATTTGCTGCTTCCACAGGGCCCACTTGACTTCATGCTGGATTAGAGTTGAGCTGTAAACTTCAGGAATAAAGTCAGTTTGGAAACAGAGCTATGCTTAAAAGATTTCACAGATGCCTAGAGTTTGCTAATAAATGTGGGGCAATTCATTTGATAAAGTGATAATAATAAATAAAGTTTTCATCTGGGCACTGTGTCTCACGCCTGTGGTCCCAGCATTTTGGGAGGCCGAGGTGGGTGGTTCCCTTGAGCCCAGGAGTTCGAGAACAGCCCGGGCAACATGGTGAAACCTTGTCTGTACAAAAAATGCAAACATTAGCTAGGCGTTGTGGCATGTGCCTGTGGTCCCAACTACTTGGTAGGCCGAGGTGGGAGGATATGAGTCCAGGAGTTCAAGGCTGTGACAAGCCGTGATCGCGCCACTGCATGCCAGCCTGGGTGACAGAGCGAGACCCTGTCTCAAAAAAAAAAAGTTTTCTATTTAGCAGCTGATTTTATGCAGTTTTGAAGCGAGACAATTTCATGTACGAGCTGTCTTTCCATTTTGTAGGAACACTGTCACAGGAGACAATTTCATGGACCTTTGAGCTGTCTTTCCATTTTGTAGGAACACCATCACAGGAGACAATTTCATGTACCTTTGAGCTATCTTTCCATTTTGTAGGAACACCGTCACAGGAGACAATTTCATGGACCTTTGAGCTGTCTTTCCATTTTGTGGGAACGCCGTCACAGGAGACAATTTCATGTGCCTTTGAGCTGTCTTTCTATTTTGTAGGAACGCTCTCAGAGGGGACAATTTCATGTGCCTTTGAGCTGTCTTTCCATTTTGTAGGAACACTCACAGCAGTGCTTGGGGTTCACTGTTACCTAAATCCCATGATGGGTGAGAAGACTGAATGGGACGTTTATTTTTTGTGTTAAAAAGCCCACGCAAATAGAGTTTAAAATAGTCTCAGTGAGCTGGGCATTGTAGCATGTGCCTGTAACCCCACTACTCAGGAGGCTAAGACAGAGTATGAGCTCAGGAGGTCAAGGCTGCAGTAAGCTATCATCGTGCCGTTGCACTCCACCCTGGGTGATAGAGCGAGACCCCATCTCTAAAAACAAAACAAAAAAATTCCTCAGTAATATTATTGACTCATGATAGTACATTTTTTTTGTTTGTTTGAGACAAGAGTCTTCTTGTGTTGTCCAGGCTAGAGTGCAGTGGCACGATCTTGGCTCACTGCAACCTCAGCCTCCTGAGTAGCTGGGACTACAGGCCTGCACCACCACCACACCCTGCTAATTTTTGTATTTTTGGTAGAGATGTGGTTTTGCCATATTGGCCGGCTGGTCTCAAACTCCTGTCCTCAAGTGAGCCAGTCACCTCAGCCTCCCAAAATTCTGGGATTACAAGTGTGAGCCACCATGCCTGGCCCATGATAGTACATTCTAATAAATTGTGTGTAAGGCAGATATATATTTATGGAACTTCATAGGAGCCATATTAAGGGGTGTATCTTAAGTATCACATTAAGGATCACAGAACGCCTACTGAACCAGTGAGAGTCAACACTCAGCTAGATGAGGAATCTTGTAGAAACAAACAGAATGGATATTTTTGGTGTTTCCTCTGGATTTTTGTCTCTGGAAAAAAAACAGCCTTGTAGCTAGCCACAAGGTATGAGGGGTGATGTTGAGCCGTGGTTGAGGGTGCAGACTCTAGCCACAAGGTATGAGGGGTGGTGTTGAGTGGCGGTTGAGGGTGCAGACTCTAGCCACAAGGTATGAGGAGTGGTGTTGAGCGGCGGTTGAGGGTGCAGACTCTAGCTAGGCTCTTGGCACTTCATAACTGCATGAGCGTTACGAACTTGGCCCCGTGGGTCATCTTACCTGTAAAAAGGGCATACTTGTGCCTCACTCATAGGGTTGTGGTGGGATTAATAAAGGTTTCTAGAGCACTCCTGTCACATGGGCAGTAATGCCACTGTTATTACTGTGATTACTTCTCTCACATTACTAAGTTTGCAAGTTATTGTGAGAGCTGATTAAGGCAAACATTAATTTTAGAAAGTCAAGTTTTTCAGTTTTTTTTATGGCTTTGACATGAATTACCTAAAAATGTAAAAATAAACACTTCAAAAATTTGTTGTGCTAATCAACTGCCCAGAACACTTTTTCCGGAATTTTAGGTGTTTTCTTAGCTGGTTGAGGGACTCCATACAAAAGTGTAGAACAGTGGTTGGTATCATGTGCCAGTTTGGTCATGTGTTTTGCAGAGTTATGTCATTGTAACTTGGCAGGTGGACTTAGAGGCATGCGGAAGAACTGCTGAGCACTTTAATTGCTGACTTGCCTAAAGAAAAAGCATGCTTATGAGGTGTATAGGCAACAGAGTTGGAAAAGATACTTACAATTCAAGGCAATCAAAGAATTTAAAAACAATTTGAGGCCAGCGCCGTGGCTTAAACCTGTAATTCCAGCAGTTTGGGAAGCCGAGGCAGGCGAATCATCTGAGGTCAAGAGTTCGAGACCAGCTTGGCCAACATGTTGAAACCCCATCTCTACTAAAAATACAAAACTTAGCCAGATGTGGTGGTGGGCGCTTGTAATCCCAGCTACTCGGGAGGCTGAGGTGGGAGGATCTCTTGAGGCTGGGAAACAGAGGTTGCAGTGAGCCGAGATCACGCCACTCTGCTCCAGCCTGGGTGACAAAGTGAGATCCCATCTAAAAAAGAAAAGAAAAAGCTGCCTTTGTTGAGGAAGTCACAGGATGACTTGGCAGAGCAGTGTGGCTGCACTCACCCAGCTCCTCCTCCAAGCGCTTGGTTACCGTGGAAATGTCGCCACCAGCAGATGCTGCTGGATGTTTGCTGATGTTTGCCCTCAGCTCATGCTCCTCCAGTCACCCCACAGATGCCATTTCACCAAGAAAATGGGGTGGTGGGAGGCTGGGGAGCTCCCCTCTGCCTGCCTCTTTCAGCCTCTCCTATCTGAACTCCCAAGTCCCACAGTAACTTCCCTCTCTCTCCATAGCCACGGCTTTTGAAAGTTGTCCACACTGAAGTCCTCTGTTCCTCAGTCCTTCAGCCCCTGCAGTGTCCCCGTTCCCATATCGTCCTTTCTGGTAACCTCTCTGGGGCACTCGGCACAGCTCCCCGGAGTCTCCTGCCTTGGTTTCTGAGACTGCCTCCTTGGCATCCCTTTCCTGCCCCCAACTCTACAGTGGGCTTCTGCACTCACTCCCAAGCCTGGCACCTGCCACCCTGGCTGGGATCACTGCTGGATGTAGGTGGCGGCAGTAAGGTAGCTCTCTCCAGCCCAGACTCCATTGTACAGCTCCAGGCCAGTCGCTACCTGGAGGGCCTTTTTCTCTGGATGTCCCTTAGTTTTCTCAAACTCAGTATATACAAAACTGAACTCTTCAATTCCTGCTTTCTTAGAAATAAATACATGGCCCAGAATCCCAAGTGGAAAAGGTCCTCTGTGGGCCAGTCCACCTGCGCATCGGTCCCCACTGTCCTGCACTTCTGCTTCCTTGCCCTGGTGCTGGATCTGAGACCTGGCTGCTGGTCTTGTGTCTTTCTCTTTACACATGGAATTCTCTAAGGACAGATATTTCCCTGCCACCCCGTGACCACACTGCCGCCCCGTCTCCTGTGGGTTAGGCTGATTCTGTCATCCAGAGTTCAGGCTTTGGAGCCAGACAGAGTGCATCTCAGCTCTGCCCCTTCCCCGTGCGGCTGGGCATCACTCACGTGACCTTTCTGAGCCTGAATTCCATCACCTAAAACATCGGCGACATCTATTTAGAGGTGTTGAAAGAATTAGAATCCATGAGTGAAAAGTGCCTCATACATGGTGGATTCTCAAGTGTTCATGAAACTGGTCTGTGGTGAAATCAGAGGATGTTCACGTTCTCGTGGCACGTGAGCTTTATGTGGTAGTTTGCCTCTGTTAGAATTCTCCGGGTTAGATGCAGTGGGCCGGAGCTTGAAGGCAAAAGGAGAGTCACATTTGTATCTTTAAAGTTACAGTTACTCAGTTGCCCTCTGATTATTGTTGTTGTTGTTAGTTTGAGAAGGAGTCTCGCTTTGTCCTTCAGGCTGGAGTGCAGTGGCACGGTCTCAGCTCACTGCAATCTCCACATCCTGGGTTCAGGTGATTCTCCTGCCTCAGCCTCCCAAGTAGCTGGGATTACAGGCGTGCACCGCCACACCCAGCTAATTTTTGTGTTTTTAGTAGAGACAGGGTTGCACCACGTTGGCCAGGTTGGTCTCGAACTCCTGACCTCAAGTGATCCGCCCGCCTCAGCCTCCCAAAGTGCTGGGATTACAGGCGTGAGCCACCTCACCTGGCCCTGCACTCTGTTTATTAAATGCCTACAAATTATTAAAAACCACAGATGCTTATAATATTTACTATTTTTTACGTGCAAGAAAAGGGATGGTAAAAATTTGTTGTGACCTTTCTTTTTTCTTAAGTACACAATTTACAACCCTGTCCAAATGATATTTCAAGTAATTTATTATTTGCATGGTGATTCCGTAAGTTAATATGATGTTACTGGTATTTATTGTATCTGTCCCTGAGCAAGGCATTGAAGGGAGAATAATGAAATATTATTTTGACTTTCCTAATGCCTGTGACCATTTATTTTGTTGGTGTATTTATTTTAGCTTCTGTAGGGAAGTATTTTGTGTTTAAGTCAAATCAAAAGACAGTTTATTAGTTTACCATGAAAATAAAGCTGGATTCTGGCAACCTGACCAACACATTCTCACTGTGGACGCTGCGGGAAACTAGAGTTTCAGAAATGGGCGTTGTCAGAGTGACCGGACTCAGAGGGGCCCATGTCTAATGCAAACATCACTTTGGGGTTTTGAAAGCACATGGACGGGGAGTCGCATGCCCCTGCAGTGGGCCGTGTGCTCACTTTGGGGTTTTGAAAGCACATGGATGGCGAGTTGCATGCTCCTGCAGTGGGCCGTGTGCTCACCTTGGGGTTTTGAAAGCACATGGATGGCGAGGCGCACGCTCCTGCAGTGGGCCCTGTGCTGGAGTTCTGATACGGTTTTTTTCACCAAAGCTGAAGGGCAGTGGAGTCTTTGTGAAGTGTGGGCTTTCCCCCTCCCCCTCTCCCCACCCTGCTCCATGGTTTACATTTCCATCTTAATTTTTAAAAAATATTTCCCAAAGTAGAGAATATAGTGAACCCGTCTGTTCCTATTGTTCCACTTCAACAATTGCTGGTATTTTGCTGGTCTTGTGTTACCTAACCCCTCATTTTTTTAGGCTGTGTGTTTCATGGAAATCCCAGATATAATTATTTCACCTGTAAGTTACAGTCAGGTTGTAAAGATTTAGTTTTATATGAAGAAATGTTGTGCATATCCCATTGATTTCCCGTGACTGCTGTGAGAGGATGCTGCAAGCTGAGGGGCTTAAAACAACAGAAACTTCTCTCACAATTCTGGATACCAGAAGTCCAGAATCGAGGTGTTTTCCAGGCTGGGCTCTCTCTGAAACCTGCCAAGGAGAGTCCTCATGCTTCTCCCAGCTTCTGGTGCTGCCAGCAGCCTCTTGGAGCTCCTAGGCTTGTAGACGCCTCTGCAGTCCTCGATGCCCCCAGAGCCTCCTGTCCCTGTGTCTTTATGTGGCCATTTTCCTCTAAGGACACCAGTCACACCAGATTAGGGGCCCACCTACTCCAGTATGACCTCATCTTACCTTAACTGATTACGCCTGCAGTACCGTTTCCAAATAAGCTGCGCTGTCACTTTGGGGGTTTAGGACTTCAACTGTTTTGGGGACACAGTTTAACTCATAACACATGTAAGTGGCTACAAGCTTCTAAAGGGCATTGAGTTAGTATTTATAAAGAGCCTTTAAAATGTCATATCCTTTGTTCCAGAATTTTAGGAATTTGTCTTTAGGAAATAATGAAGTATGTATACAAATTTAAGGGGGAAAATGTTCACAGATGAATAATATTAATGAACAATCAGAGAGTAACAGAAGAATGGTGTAGGAGGCTCTTCTCGCATTGCTATAAAGAAATACATGAGACCGGGTAACTTATGAGAAAAGAAGTTTAATTGGCTCACAGTTCTGCAGGCTGTACAGGAAGTGTGGTACTGGCATTTGCTTCTGGGGAGGCCTCAGGACCTTCCAATCATGGCAGAAGGCAAAGGGGAACAGGCACGTCGCACGGTGAAAGCTGGGGCGGAGTGTCACACACTTGGAACAACCTCAGCTCACTACCCCGAGGACAGCACCAAGAGGATGACGCTCAACCATTGATGAGAAATTCATCCCATGATCCAGTCGCCTCCCACCAGGCCTCACCTGCAACGCTGGGAGTTACGTTTCAACCTGAGATTTGGGCAGGGACAAATATCCAAACTATATCAAATGGTAAAGTAATGGCATAGCCATTTGATGAATCACGCAGCCATAGAAGTTTGCCATTTTTGGAAAGTAGGTAATGTATGTAAAAGAATGCTCTTAATTGGCCGGCGCTGTGGCTCACGCCTGTAATCCCAGCACTTTGGGAGGCCGAGGTGGGTGGATCACCTGAGGTCAGGAGTTCGAGATCAGCCTGGCCAATATGGTGAAACCTCGTCTCTACTAAAAATACAAAAATTAGCCAGACGTGGTGGCACACACCTGTAATCCCAGCTACACGAGAGTTTGAGGCTGGAGAATAGCTTGAACCTGGGAGGTGGAGGTTGCAGTGAGCCAAGATCATGCAACTGCACTCCAGACCAGGCGACAGATCGAGACTCCGTCTCAAAAAAAAGAAAAAAAAAAGAATGCTCAAAATTAAAGCAGCATACAAAATATTGTAGTACGATCACAATATGACCATATTTTGCTATGTCTGAACAGAAATAATATGAACAAATTAAAAAATATATATCTATAAGAAAGGGGAAAGAATATAGTAAAAATATTGCCAGGCGTGGTGGCTCATGCCTGTAATCGCAGCACTTTGGGAGGCCAAGGCAGGCGTATCACTTGAGTCCAGGAGTTCAAGACTAGCCTGGGCAACATGGCAAAACCCTGTCTCTACAAAAAATACAAAAATTAGCCAGGTGTGATGGTACGTGCCTGTAGTCCCGGCTGCTTGGGAGGCGGAGATGGGAGGATCGCTTGAGCCCAGGAGGCAGAGGTTGCAGTGAGCCAAGATCTTGCCACTGCACTCCAGCCTGGGCAGCAGAACCAGATCCTGTCTCTGGAAAAAAGATAGCAGCAGTCACCCCTAGGTGTTGGGATTGGAGGTGATCTTATTTTCTTTTTATTTTTCTGACTTTTCTAAATCTCTGATAAACTTGCAATTAAAGAAAAAATAACAGAAAATGTGTTATATGCAGTATTATTGGAGGTACTATTAATATTTGCAAGTGTTCAGACCTAATTGCGGGGAAATGATGGCAGGATTCTACAGGTATATTTTAGAGCAGTTGTGAGATGCATGTAACTATTTGTAAAGGTTCATACAGATGATTACTAGATCAGCATAAATAATATGTCTGTGGACGTTTTCTGCAGGACTTTGATAACTTGTTACCTGAGTGAAATTTAATTCCTGGGCGATTCTGGGAGATGGTAAAGTGAGGCGGAAGGAGCCAGCGGCCAATTCCTGAACTATTCTGGGAAACGGTGGCGTGAGGCGGAAGGAGCCGGTGGCCAAGGTCCCAGTAGTGTCACATGATCTTCCCGCGTGTTTGCTGCACTGGGAAAAAATGTTGAAGAATTAGTTTGAAAATTGCCCCGTTGGCCAGGAGTGATGGCTCACTCCTATAATCCCAGCACTTTGGGAGGCTGAGGTGGGAGGATAGCTTGAGCCTGGGAGGTCGAGGCTGCAGTGAGCTGATTGCACCATTGCACTCTAGGATGACAGAGTGAGACCCTGTCTCAAAAAAACAAAACAAAAATTGCCCTGATCCACACAAATTCTTGGTTTTGTTTTTATAAATGTGCTTCTATAAAATGAAAGCCAAAGTGTTCTGTTATTTCAGTTTTTTTTTTTAATCTCCTTTTAGGTTAAAAATTTTGCAGTTATTTATCTTGTGGATATTACAGAAGTGCCTGACTTCAACAAAATGTATGAGTTATACGATCCATGTACTGTCATGTTTTTCTTCAGGTACGTTATCTTAAAGTTGTTACTGAAATTGAATATTGTCAGTTTGGAAGCTTAATGTAATCAAGATCTCTTTAGATTATTTTATTTTGAAGGAAGTTGGTTGTACAGTCATGTCCCAAAATCGTTTGTATCACCAGGCAATCAGTGTGAATCTTTGAAATAATTTTCAAAGTAACAATTCTAGTTTTAGCATTTACTCAGTAACAAATTACCCTTTTGAAATAACTTTGCGGGGAAACCTAGGTGAAGTGTAATTCAATGAAAGATGTTGTTACTGACATTTTAGATACCTGGAACTATAATCTGTTCATCAAAAATGTTGTAAAATCACAAATTTAGGCCGGGCACAGTGGCTCAAAGCGCCTGTAATCCCAGCACTTTGGGAGGCCGAGGTGGGTGGATCACAAGGTCAGGAGTTCGAGACCAGCTGGGCTAAGATGGTGAAACCGAGTCTCTACTAAAAATACAAAATTAGCCGGGCGTGGTGGTGCATACCTGTAATCCCAGCTACTGGGAGGCTGAGGCAGGAGAATCACTTGTACCCAGGAGGTGGAGGTTGCAGTTAGCCGAGATCATGCCATTGCACTCCAGCCTAGGCAACAAGAGCAAAACTCCGTCTCAAAAAAAAAAATCAAAAACCTAATTTATTAAATATGTTATCATCAACTTCGGTGTCCTTTTTTATATCCAAGAGGAACACCTGAACTACTTTGCTTATAAATACAAGATTATTTTATCAGCTCAAAAATTTCATTATGGAAATTTAATGGGGAAAGAAATCACCATCTGATGCTGTTTTTACTTGTTTAGTTACCATAGAGGTTGGTGAATTAGCTACATGAGCATTAGACCATTCTCCAAAAGTGGAGCCTCCTACTCGGTAAGGAAGGTCAGGTGGGTTGTATAGGGTATGCGTTAGTTTTGTATTCTTTGTAACAAATTAGCACGCATTGAGCAGCTTAAATCACCCCGCTTTTCTGAGCTCACAGTTCTGTAAGTCAGACATCCAGGCAGGGCCCGCTGGATTCCTGCTCAGGGTCTCACAAGGTCTGAACCATGGGCTGGGTGCTTATCTGGAGTGTTTGAGGGGCTTGTTTGGGTTGTGGGCCGAGTCTGGCTCTTCGTGGTGGTGGGTCTGAGATCTGCTTCCTTGCTGCTGTTACCTGAGGCCACTCTGCTGCCAGAGACCCAGTTACCCTCAAAGCCAGCACTGGCATGCCGGCACATTGAGAACTTTTCACACAGGTTCTCTGACCTGAAAAGTTCTGCCTGAGAAAATGCTCTGGTTTTAGAGGACTGTGATAAGATTAGACTTGCCCAAATAATCCAGGATAGTGACCTTGTTTTATTTATTTATTGAGATGGAGTCTCACTCTCACCCAGGGTGGAGTGCAGTGGCACCATCACAGCAAGCTTGAACTCCTGGCTTCGAGCCATCCTCCCGCCTCAGGCTGCCAAAGCGTGAGGCACTGCCGTGGTTCTGGGCGTCGGGATACGCTCCCCTGGACACGCCCTTGGCTTCCTAGGTGCCTCCTGTTAGGTTGAGAAGATCTGTGAGGTGCACCCTGCATTTCTTGTGAACTTTTCATCTTTCCTAGGTTTCAGCAAAGGTTGCGTGGCTGACCCTCATCCTTTTCTCTACTGTGTGTTCAGCAGCCATTTCTGAATTTCAGCCCCTTTGGCCATCCGGAGAGGCTAAAGAATTTATTCCTTTTGTTAACAGTTCTTACACTAATTTGCCTCTTTCCTCTCTTGAAGGCAGCACCTCCGAGACTTTGCTTGGAAGTTTCCGCAGCTAAATATCCCGAGTGTGTTGCTTTTGAGCTCTGACTTCCTATAACTGCGGACCCCGTGTCCCTGTTCCTCGGCCACTCTGTAACGGGGGTCCCCTTTTCTCCGTTTCCCAGTAACACACTCCTCACTTCCTTCCAAGCCCACACCAGGTGTTCCTGAAGTCCATATTTCTGTTAACAGCCTGTTCGAGGCAATAGAGGCCTTTTCTATTTTGCCCCTCAGAATTCTTCAGGTGAGAACAGGGAGGGCCGTCTTAGGTCTCTGCCCCCCACAGCGTGCAGTGGAGGCCAGCCTGGGGCTGGAGATGCTGTGAGGGGCAAGGAGGCTGCAGGCAACAGCCTTGGGTGGCGGGAGCAGCCTACTTAGTGTAGTTTGATATTTTTAGGACTGATGCTGTACTCAGAAAAGGAGATGAAACTTCCTTCTGCTGTTTCTGTGATTTAGAATTTTAAGACAAACGGTACTTTAGTTAACTTATGCACCAAACATATATCTTGAGCCCCCACCAGGTTTGTGGTCTAGTGGTGGAGCCTAATGTCAGATAAGACAGGATTCCCACTCTCATAGGACGTTGTCTGATAGAAACAGCTGAGTAAATTAGCAGGGGGTTCTGAAGAAGTGAAAGGAGGCAGATGTTTATGAGATATAAATACCGAAGAAGTACACCCAGGTCAGATAGGGCTGCAGGGAGGGTGCTACGGGCAGCCCCCAGTCATTGTAGAAGGAGCTTGGTGCATGCTGCATGTAGGGCCTGCCTGCAGCATGGAGAATGAGAGGGCGGCCAGAGGTGGGCTCCAGACCCTGATCAGATTTGCCTCTCCTGAACCAGAGACTTCACGGGGAATACTTTCTACGGAATAGTAGGTGGAAGCCAAATGCATGATCTTGTGGAAGTGAACGTTAAAAAACAGTCTTTAGGTGGGGTATGCCTGCAGCCCAGCCACTCTGCAGGCCGGGGTGGGACTGGAGCTAGGGGTTTGAGTCCGGCCTTAGCAACATAGCTCGCATCTCTAAGAAAAATAATCAGGCCGGCACAGTGGCTCACGTTTGTAATCCCAGCACTTTGGGAGGCCGAGGTGGGAGGATCACTTGAGGCCATGAGTTTGAGACCAGCCTGGCCAACATGGGGACACCCCATCTTTACAAAAAACTAGAAATTTATCTGGGTGTGGTGGCTCGTGCCTGTGGTCCCAGTTACTTAGAGGGCTGAGGTGGGAGGATCATTTGGGCCAGGAGGTTGATTTTGCCACTATGCCCTAGCCTAGATGACAGTGAGACCCCATCTCAAAAAGAAACTTCAACAAACCAGGATAAATTTATGCCAGTACAACAAAGGGTTAATATCCTTATCTTGTAAAGTGCACATGAGTATTCATGAGGAAAAGAACTAGTCTCTTGAAAGATAAGTAAAGAATTATCTACTTCCCTAACCATAAACATGCAAAATGTCATCTTCATTTCATAGTTGAAGGGCTTTTAATACAATTTATGTCATTGCTCATAAGAGCACTGTGAAAAACTTACACATTGCTTTTATCAGGTAAATTAGTACAAATTAGATGGGGGTCTCATTTTGTTATCCATGTTGATCTCGGACTCCGGGCCTCAAGTGATCCTCCTGCCTCAGCCTCCCATAGAGTTGGGATTACAGGCATGAGCCACTGCGCCTGCCCTCCTTTGACCTTTTAATTTCCCCTTAGAATAACTGTCCTAAATAAATACAGAAAAATGCAGGAAAGAGCATGGTGGACAATGCATTGCATCTTTAAAAACACATTTAGCTGCTTCCTGTATTCTCCTGCATCATGGCATACACTCTCGATTTTATGCGTTCTTCAGTGATGTTAACAAGAGCTTGTCACAGTGGGAAAAATACGGCATTGTTTTCAAGGAATTCTTTTTTAAAGAGACTTCTATGAGAATGGATGCCCTTGTTTCTCGTTGCAGGAACAAGCACATCATGATTGACTTGGGGACTGGCAACAACAACAAGATTAACTGGGCCATGGAGGACAAGCAGGAGATGGTGGACATCATCGAGACGGTGTACCGCGGGGCCCGCAAAGGCCGCGGCCTGGTGGTGTCCCCCAAGGACTACTCCACCAAGTACCGCTACTGAGGCGCCCTCAGTCTGCGCGGATAAATGTCGTGGAGCCCTTTTTGTATGGAAACGTTTTAAGCTATTTAAAGCCTTTGGAAAATACAGGAAGCTCCAGGGCTGGAGCACCTCTGAGATGGAATTGATAACATGGTCTTAACTCACCGAAATAAACAAGCACGTGGTGAGAGGAGCAGGCCTACTTGTTTGTTCTCAGGAAACTTAATGAATAGATTACTGATTTTCCTAGTCAAAGTTAATTCTTACCCTTGGAGTAAAACGAAGGTGTTTATCCTGTGAGCCTGTGCGTTTTGCATACTGGGTTGGTTTGCTGGGGCTGCGGTGACAGCATATGCCGCGAGCTGGGCTTTAACAGAGATGTGTGCTCTCACAGCTTTGCAGGCGGGGGTCTGAGATCAGGGTGTCGCGGGTGGGGGGTCACTGCTGAGGCCGTGAGGGGAATCTGCTCAGGCCTGTCCCTGGCTTCTGGGGGCTGCTGGTGGTATTTTCAGTTCCTTGGTGTGTGGATACTTCGCCCCATCTCTGCCTTCACCTGTGTCCTCCCTGTGTGGGTGCTGGTGTCCAAAATTTCCCCTTTTCGTAGTGACACCAGCTGTGTTGGATTGGGGCCCACCCTGCTCCAGCATGGCCTAATCTTAACTAATTACATTTGCAAGGATCTTATGTCCACAAAAGTCACAGTCTGAGGTGCTGGGGGTTAGGACTTCAATATATAAATTTTGCGGTTACACAATTCAATCCATGACAGAATCCAAAGGTTTACTCTGGTTATAAAAACAGTACAATAAAATATTGTTTATAGCCTTCCCTGTAAGGAATAGGAGAGCTATTTTTTATTCTTCCCAAGATTGTATTTGATGTAAACATATTTTCTGTAGAAGCCATGGCCCTTCAGTTCATATAGTTAGAAAATTTCCTTATTGGCCAGGCACGGTGGCTCACACCTGTAATCCCAGCACTTTGGGAGGCCGAGGTGGGCAGATCACGAAGTCAGGTGTTCGAGACCAGCCTGGCCAACATGGTGAAATCCCGTCTCTACTAAAAATACAAAAATTAGCTGGGCATGGTGGCGCGTGCCTGTAATCCCAGCTACTTGGAAGGCTGAGGCAGGAGAATTGCTTGAACCCGGGAGGTGGAGGTTTCAGTGAGCCGAGATCACACCACTGCACTCCAGCCTGGGCAACAGAGCAAGACTCCGTCTCAAAAAAAGAAAAGAAAATGTCCTTATTACAGTCTCAGGTTTCTCTTGCCCTCTGTCATCCTAGCAGTGTGGATGGTTGGTTGGGATCTTCGTGTCCCGTCTCAGCACACTCGAGCTCTGAAGTGAAAGTGAGGAAGGGCAGGGATGGGGGCACTTGAGCACACCGTGGGCCCTCTGACCTCAGACCCAGGCTCTGCCCCACCAAGTGACCTTGGGCAGGGTACCTTCTCTGAGCTTTGTTTCCTCCTTGGTAAAGGCGGATAATAGTGTCTGCCCTGCACACAGATGTGGACGCAGAAGCACGTGGTGCCTGCCGGGCACAGGAGTGGTGCACAGGGCTCGCTGCTGTCGGGAGATTGATTGCTGTTGTGGAAACGGGAGGGTACTTACAGAATGAAGCACATTTTTTACATACAGTACAAATGAGTGTGTGCTTTTTAAATGGATTTAAAATTCAAATGCAAATCTGCAGTTTAATCTCCCAAGTGCTGATTTTTCTATGTATAAAGTAGGAGAGTGCAACAGCGTATCGGAATGAGGGGCTAGGGAGAACGTGTATGTGACCTCGAGTACCTGGCATGTAACAGACACTCAGTATTACACTCCTGCTATTTCTCCAGAGCAGGTGAAACAGACGGCCAGGAAGCACACGAAGAGACACTCAGCATCACTGCTTGTTAAGGAAGGTGCAAATCAAAACCACAGTGAGACGCCACTTCACACCTACAAGTTCGGCTAGATACAAAAAGATCGCAACAAGCGTTTGCAAGGATGTGGAGAAATTGGAGCCCTCACACACTGCTGGTGGCAAAGTGGTAACACAGGCAGGCAGGTCGTCAAAAAGTTAAACATGGGCCGGGTGCAGGTGTCTCAAGCCTGTAATCCCAGCACTTTGGAAGGCTGAGACAGGCAGATTGCTTGAGCCCAGGAGTTCACGACCAGCCTGGGCAACCTGGTGAGACCCTGTCTCTACAAAAAATACAGAACAATTAGCTGGGCATGGTGGTGCGTGCCTGTGGGCCCAGCTACTCGGCGGGCTGAGGCAGGAGGATCACTTAAGCCCCAGAGGTCAAGGCTGCAGTAAGCCATGGTTGTGCCACTGCACTCCAGCCTGGGCAACTGAGCAAGACCCTGTCTCAAAAAAATAAAAAAAGATAAACATGGTGTTACCATTTGACCCAGCAGTTTCATACCCAGGAGAATTGAACGCATATGTCCACATAGAAACTCGTACACAGAAGCCAAAATGTGGAAACCCACGTGTCCATCAACAGATGAACGGTTAAACAAAATGTCCATCCATAGAACGGAATATTATTCAGTCATAAACAGAATGAAGTACTGTAAGTGAAAAGCCAGTTACTACATATTGTGTGATTCCATTTATACGGAATTTCTAGAATAGGCACATCCATAGAGACGGATTAGTGGTTGCTTAAGACTGGGAGGGAGGGGGAAATAGGAGGTGACAGCTAATGGGCAGTTTTATTTTTGATGTAATGAAAATGTGCTTACATAAGCCGAGCAGGCATAAACAGAAAAAGTGCCCTAAGATTGTGATAATGGTACAATTCTGTCAATTGCATAATTGGTGGATGATGTGTGAATTATGTCTCTTAGGATAACAGCTTTACTGGCGTTACCAGAAAAAGATAAAATAATTACATTCCACATTTGTAAGTTTATTGTATATTTATTGTAAATGTGTTGCATATTGTATTAGTCTGCCCAGGACTGCCATAACAAAATACTTCAGATTGGGTGGTTTAAACAACAGAAACTTGTCTTTTCACAGTTCTGTTTTCTGGAAGTCCCAGATCAAGGTGCTGGTCCGTGTGATTTCTGGGGAGGGCTCTCCTTGGCTTGCCGATGGCCTCCTTCTCTGGTGCAGGCACGGAGGGGAGAGCAGGCGAGCCCCTTGCGTCTCTTCTCAGAAAGACGAATCCTGTTGGATGAGGGCCCCACCCTCAGGACCGATGTAACCTTAATGACTTCTGTAGAGGCCCCATCTCCAAATACAGACATGCTGCAGTTAGGTCTTCAGCTATTTAGGGAGACATAAACGTTCAGGCCGTAACTCCTATCAGGTGTATTAAGTATGTTCACCCCTGATTTTAATAACGTTCTCACTGGTGCTTTGTGGCTGCAGTACAGTTGAAATCATAATGATTTGGACTCTGTATTTCAAGTTTATCTCATTATGTACCTGCTGTCTACCTTGCCCTGACTTAAGTGCTTTGCAAGCAATTTTCTTAAATCCTTACAACCACTTACCAGGTAGATATTTGGCAGAGAAGAAAACTAAAGCTTAGATTTCCCCAGGTTACAGCCAGCAACAGAGGATAAGAATTTGAAACCTAGGCCTGCATGGCTGCCAAGCCTTGCCTCGTCTGTGGCACTGTGGTGCTTTAATCAAGTTGGATATACTAGTGGCTCTCTGGGTACCTAGTGAATTCTATTTCCCATCTCCCCAGGATGGCTTCTAGGCAAAGTCCAGAAATTACTTGTGGCAGCTAATGCAGGTGACAAGCCCCTAGGTACAGAATAACCAAGTCCCCTAGAGAAACTGGCAACGTGTACACAAAGAAGTAGACAAGAATAGTGCAGCATTGTTTGGAAACAATATTAGTCAAATATAAAGTAAATCATCAGAGGACTATCAGGCAGCAGTTGGCGACTGACCTAGAGCGACACGTGTCGACATGAATCTCAGTACTGAACAAAAAAGCAAGGGGCAGAAGGCTACAGAGTATGGGGCCACTGACATACTGCTTTAAGACTTTCAGAATAAACGTCTGAAGGTTATGATGCCAGTGTGTCTGCAGGAAACTTGGTTAGGTGTCTGGGGGAAGACTGCCTCTGCTCTGAGCGCACGCAGAGAAGGGATGAGGACTTCAGTCCACCAGCAGAATCAGAGCACTGCCATCTCTGCCTACCTGAACAGACCACACCCAAAAATTAAAATGCAGGGTGAATTCACGGCTCACCAGCTTTCTGACCTGGAGGTTCAGAGGATCCCTGGGGAAGCATCCGCGTGGGCACAGGTGGGAGGACCTGCTCAACGTGGGCGCTATTCTGCATCGTTTTTTTTTCTTTCTTTCTTTCTTTCTTTCTTTCTTTCTTTCTTTCTTTCTTTCTTTCTTTCTTTCTTTTTCTTTCTTTCTTTCTTTCCTTTCTCTCTCTCTCTCCCTCCCTCCCTCCCTCCCTCCCTCCCTCCCTCCCTCTCTCTCTCTCCTCTCCTCTCTCTCCTCTCTCTCCTCTTTCTTTCTTTCTTTCTTTCTTTCCTTTCTTTTCTTTCATGTTGTCTCGCTCTGTCGCCCAGGCTGGAGTGCCGTGGCACAGTCTCGGCTCACTGCAAGCTCTGCCTCCCGGGTTCACGGCATTCTCCCGCCTCAGCCTCCCAAGTAGCTGGGACCACAGGCGCCCGCCACCACACCCGGCTATTTTTTTTTTTTTTTTGTATTTTTAGTAGAGACGGGCTTTCACCATTCACAGGATGGTCTCGATCTCCTGACCTCGTGATCCGCCCACCTCGGCCTCCCAAAGTGCTGGGATTACAGGCTGAGCCACCGCGCCTGGCTTCTGAATCATTTTTTCTGTTATTTTTACTAATGGCTTTAAACATGCCTCTGATCCTAGCATTCTTTTGTGGCATGTTTACATTCAGCATCAGAAGCTGTGAGAATGCCTACAGTGCCCTGATGAGGTTCGGGTTGCACTGGGTGGCCTCAGATGCCCTGCAGAGGAGGCACTTTGGGAGGCCGAGGCGGGTGGATCACCTGAGGTCAGGAGTTCGAGACCAGCCTGGCCAATAAGGTGAAACTCCGTCTCTACTAAAAATACAAAAACTAGCTGGGTGTGGCCGGGCGTGGTGGCTCACGCCTGTAATTGCAGCACTGGGAGGCCAAGGTGGGTGGATCACCTGAGGTTGTGAGTTGGAGACCAGCCTGGCCAACATAGTGAAACCCCGTCTGTACTAAAATACAAAAATTAGCTGGGTGTGGTGGTGCATGTCTGTAGTTCCAGCTACCTGGGAGGCTGAGGCAGGAGAATGGCTTAAACCCGGGAGGTGGAGTTTGCAGTGAGCCAAGATCATGCCACTGCACTCCAGCCTGGGCGACAGAGCAAGACTCCACCTCAAAAAAAGAAGAGAGCATTTGGAAATTTATTATTCCTGAGCAGTTTTCATGCAGCACAGAGGCAGCAATTCCCATAGTGAACAAATATGGGATTGTATGTTTCAAGATGAAAGCAGTCAAAACATACGAAAACGGTTGACATAGTTTGCTAATAACCTTACCATTTGTTCTTTAATAGAATTTTCAATGCCAGCTTGCACCATTAAGTCCTTGACATTCTTCTGTAAGTCCTCAATGCGATTTCCCATTTCTTCCAGTACAGTGTTAAGGCGCTCTGCGTAGAGCTGGAGTCCAGAGCCGCCGAGGCACAGCCAGGATGTCCTCAGAGACTCCGCCTCCCATGGCACATGCAACTTTTGAAATGAGGGAATCAACGACAGGCCTAGTGTCCATGCAAATCAGCTTCTTTCCCTGAGTTTTCCTCAGTGTGTCTCTTTAACCTTTAAACTGTGAGCTTAGAAAACGTGGCTCCCCTTGCTTGGACATGGATTTGGGGACAGGAGATTGTCTGGTATATTTTAGTCAAACTCTGGGTATGTAAAAATAAATATAATGGAATTAACTCTTTTTTGTTTGTAGGGTCTTGCTCTTCCCCCAGGCTGGAGTGCAGTGGTGTGATCACAGCTCACTGCAGCCCTGAACTCCTGGGCTCAAGCGATCCTTCTGCCTCAGCCTCTCGAGTAGCTGGGACTATAGACTACCACCCAGCTGAAATTAACTAAAAAACTAACATTCATATGGTTTAATTTTATGTTTAAGACTCATTTTTGTCCTGTGGGAACCCATTTACAAAATCAAAAGTTGCAAGCACACAATATTTAAGGAATATATTTAATTGTGTAGCATGAGCTCAAATTGGGCAAGTCTTGGGGCAATTGTGACCCTTATCTAGATTTGCTCCAACTCCAAAAAAAATTATATTCTCATTCTGTTTGATTTCATGTTTCTAAGACAAAACAGTGAGTTGGCGATGTTAAACTAAACAAAACAAAGTTTGGGAGAGCCGTATCTGGGATCCTGTGCTTCAGTGTTATGCTCTGTGGGGTCTATGGTCTAGGGGGCACTGTCCGGTTGGGGACTGATGGAAGCCCCACTGGGAAGTGTTATATGTTTGTGTTTTTGTCCTTTATACTTGCTGCACAAGACATCCTGTGTTGCCAGTCAAGCAGGAGGTAGAGCTTTTTTTTTTTTTTTTTTGAGACGGAGTCTCGCTCTGTCACCCAGGCTGGAGTGCAGTGGCGCGATCTCGGCTCACTGCAAGCTCCACCTCCCGGGTTCACACCATTCTCCTGCCTCAGCCTCCTGAGTAGTTGGGACTACAGGCGCCCGCCACCATGCCGGGCTAATTTTTTGTATTTTTAGTAGAGACGGGGTTTCACTGTGTTAGCCAGGATGGTCTCCATCTCCTGACCTCGTGATCTGCCCACCTCGGCCTCCCAAAGTGCTGGGATTACAGGCGTGAGCCACTGCACCCGGCCGGAGGTACAGCTTTTGCTATAGGTGAGGGGTAATTAACACATCAGGAAGCCACATAAAAGCACAGAAGTAAATACTGGGAAATCCTAAGTAAACTATTACCTACTACTACCAGACAACAAAAAGATACTCCATGATAATCTACCAGTCCGAAAGAATCACAGCATTTGTTAAAGGTAGAAAAGGATATTTCTGAGGTTTAATGTTGCCGTCAGAGCTTGAAAATGTTCCTGAAGTTCCTGAAATAGATTTTCTGCCTGAAAAAATAAACCGTAAGACAATTGAATAAATATTTACTGTTGGCATATGAGTTTTTTTTTTTTTCTGAGATGAAGTCTTGTTTTGTTGCCCAGGCTGGAGTGCAATGGCGCGATCTCAGCTCACTACAACCTCCGCCTCCTGGATTCAAGTGATTCTCCCACCTCAGCCTCCAAGTAGCTGGGATTACAAGCATGTGCCACCAGGCCCAGCTAATGTTTATACTTTCAGTAGAGACGGAGTTTCACCATGTTGGCCAGGCTGGTCTTGAACTCATGGCCTCAGGTGATCTGCCCACCTTGACCTCCCAAAGTGCTGGGATCACAGGCATGAGCCACCACACCTGGCCCACGTATGACATTTTAAATATCATGGGATAAGGCCGGGCGCGGTGGCTCACGCCTGTAATCCCAGCACTTTGGGAGGCCGAGGCGGGTGGATCAGGAGGTCAGGAGATCGAGACCATCCTGGCAAACTAGGTGAAACCCCATCTCTACTAAAAATACAAAAAATTAGCTGGGTGCAGTGGCGGGCGCCTGTAGTCCCAGCTACTCGGGAGGCTGAGGCAGGAGAATGGCGTGAACCCGGGAGGCGGAGCTTGCAGTGAGCCGAGATCGCGCCACTGCACTCCAGCCTGGGCGACAGAGTGACACTCCGTCTCAAAAAATAAAAATAAAAAAAATAAATATCATGGGATAAACCCATCCATAAATCTGTTGACTTCTGACAAAGGTGCTAAGGCCTTTGGATTCAGAGGGAAAGGAAAGTCTTTTCAACAAGCAGCGCGGGAATCATGAGGGCCACGTGCAGACGGGGCAGGGACCCATCCCCCTCCTCACACCACACACCATGAATGCAGGAGATCACACACCTTGGCCCAGAGCCAAGGCCATAAAGCATGCAGAGGAGGATGCAGGAGAAAATCTCGTGACCCTGCGCTCCTCAAGAATTCTTATGAAATTACTTACCAGGTCACACAGAAATACCACCATTGCTACTGAAAGCGTTTCCTGTTTATATACTGCTTTGTAGTTTACAGACTGACGTCCCACACCATTCACGGTGTAATCTACTCCTCACCCTGCGACCGTGTCCAGGGTGAGATGAGAACAGTGAGGCTGAGAAGCACAAAATTCTCCCAGCTGGGGGTTCAAGATCCCAGGGAGCCCCACGTACCATGGTGTGAATCTAGAATCCCGTCGACATAGGAGGAGGCCCCACCTCTGAACCATGCCAGGGCTTTCTACCTTTGTCAGGAAATTTACGTTAGGGTTTGCACAACGCCCAACACATTCCTTCAGATTCCAGGTCTCTTCCTCATAGCCAGTCCTCTTGTGGGCCTGGAACTCTTTGGCAAGTAGGAAGGCCTGGGGAGCGGGAGGATTTCCCGGAAGAGGCCGGAGCCCTGGGCGCTGCGACACTCGTGGGTCCCCTTTCGGGCACCCTTTGGCCCAGTTGTTTCCCCACTGACCCCGACCTCAATGCCCCCCAGTACTGCAGGGCTCCCCCCAGGACCTCAGGCCCCCCGAGGATCGCAGGGTCCCCCAGGACAGCAGGGCTCCCCCCTGCACCTCAGGCCCCCCCAGGACCGCAGGGTCCCCCAGGTCTTCAGGGGCCCCCCCAGGACCACAGGCCTCCCAGGCACTCAGGACTCCTCAGGACCACAGGAGTCCTCAGGATCGCAGGCCCCCCAGGACCTCAGGGCCCCACGAAGACCGCAGGGCACCCCCAGCACCGCAGGCTCCCCCCCCAGGACCTCAAAACCCCCCAGAACCGCAGGGGCGCCCCCATCCAGAGAGAAGCAGGAGTCGGGGAGGGGCTCACCGCGTCCCGCAGCGCGCGCCCGCCGGGGGCTTCAGGGCCCCGCACGTCCATGTGGACCGCTGGCCGGGGGCGTCAGTGGGGGGTCCCGTGGGCCGCGCGGACCCGGCGCGAGGTGGCGACAGCTAAGCTCCGCGATTCCCGTATGGGCCGCCGGGAGGCCTCGGGCGGAGCGCGCTGCGTTCCAGGGCGGAGGCGGGGCCGGAGCGGAGAGGCGGGCGCTGCACCTGCAGGGACGCAATGTCACCGAGCGGCCGCCTCGGAGGACTGGTCCGCGCCCCCAGGCTCTGCGGCTTCCCGAGCCGAGCCGAGCCGAGGCCCCGGGACGGCCTGGGCGGAGCCGCCTTACTCAAGAGGGCCCGTGGGCGCCACCGGCCACCTACACCCCCAAAACGCTCCGCACGGGCAGTGCATGGGCCTCGGTCACCCCTGCTGCGTTTCTCAGAGACGGGGGCTCGCTCTGTGGCCCAGGCTGGGGTGCAGTGGCGACTATGGCTCCCCGCAGCCTCGACTTCCCGGGCCCAAGCGATCCTCCTGCCTCGGCCTGGCCAGTAGCTGGGACCACGGGCGCGCGCCACCAGGTCCGGCTGATCTTTTTTATTTTTTGTAGAGACGGGATCTTACTATGTTGCCCAGGCTGGTCTCGAATTCCTGGGCACAAGTGATCCTCCTGCCTCGGCCTCCCAAAGTGCTGGGACCGCAGGCCTGGGCCACCACGCCGGGCCTTCCCTGGCCTCTTTCACACCTGGGTTGTGGCTCGTCACCTTGTGGGTGACCTCCCAGGACGGTGTTTTAGGGTTACCAGTCTTGTTGCCATGTCTGTGCCCCTGTGCAGCGCTGTGGGAACAGGGCTATGTCTGGTCACCCCAGCATCCCTAGGGCACAGCCCAGTGACCACACCTGGAAGCTCTGGTGTCTCCATGTGCGGATAAATAAAACACAGCCACCCAGCACCACCGCTGTGGCGTGGCGGTTCCCGCCAGGTTACTTCAGGGCGGATGTCTGTGGCCTGAACCCTAAAGGCCAGGCGGTGAGTCCAGGCCACGGTGCCCAGCGAGGAGCAGGTGTCCCTGAGAACCCAAACAGCCCGGAGGGGATGTGAGAACCACCACAGGGAGCAGGCCCATCACACAGACGGCGCAAAGAGGCAGAAAATTAGCTCAAAAGCAGCTTAGGGACAGAAGCACGCTCATCTCTAGAGTTGTCCTGCTGCCCACGAGTGCCCCACATGTGAGTCCTAATAAACTCACCTACTCACCAAGCTGGACTCCGCCCAGTCATTCTTTGGTCTCTCAGCAACTCCCACTTTAGGGTAAGGTTTTAAATGTGATTCTCGGTTTTTCTCATTACAACCAGTCATCAGGAAAACACAAACCAAAACCACAATGAGCTCCCACTGCAACCCACCAGCATGGCTAGAATCAGAGAGACAAACGTAAGTCCGAGAGGCGTGTGGGGATTGTGGCCCCCCCCACGCAGCCGGTGGGCTGTGAAAGGCTGCAGTGCTGTGAAAAAGTCGGGTGGGTCCTCAGAAGTGAAGCAGTTTCCACAGGGCCCAGCCGCGCCACCCCTAGGCATATACCGAAACGACAGCGCGAGTGCACCAAGTCTACTGCAGCATCAGTAATGCTCAAAAGGTGGAAACCACCCAAATGTCCACCCCCAATAAGTAGGTGACAAAATGCAGATGATAGAATATTCCTCAGCCACACAAAGGAGTGAGGCGCTGACGCACGCTACGAAGCAGGCGGGCCTCCGGAACAACGCTGGGTGGCAGAGGCCAGGCGTGAAGACCCTGAGTGGTAAGTCCATGGAGAGTTGGAACAGGCAAGGCCACGGAGACAGAAAGTTGACTTCTGTTGCTGGGGGCTGCAGGGACGAGGGAGAGTGCGGAGAGATTTAGGAGGTCTGGGGTTTCTTTGTGGGGGGACAAAAATGTTCTAAAATTAGATCGTAAGAAGGTTTCACAACCCTGTAAATATACTCAAAACTGTTGAATTATGCCCTTTAAATGGGTGGGTTTTGTGGTATGTGAATTACATTTCAATGAAGCTGTTAAAATTATTTTTTAAAAGCATGGCCATTTTGCCACTTTTTGTGTGCTTTTAGCATCCTCCTCTTTTTTTCTGTCTCTGAGAGAGGCTGAGATACAAACTTAGTTGTAGGGGCCAGTGTGGACGGCTGAGAAAGACGCGGTGTGGGTGGAAAGTGGCTGCTGTGCTGTGGCTCCCGGCCCACTCCCAGGACCATTCAGGCCTAAGGAATCCTGCCGGGCGGCTTCTGGCTTCTCGGGAAAGCCAGTGTGGGTGGCTGCTGAGGAGGAGGAGGCAGGGCCAGAAGATGCCACAGTACAGGGTGGACGGCCTGCACCCAGGAAAGCCTGCCTGGCGTGGGGGGCAAGGAGTACAAGCCGGTGGTGTTTCCATCAGAAACACACCTCAGTGTCAAGAACCAGAAGTCACTCAAGCTAACTTAGGGGAAAAGGAAATTACGCCTGTAGAGAGGAGGCAGACACAGCGGGCTGGCGTCAGCCCTCCAAGCTCTTCAGAGGGCGCTCATCTCTGGAGGCGGGAGGAGATGGGCAGTGGTGCCCCACGGCAGGGCCACGACAGGGTTCCTCATCAGCCCACAGGCAGCTTTCCTAACCACAGACAGCTAAATGAGCAGGGAGCCAGTCAGACTGCCCTCCTTCCTCCCTTCCAGAAAGTTCTAGAACGTCCCCTCTTCCCTTACTCTGCAGGCACGGAGTTCCCGGAAGCTTTACTCCAGGGACAGCCCAGCATCAAGCTCATGGCTTCAGGGGACGGCTCCCTCGTGGTGGGGGCAGGCGCAGACCCAAGGGCTTTCGGTGTCTCCAGGG